>NC_000002.12:55644897-55947928 GCF_000001405.40 Homo sapiens | reverse complement strand
TTCCGTTAATTTGCAGGTGTTTATTGAATGCCTACTATGTTCCCAACACTGTGTTGGACACTGGGCATATGAAAGATGTTGCAACTGTTGCTTAGAATTCTAGAATTCTCAGAATTCTTAGAATTCTCTTTAATGAGGAAAGAATAACAAGCAAACAAGCTTTCAGAAACGTAGTCCATAAAGCAACTTCTAATATGTCTGTAAAAGCAATCCTGTTTCCATCCAACCTCTAACTGCCTTGTTCACCTATAATTACCAGGCTAAGCAATAACAGTCAAAGTTCTCTGACTGTAAGTGGAAAATACTATAAAATCCAGAAGTGCCAAAGAGGGTCAAGTCTCTTCCATACACTTTTAATTTCAAATGTATTTCTATTTTTTGACCTTTTTTATGTGATTAATCATTCATATGTTCTATTAATAAAACTAACCCGTTCTCCCACCTTATAAATAAATGAGGATTGAAGTCTCTTCCTATTCAATGCAAGGCCCAGCATGGAGTTTCAAAGGATCAACAAATAATTGCTGAATGATAGAGATTATGCCCATAATGCAAAACCCATGTTATTCTTACATGGATCTGTGGCAATGTAAGCTACAAGTTTCAATTGGAAGTTAAATTTTACTTCTCACCACAGTGACTTTCTAGTTTGCATGGAAATAATTCCATGGGTAAAGGGAAACTTGACAAAAAAGCGCAAATTTAATCTATGAGGAAGGGCATAATAATATTCCATAGGGGTTATCCATGCACCTCTGTCTCCATCTTCATAGCCGTCATTCCTGGGAAAATAAGAAAGTCCAATTTTCCCCATCCAAATTAATACATATCTGTTTCTAGTTCTCTACTAGATCATCAATAATTATGTCACAATGGGTAAATTCAATATATACAAGATTCTGATTTTAGAAAAACAAAAAACATGGAGTCAGCAAAAAATCTTTTGCTCTCCAGAGTCTCCTATTTTAATGCTCCATTTTATAGTATCCTGGACATTTTTTAGAAAAAAAATTTCTGTTAGAGAAACTGGTGAATAAACCAAGGAATTAAAAGTCCACCCTCTTTCACAGAGTACAAAGGAAATCAACATACTTTTAAAAAACACAGAATTATTCATTTTCACAATTGGTTTTCCATATTATGCATCTAACAAGTATGTTTGTAACTTCGACTAAAACACAATCCTTTTCATTACTAGTTATACCTTTAGCCATTATTATTTTATATTTCTTTTTTTTAACAAATTACCTAGATGTTGGGACAACAAGTTAACTATCTGAGAAAAAAAATAAAATTAGATTCCTACTTTTCATGTTTCATCGAGATTAACTCCAAATGAAATAAATATTTAAACATTTAAAACATAAAACCATGCAACTACAATAAGAAAATGTATTTGAACATTTGGATATTCTTGAACTGGAGCAGGACCTCCCAAGCTTAACACCGAAAACAAAATTCATGAAAGAAAATATTGATACACCTGACTACCTCAAAGTTTTAAACTTCTAGGTTTATAATTCCAACAATATGGTGCATCCCAAGGAATTTTTCTGTACAGGATACCTAAAAATTCTGAACAAAACATTTTTAAAAACCTTTTTAGAAGCATAGCTTAGATGGCAAGAAAATAAAGGAATTTTCAGAAGCAAAAATGATTTAAAAGCTAGAATCCAAAAAGGTAACCAAGCACTCAACAGCACAGTTGCCTGGAGGCATTTGCAGAAATTTGTGATTTCTTACAGTTTGGAGATATTGATTTTAATGAGGAATAGGAGACAGGACCAACCTAAAACAGAAATTAAGATCAAGACATTTCCACAAAGCTGAAATAATGAAAGGAGATATTCTCAATGAAAAAGGTAAACTAAACAAACAAACGAAACAAAACTATCCCACTGACTCACGAAGCAAGGGTTCTGGATTCTGGTTTCTGCATAAAGGAAAAAAAGAAGAGAATTCCTAAGAACTCATAGTCTCAGGCAAACTTTCACTTTGGTTTGGTAACAGGACTCACATTATCTATGCAGAGGAAAACAAAAAGATTACAGACTAAAGTAGCTCTTGGTTTCATTCCCCTGTTGGCTTGCAGAAGCAAATTTAAATTCTCTCTATAGAAGATAACTTTAACCCAGGCCTCAGATTTCCCACAGATAGAGTTCCAATGATTATGAGCTCACAAATAAAAATCACAAAACAAATAAGGAAACAAGCCACTATGAACAACAGTCAGCAGAATAATTATGCAATTCAATCAGACTCACAAAAATTGCTGGTATTAGAATTATCAGATATTATATTTAAAAATACATGAGTTTAATGTGTTTACAGAAAAAAATACTGAAAATGATGAAGAAACAAGGGAGTATAAAAATAGACAGTGGTGAAAAAGACAAAACGTTAAACTGGAAACTATCGTAATATTAGAAACCTAATTGTCAAGCTAATCTTCAAGTTAGAGCTGAAGAGAGAACCCATGGGTTAACAGATAAATCTGAGTACCCATATGCAGCAACAAGAATCAAAGATTTACATATAAAAGAGAGGTCAGAGATTGGAGAAGAGAGTCAGAAGAGAGAGACATATTTAATAGGACAGTCAAAGATAACGAAGCAAATGAGGAGATGCAAGAAAGTTGCTAGAATTGTGGAAAGGCATAAATCTTCAGATTCAGAATTATAACAATGCCAAGAAGGAAAAATGAAAATAAATCCGCACCTAGAGACATCATGAGAAATTACAGCACACCTGAGTTCAAGAGATCTTAAAAGAAGCCAGAGAGAAAAAAGAGATTATCTACAAATGAACGATTATTAATAAAATTATTGCTGACATCCATGAGCAACCATGAAAGCCAGAAGATTATGGAATAACACCTTCAACATGCCAAATAACAATAACTCTCAATTTGGAATCTTATACCCAACAGAAGTATCTTTCAAGATAAGCATCATGAAGACATTTTCAGACAAGCAAAAATGGAGTTTACCACCCACGTATCCTTTCTAAAGGAACTTCTAATGGAAACACTATAGAACAAAGAAAGATATGAAATTCAGAAGGAAATACCAAGAGAAAATATACTAAACATGTGGATGAAGTCAATAAAAATTCACTGCAATGATAACAATGTCTAAATTGTGGGATTTTAGAAAGATAGAACAAATATAAAATAATAGTAAAGGAAATGGTTATCAAAGTTAAAGTGTTCTAAGGTCCTGAAGATAGCGATGTCCTTTGAAGATTTTTAAGCTAAATATGCATAATAAAATTTTTAAGATAACCACAAAATTAATAGAAACAGTAGGTACAACTAAAAACTAGAAGAGGAAAAAGTAGAATGGAAGAAACAGCATAATAACAAACCAATCTGAAAGAAGGAAAAAAAATAAGGCAAAGAGAAAATGAAAATTAAGATGGTAGCGATAAATTCAAAAGCAACAATAATCACTGTAAATGAAAATGACTGAACACTCTCCTTCAAAGAACATACCAGACATGAGGAATAAAAGACTACAAACTGGCCAGGTGCAGTGGCTCACACCTGTAATCCCAGCACTTTGGGAGGCCAAGGCAGGCAGATCACAAGGTCAGGAGATCGAGACCATCCTGGCTAACACGGTGAAACCCTGTCTCTACTAAAAAAATAGAAAAAGTTGGCCGGGCATGGTGGTGGGCGCCTGTAGTTTCAGCTACTTGGGAGGCTGAGGCAGGAGAATGGCGTGAACCCAGGAGGCAGAACTTGCAGTGAGCCAAGATAGTGCCACTGCACTCCAGCCTGGGTGACAGAGCAAGACTCCATCTCAAAAAAAAAAAAAAAAAAAAAAAAGACTACAAATTAAGTTCAGTGTATACTGCTCCGGTGATGGGTGCACCAAAATCTCACAAATCACCACTAAAGAACTTACTCCTGTAACCAAATACCAACTGTTCCCCCAAAAACCTATGGAAATAAAACATTTTTTTAAAAAAGAACATATCAGACAAATACTAACCAAAAGAAAACCAAAAGACTCAAGTCATTGCTATATAATGATAAGAGAGACAATTCGTTTTTATACAGGAAAAAATGAAATTGGATCAATACCTGTATCAGTTAACTATTGTTACAAAACAAACCACCTCAAACTCAGTGGTTTAAAGCAGCAACGGTTTATTATCACAGAAAACTCTACAAGTGACCTGGTATTCAGTTGAAGTCAACTGGGCTCAGCTTAGGCTGTGTGGCTGGTGTAGCTCACCTCTTGGGCCTAGTGGACTAGCTCAGACATGTTCTTCTCTGAGCAATGGAAGAAGCAGAAACACACTAGGCCTCTTAAGGCCTAGGCTCAGAACTCATGTCTTTCTTCTCATTCTCTTGGCCAAAAAAAGCCATGTGACTAAAGCCAAGAGCTGGAGAAGTATCATCTAACTTTACAGGAGAAACTTGAAACTGCATGCCAGAGGATATGGTTACAGGGAGGGGTGACAAATTGGGATCAATAATACAGCTACCACAGCATGTGAAACCATGTACAAAAATTGCAGATGTGTAACAGCAATTAAATAGTATGAAATAAATAAATGTGAAAGACAAAATTTTACATCTTTCAGGAATAAACAGAAGAATATCTTTATATCCTCAGGGTGGAAAAAGGCTTTAAACAAGAAATCAAAAGCACAACTCATGAAGTAAAGCTTGATAAATTAAAGAACAACATCAAAAGATATCAAAGGAAATGGAAAAAATAAGTCACAAACTGAGAGATGGCATTTTCTGTGGCGGGGGGGCGGGGTGTGTGTGTGTGTGTGTGTGTGTGTGTGTGTGTGTGTGTGTGTGTGTGTGAGACAGAGAGAGAGAGAGAGAGAGTCTTGCTCTGTTGCCCAGTCTGAAGTGCAGTGGGAGTGATCACAGCTCATTGCAGCTTCAACTTCCCAGGCTCAAGTGATTCTCTAACTTCAGCCTTCCGAGTAGCAGGGACCACACCCAGCTAATTTTCAAATTTTTGTAGAGATATTTTTATGTTGCCCAGACTGGTCTAAATCTCCTAGGCTCAAGTGATCCTCCTACTTTGGTCTCCCAAAATGCTGGGATTACAGGTGTGAGCCACCAGGCCTGGCCAGATGATATTAGACCATGGTCATTGACTGGGTTTATATGCCAATGAGGCATTTCTGGTTTACCAAATTTATACAAATCTCGCTTTAATTGATAATCACAGATGCTGTAATTTAAGACCTCCAGCTATAGAGCTTTCATATTAACTGCTGATATATTACAGTAAATCATCTGAAATAACCAACTCCTGGGAGCACAGCAGAGAAGGAGGAAGTGCCTCCGAGAGCGACTCTCTCCCGGCCTTTTTCACACATAAAACTGACTTAGGATTAGTATCCAGAATTTATGAAGAATACCTTGGAATCAGAAAAGAAAAGGGAAAAACAAACAACCCAATAACAAAGTGGTCGGTCCAAAGACGTGAAAAGGCATTTCTCAGAGGACCAATAAATAGATGAAAAAGATGCTCGCCTAATCAGTAATCAGAGGAATGCAAAGTAAAACCACCATTTTACAGCCACCACTGATTTTAAAGTCTGAAAATATCAAACATTAACAATAACGTGAAACAACAAGAACTCTTAAAAACTGTTGGTGTAAGTATAAAATGATACAAGCCCTTTGGAAAACAATTTGGCTATTTTTAAAGAAGAAAATATGCATATCTTATGAGCCAGCAATTCTAATCCAGGAATACATCTTTTGCACATATGTGTAAGAAAGTTTATTGTTGCATTTTTGTAATAGGAAAAAAACGGAAACAACAGAATGAATAGTGATATGACCATAGAGTATAATAACGTGCATGCATTAAAAGCATGCATCAACATGGATGATACTGAAAGGGTAATGAATTTCCCAAAAAAAAAAAGAAGTCGCAAAAGAATTTGTAAGATATGAGTCTAGTTACATATAGTTCAAAAATGAATAAAATTAAATAATACATTGTTTAGGAATTATCTGTATGTGGTTTCTAAAACTACAAAGACAATAAGAACAAAATTCAAAACATCCATTATCTCTGGAGAGAACAGGAAATGTGATATAATAGGAGTTCATACAGGCTTCAAAGTTTTGAAAATGTACGACTCCTAACCTGGGAAGTGAGTATAGGGTTACTTGTTTTATTATTATTCAAAGAGTATATGTATGTTATTTATACAGTCTTTTGTATAATTGATATATTTAATTTTAAGGTAAATGTTAAAAGTTTAAGCTGTATATAAAAATATTACAAACATCAAGACAAATGAAAAACTGAAAAATTTTTATATAATGTCTAATAAAGAGTTGTTACTTTTGAAAATTCTACAAATAGATTCAATAGGAAAATAGGCGAAACACTGAAAAAGATCATCCTTAAAAATTACAGCTATACAAGTAAATATATGAAAAGGCATTCAACCTAGTAATTAATGAAATAGAAATCAGACCAACCATGTATATGAGTAAGTATGAGTGATGAGTATGAGTATGGTTTTTTATTCAGAGACTGAATTTATGTGGTTGAGACCTGTTCTTTCCTACAGATATGACTTTGAATGGTGATTGAATAATGCGAAGTACACATGGCTAGGATCCCAAAATCTGACAAATTGAGATTATTGCTTGTAGAAATTTAAATTCCAGCTGAGAGCATCCCACAGTTCCCAAGGGCCATCACGAACTGTTATTTATCCATGACTAGCTAAGGCAAAATTAGAAGGTAGGGGATTAGGGGACAGGAGTGGGAGGTTATTGGAGGGATAAATCTGTCAGCTATTTAGGGTAAATATAACATTCAGAAGCCATTCTTTCAGCTATAAAATGATTTGGTAAATTTCTAACAGAAGACTTTTTTTCTGGTTATTTACCAAATACAAAGACCTAAAAAAGTATTATAGAATAACATTATAGAGTGCCCTCAAAAATTTACTGGTTTCAAACCAATATCCTACCAAACTTCTCAAAAAAATTGTATAATCAGAAAAGAAAAGGAAAAAAGACAAAATCAACTAAACCTACTTAAAAGAAAGATCTTACTAAAACTAAGTAGATTTTGCCTGACCCCGGATGTTGACTTTTTATTTTTTTCTAAAAATCAGAGCTCAAATTTGAAATGTAAAAATGAACTGTACTTGGAGTATCGAGTGCTCTTTAAAAATAAAACTATTGCTGGGAGAAACTGGGAGGAGGTAGTTTAGCAGTCTGGAAAAGGCCTGTAACAAACAACAAACCCTTTCCAGGCTTCTAGAAAGCATTCTGAAGACCAGGGACCAGCCTGAAAATACAATCACCACACGAGGATTCAACTAAACATACCCTTGGTTCTATAGAATAACACGACTCCATTTAGGCAATATAAACACTTTGATGGCTAGGCAAAAAATGGGATGAGCGGTTCTTCAGCTACTCATGGATGGCTTTAGAATAAATGAGATTCCTATGCTGGTTATGTCTACCACAAGCCCTCCTCACACTGAGTATTTCAGTGACAAAATCAGTCTTAGGCTGTTTGTGTGACAACAGGTAGCTGGGTCATATAAAAAAACTACTCAAGGGGATTTTTATTGAATGTTTTATGTTTCTTTTTCCCATTACCATAGTTAATTTGGCCCCATTTCTTTCATTTTATTTTGTCTGGACCCTTCCTTTCTTAAAAAGTTCATTTCTTGGTAATCATTCAAATCTACTAACAAGATTCTGATTATGGACAACCAGTGGATTTTTGGGTTGTCTGATGCCCTCTTAGGTGGAAAACAACAAAAACCTTCTGGTACAAAAAAGTAATCTAAAATGTGCCAAGGTAATAAATTGTCATTCATATATGCCAATAATGCCACAGATGGCTCACTCTTAAAGAGAAGTATGCCTGGAGTCCCTTTTCCTGTGTGGTCATGGACGTGCCCTGAGCCAGCCATGGCCTCTAATAGTTCCCTCTGACCAGAGGCACTTGACTTTAGGTCCAGTCTCCGTGAAGTTAAGTTTCTTCAGGTATCAAACAGACAACGCTGACCATTTTAACAGTGTATATTGACCATTTGAATAATATCGTACACAGCAAAGTTGAACACATTCTTAACAGGCAGGCTCAGAGTCTCAGTCTACAGGCCTCAGCTTCCTTGCCTGCATAGTGCAGATAGTAGAAGGTCCCACCTCATAGCATTGCTGTGATTAACTGATGCCTAGCAAACAGTGAGCCTCAAAAATTGTGGGATCTTCCCAGATAACAAAGCTATGCAACAATAAAATAAATTAGTTATAGGAATTTCTTCCTTTCTTGGTTTTCAAGAATATTCTCTACTGGTTAGCACCTGTTGAAAACTTAAATATGTTTCTCCCTTCAGCAGTCTACGTCTGTTTTCTTAATAAAGTTCAAAGTAGAAGCATTAAATAATTACCTGAGATTCTCTAGGCATTGTCTGTTATGAAGAAATCAGGGCAAACCTAGGTTTTTATGGGTTTGAAGCATATGCAATTTGGAGGCCCTCTTTCTTTGTTTTTTTTTTGGTTTTGTTTTTGTTTTTGTTTTTTTTGAGACGGAGTCTCGCTCTGTCTCCCAGGCTGGAGTGCAGTGGCGCGATCTCGGCTCACTGCAAGCTCTGCCTCCCAGGTTCACGCCATTCTTCTGCCTCAGCCTCCCGAGTAGCTGGGACTACAGGCACCCACCACCACTCCTGGCTAATATTTTGTATCTTTAGTAGAGACGGGGTTTCACTGTGTTAGCCAGGATGCTCTCGATCTCCTGACCTCGTGATCCACCCACCTCGGCCGCCCAAAGTGCTGGGATTACAGGTGTGAGCCACCGCGCCCGGCCTGGAGGCCCTCTTTAAGAAAAAGAATAAGAGATTATAAATACAAAATTAGGTGCAAGGCCTTAGAAATTAGAAATACAAAATTAGGTACATACAAGTAAGGGGCCTTGAAGTTTCATTAACTTCATGATAAATCCACCCCAACAGCAGTTTTCACATTAGAAGCATCATCTATTAGTTGCATTTTTTAATGCTTATAACCTGAAAAAAGATAATTTGTATTGAAAGGTAGACAACATAGAACCTGCAGCACAGGTAGGCTGCTTTGCATAATATTATGAAAGTGGAATTGTTGTTAATCAAATAATTTTACATGTATAAAAGAGCCAAAGAAATTCTACAGCCAGTATCTTTTATAATGTCAAAAATTCTTGCATGAAATGAGTAGTCTACTTTCAACAGTTACATTTCTATGACTTATTTTGTTTATCGCTGTGACTATAATCTACTTTTAAGTTCCCTCAATTAGTCACTATGAGACAGAACTTCATGGAAACTTATTTAATCTCATATGCATTATAATTCTTAAATAAAAGACATTAGCCTTGATCATAAAAAGATACTTGATTTTGGAAGAAACATTTTTATCACCTAATTTTTTAAATAATAGTCTTGGAAAATAAAAGTGGCATACATTAAGAGAGAGATTTACATCTTCTTCAGAAGTGGTCCATAAACTCTGACTCTGAGCTTATTTATTTCAGGTCAGCATCCTCCATTCTCATGCAGTTAGAAAAACGATTAAAATTAACAAATGACAAGAAACTAATACAAACTATTGTGTATGATGGTAGACCTATCATTTGTTATTATAGTCAACCTATAGTTCCATACCTAATTCTGAACATTTCATGACATACCAACCTTAAATATTTCATAAATCAAACAACTTCTGGACTTGACAACAACCACTGTCTTTACTCCATCATTTTTTATTCACTCTTCAACCTGCTACACAGTCTGGTTTCCACTCCCAGTCCTCCATACACACAAACTGTTCTCTTCAAGGTCAACAGTGACCACTGTTTCTAAATCTAGTCTATACAACTGAAAAAAAAAATCTCCTTGAAACCCACAAAATCACCCTTTCCTGGATCTTCAACTCCATCCTCCACTATTCCCCTTACCTTGCACCTATATTTAAACAAAACCCAATACAGCACCTATACAGAACCATGCAGCCCAGGTTGACTAGTTTAACAAATAAGGGCCTTCATGACCAACCCCAGTTTATTTCTCTGGCCTTAATTCCCATTTTCCCTTCCTTAATTTCTACTCCATTCACGACGAACTGCTTATGGATCTCCTGAAGGGTCTCTGCATCTTCATGAAGCCATTTCCTCCCTTGGCCTGATTGATGGTTAATATTGAGAGTCAACTTGATTGGCTTGAAGGATGCAAAATATTGTTCCTGGGTATGTTGGTGAGGGTATTGCCAAAGGAGATTGACATTTGAGTCAGTGGACTAGGAGAGGCAGACCCACCCTCAATCAGCTGCCAGCACCATCTAATCAGCTGCCATCATGGCTAGGATAAAAGCAGGCAAAGGAACATGGAAGGACTAGACTGGCTAAGTCTTCTGGCCTCCATCTTTCTCCCGTGCTAGATGCTTCCTGCCCTCAAACATTGGATGCCATGTTCTTCAGGTTTTGGACTCTTGGACCTACACCAGTGGCTTGCCAGGGGCTCTTGGGCCTTCAGCCACAGACTGAAGGCTGCACTGTCAGCTTCCATACTTTTGAGGTTTTGAGACTTGGACTGGCTTCCTTGCTCTTCAGCTTGCAGAAGGCCTATTGTGGGACTTCACCTTGTGATCATGTGAGTCAATGCTTCTTAATGAACTCCCTATCATGTATACATCTGTCCTATTAGTCCCATCCCTCTAGAGAACTCTGACTAATACACCTGGATAACTTGTCCCCTAGGACTCCTCTTAGATGTTCCTCCTTATGGGAAGCAAGCATTCCCTGGACTCCCAAAGTTGAGTTGATTGCCTCTTCCTTGCACTCTCTGTGTTAGCCCCATCAAACTGAGTTATAATTGCCTGTTCAGATGTTTGATAACCCCTCCAGACTGTAATATCATTAATAACAAGGTGGTAAACCCTGTGTTTTCCAAATATCTGTAGGAAAACTAAAGGCTCAATAAATTTTTAAAAAACAGACAATTGTAAGTATAAGTAAATAACACAAGTACACACACACAAATCATCCAGATGATTTTACATAGACATTTGACTAAGTTTTAATTTCTACTCATAAAATTCAATTACGACAACCAAAATATATTTAACAATTTCAAATAAAATACATTAGCAGTTAGCCAGCACATAATCACCTAATTAATTCTGATTATCGAATTAAAAGTGGTATCTCTGCATAGCAGTAAAACCAATAGTTTAATCTACATGACTGCCCATAAATAGTTTGACTATTAGGTTTTCTTTTTCACAGAATTTACTGACTTAACAAGCTACTTGAAGGTCATACAGTCATTGGCTTTATAATGATTTTATAATCTAGGAACAGTCTATTAATCAGTTTCAAATCTATGACTCAGAGCTTTCTCATATAAACCTTATTTCCACAAATTGGAGGCTAGTCAGACTTAATGCATTACTGCTTACAAATAATATCAGAAATACACGTTCATTTTAGTTTGCAAAAGACTTTTGCATATGGGCGTGTCTTAAACATTCTATGTGTTTTAAAATCTCACCATTGTCCAAAGGAAATAGGGATTCAAAAGAATAAGACACATTTGGAAATGTGTACTTTAAGAAATCTAATTGGAAAGACTAGGCCGGGCATGGTGGCCCACACCTGTAATCCCAGTACTTTGGGAGGCTGAGGTGGACGAATCACCTGAGGTCAGGAGTTCAAGACCAGCATGACCAACATGGTGAAACCCCATCTCTACTAAAAATTCAAAAGTTAGCCAGGCATGGTGGCAGGTGCCTGTAGTCCTAGCTACTTGGGAGGCTGAGGCAGGAGAATCACTTGAACTGGGGAGGCGGAGGTTGCAGTGAGCCAAGATTGCGCCACTGCACTCCAGCCTGGGCAACAAGAGTGAAACTCCAACTAAAAAAAAAAAAAATCTAATTGGAAAGACTAAAACATATACAAATTAACACTACCACACTTCCAAGATCCATTAAGCATTAAGCAAGCAGTCTCTTCAGGTTTTTCAATATTTCAAAGAAAATGGTACCAAACTGGAGTCACAAAAGGAAGATGATAAGCATTTGTTGAAGTTAATTAACAAGGGAATGGGATAAAGGAAGCAGTTTTATTGACAATATCCTTGTGTTGTGCATTCTGTGAGATTCTTCAATGAAACCACAGCTTCTTAGCTAAGTAGACAAACCTAACTAGTCATTCAATAATTCATCCAATAAATTTTTGTTGAGAACCTATTTCATGGCAATGACACAGAAGTAGACAGGACAGAAACAGCCCTTGCATTCACGGAGTTTAGATTTAGATGTAATGAATATCTGACAGCAGCTTATTACTGCAAAAATCAAACAATCTCTTGACTCTTAGTCCAATAGTGTGCCTTTATCATTTTACTCTGTTATTATAAACAGTTCCTCAGGGCTGGATAACTATCTTTCAAATGTATATTATGTGTCTTTTTTTTTTTTTTGAGACAGGGTGTCACTCTCTCATCCAAGCTGGAGTACAGTGGTGCAATCATGGCTCACTGCAGCCTTGACATCCAGGGCTCAAGCAATCCTCCTGCTTCAGCCTCCCTAGTAGCTGGGACTACAGATACACACCATCATGCTGGGCTATTTTTATTTTTATTTTTTATAGAGACAGAATCTCACTATGTTACCCAGGCTGATCTCAAACTCCTGAGTTCAAGTAATCCTCCCACCTCAGCCTCCCAAAGTGCTGGGATTACAGTTGTGAACCACTGCACGCAGCCTATGTGTCTTAAAGCCAGTATTTTAGACCCATTTCCAATTGGGAGAACAAACAGTCCTCAGTGCTCATGAGACTTCAACAGCTTTTCTCTCTTTCTCTTTCATTCCCAACTCTTTTTCTTGTCTGGTTCTTCCTCTAGTCTAGTGGCTAATAACACCACCGTCCACCTGTTCTCCTGAGAAAGAAACCCAAGAGTCATCTGAACTTTCTTCCTCTCACTATCTTCATGTCCTGAACAGACTGCTTCCTTAACATACCCCAGCTCTGACATCTTCTCTCCATCCATCACCTGAAAATTTCAGATAGGTTTCCAACTGCCTCTAACTTCACACCTCTTCTCAAGAATTCACCCACCACTCCCCCTACCAGCAATGTAATATTTATAACATTTAAGTCTGAGTTATCAATACCCTTTCTAAACTCTTTAATGGTGCCCATCAACCACAAAGTCCAAGCCATTCCTCAGGACCCACTAGTTCACCCTTTCCTGGATCTTCAACTTCATCTTCCACCATCCCCCTCTACCTTGCACCTATATTGAAACAAAACCCAAGTGTTCATGGTTCCCATAAGAATGTTACAATGTCGTTGTGCTTTTGCACATGCTGTTTCCTCTTTCTAAAACATCCAACCCTAGAGGGTTTGTGTGGTAAAACCCTATCTTCCTGTGAAATCTATTTATGAACGTGTTTGAAAGAAGACTAAGTGAGAGAAACTCCACATCAAGCATCACTTGCTCTACTAGCCTTTGACTCCTCAAACAGAATTAAGCATTGTCCATCTCCCCTTCCAGAGACTGGGTCTTCTTTGTATCCCTCACACTCAGCTGAGGGCCTGGAGCAATGGAGATACTCAAAAAGCCCTCAAGAATGAAGGGAGGGATGAATATTATATGAGATAAGAAGCAAGAAAACGTGATTCCTGACACAGCTCTGCTATTAAATGTGAGTGGGTATGTGTCTGTCTGTCTGCCTATGTTTCAGAAATTCGATACAATGGAGGAGTGGTATTAGAGCCTTCAGCTCTGAAGTCAAATCATAAAAAGAATACTAATGGCATAGGAGGACAAAGAATTAAAGATCTAGTGCCCGTTTAATGTTGCTAGGCCTTTGATAAATATGAGAACATTGGAATAAGAGGGGTCTGAAAAATGATCTTCAGGCTGAAATATAGGAGACAGAAAACCAGCTCCCTTTACACAACTATGAAATGTTTTATTTCACTTAAACTAATTATTAAGTTGTTCAACTCTAGTTTCAAGGTTATTTGTAGAGAAAGAAGAAAAAAGGAACAAAGGTAGCCTTATTTTCTGTGACCCAGTTGTTACTTATCCCATGTAGATACAATGATGTTGGTTTAAGAAATCTGGCATTTAGGCCGAGGGCGGTGGCTCATGCCTGTAATCCCAGCACTTTGGGAGCCTGAGGCAGGTGGATCACAAGGTCAGGAGGTTGAGACCAGCCTGTCCAACATGGTGAAACCCCGTCTCTACTAAAAATGTATAAAAATTAGCTGGGCATGGTGGCATGGGCCTGTAATCCCAGCTACTTGGGAGGCTGAGGCAGGAGAATTGCTTGAACCCAGGAGGTGGATGTTTCAGTGAGCCAGGATCGAGCCACTGCACTCCAGCCTGGGAGACAGAGCGAGACACCATCTCAAAACAAACAAACAAACAAACAAAAACCCCAGAAATCTGGCATTCCTCAACAGCTAGTAGAAAAATTAATGAGGGGATAAAAGATGTTAGGAAGGAAAGACACATAGACGATGCTAGGAAAAGAAGGAAGATATAGTGATTAGGCACAGCAAGTAAGAGCCAGCATATGGCCAGAACAGCAAAACTTCTCAAAGATAATCTAAACAGAAGTCTAAAATTCACAAATATTCAAAAGCTCTTCACTCTGTGATAAAAGTTCAAAATCCTATTTTTTATCACCAACTAATAGGTCACTTTGCAAACTCAAGTATAATTTGATAAAGATAGTTATACCATGTTTTCCATTATAATTCATACATATGAGTTTGAATTGATTGAACCAGTGGTGTGGGCCTGCTGTAAAGTGATTTTCATTGAGAGACTTGGAAACCACCTCGGGAAAACCCACACTTAATTCAATAACAGACACAGCTGTTGGGGAGGAGGAAAAGAAGGTAGCACCATGAACTGAGTGCAGTATCATCACCCGGATTTGTTCCCCTGGCCAAAGCATCACACAATGGTTCTTAAGGAAAGGTGCTTATGAGCCTCTAGGTTCAAGAAGGTGTTTCTGCTATTGACTATGTAAATAGTGACGTCTAATGCAATGCCACTTTGGTGCCCATGTGAAAAAGTCACATATATACATAGAATAAGTATGGAGAGAGAGAGAGAAGGAGAAAGCCAATGGAAACACATAGAAAGTCTGGAAAATATACAACAATGTTAACAATGGTTAATAGTATTAAGCCATTTTTATTATGGATGATTTTAATTTACAGCTTTATACTTTTGTATGTTTTATAAAATGTCTACATTGAGCATTTGCTACTTCTATAATCAGGAAAAAACAAATATTGCTAATGAGTCAAAAGGAAGAAGAAAGCTACAGAATGTTTAGAAACATAAGTTCATTTTTAAATGTTGGCAAGTCATGGAAAATAAACTTTTAATCAAGGTGGTCATTTTTAAGCCTATTGTTATACTTGCTTAATATACTTCAGAAGAAAAAGAAGTACTATTTTGTCTAAAATATAGCTTATTCAAACATTTTTTTTTATTTGGTAGTTATTAGTTATTAATTAGCTCTAGCCCAGGATTTCTGGAAGTGTTTGAAAGAAGACTAAGTGATAGAAATTTACCATGTATGTTTAGTATAACCTCATCTTCTTCACTGATTTACATAATTCCTTAGAGAGAAAATAACTCCTTAATATAGCATAAATTTATATTCAACTAAGTCTTCACAATACACAGAGGAGGAAATAAAAACAGTTATTCCTACAATTTTTATTTAAACCAACTGTCTGGAATTTTAAGACTCATATTAAGTTTTATTTATGAATCTGAGTGTGACTAATTGAACCATAAGCCATTTTATATCACACATGGTATGTAATATGGTCTCTCCTAGCTAAACGTTCAATTAAAAAAAATGAGGAGGATGACGACAAATATGACACCATGAAGTATCTTTATGATTTATTTTCACAAACATTTGGGGAGTATCCACCAAGTGCCAGGTCATATGCTTTTGCTCAGCAATACAAAGATAAGACTATCAATTTCAGCTCCCAGACAGGTGAGGCTTGGGCATTAGTAAGGGCTGGGGCCAATGTCCTGGAAGTTTGCAGCAGGGGCAGACATAAGGGTCACTAGCCCAAGGTCTGCAGAGCAGAGAACTGAGCGACAATAATGTAAAAGGTCATCTCTAGGAGAGATGCCAGAATTAAAGCCAGGCTGGCCAAGTGAATTGTCTTACAGAGGGGGTATAAGATGAGAAGAAGACTCCTAGTAGGAAGCAATGGGACAGAAATCAAAACAGACAACAGGATTCATAGTACAGGGTCAGGTGGAGAAATTTCCCAAGGCAAAGTGCATTCTGCACGAAGCTTTGTCGAGCCTATACTGTAATATGGGCTGCTAAGGAGGTAGACAAACATAGTCCCTGCCTTCCGAAAGATCACAGCCTAGCAGAAGAGAGAGATAACATCCATTTCATTCATGTCTACTCCACCCAACAGCTCCCTAAGGGCTGGAAACATTCCTCAGTCAAATGTGAGTTGGATGGATGGATGGATGATGATAATGAAGATTAATTATGTCAAATCAACAAAGGAGGCTGTAAATAAAGAGATAGGGCAGGGAAGTGGGGAAGTGGAATGCTCCAAAAATGAGGAGTTAAGACTTGTGGTCCTACTCTTGGTTCTGCCACTTACTAGTGTTAACTTGGATAAGTCGTCTAAGCTTTAAATTTCATGAGGGAGTTGGAGAAAATGGCTGCCAAGATCTCCTTTTTGTTCTTTTTCTTTTTAATCATAAAACGAAATTCACCAATTTTAAAATCAGATTGAAAAGTTCTTTCTGATCCCAGCATTTTTCCAAATGAATTGAACAAATTCAAGTGTTTTATAACTCTTGGCCCTTTTAAAAATTAACTATAATTGAAGCATCTTCTTGAACAGAGTTCTTTACAAAACACACACACACACACACACACACACACACACACACACACACACTTAAATCCAAGCAATTTCCTTGCAATATCTCTCTGTGGATATATAAACTTTTAACCTCTTACCTTGAATAGAGTTTCTACATTTGCCCTATTTAGTCAACAATAAAAGTCAAATATGCCATTTTTTATAAATTATCTGCTAGCAGCATATTATAAATTTCAAGCAGAAAAGTTTGTGGGTTATTTTTTAAGCCTTTCCACATTCTACAGTGAGAGAAGTTAGAAGTTAATGCTAGTTTATCAAAATAATTTATGCTTTAAAGTTCCTTGAAGAGCAGAGAGAAAATAATAACATCCATTGCATTTTTAGGCTTTGGTCTCAGCAGTTCCACTGGTATAGGATATGACATACTAGAGAAAAAAAGTAACAAATCAGTCTTATTAATGCTATATATTTTTTAATTCTAAATGTCGGCAAATACAAAATATCTATGATTTTGTTTAAACCATTGTTCTCTAAAAATTAATTTAAATATTTTCAAAGATATTTTAAAATCTGTTTTGTTATCTGTAATCAGCATCAAGATATAAGATTAACTGTTCACAAAAAGACAGATGAAGAGCATTTCTGTACTTTTCATCCACTAAGTGAAGGAAAAAATAATTCAAGTAAGGTAAAATAAAGTTGGAAAGTAGAAAAAAGAAAATTCTAAAAATCAACAAAATATTATGAAAATGTTCCAAATTGACAAAAGTGGAGTGATGATCCAGTTCTTTAAATTACATATTGAAATAAAATTACTAATTTTCATGGGTATTATTTCTAATTTCATGCTCCATAATACAATCATCCTGAAACCCCATCAGCCTTGATTAGCCAAATGAAGTTTCCGGATATCTAAGTTTGAAAGGAGAGAGTTGGGAACTTGTAGCTGAAAACAACAATTAAAAAAAAAACAGCTTCACATCTGTGTTCGCATCTGAAGTTGCTCTGTAAGATCTGATAACTTGTTAGAAAGCAATCTTTTTTGCAAGGCAGTAGATTTACATCATACATTTTTCTCTCTCCAAGGAAATTCTAATTACTGGTTCCAATCATTTCTGATTGATTTGCTTTTTATTCTTCCAAGGTATTCTCTGCTTTATGATGAAATCAAGCCTTCAATAAAATTCCAAAAATTTTAGAACAATTTACAAGCTCCAGATGACTGAAAGTTTTCTCATGTCCGTTTGGCAT
Source organism: Homo sapiens (assembly GCF_000001405.40). Lineage (NCBI taxonomy): Eukaryota > Metazoa > Chordata > Mammalia > Primates > Hominidae > Homo > Homo sapiens. Next base: position 55,929,770 of record NC_000002.12, on the reverse strand, counting down.
TCAGAAAGAGAGTTTCACCAAGTATATTCTGAAGAAGAATACATCTGGCACTCACTAAAACAAAGAACTCACCAGTGACATACTTGAGGCAAATTAATGTTGCGTAAATGCAAATTTGCCAATATTCTTTGAGGCCAAAGCTGCAATCCAACCTCCATATATTTCAATGAGTCCTCTTCTAATGCGCAGGCCACCAGTCACATGAGTGAATGTTTGGGGCATATTTTAGCAATCAATTTAATAACTACACATTATCTTCTATGTACAAATTTAAAATTGCTTATGTGTAATGTGGATTTTTTAAAGAAAAGACTTAGCATCTGTTGAAGACTTGCCTAAGTTCATGTCTTCTCTTGGCCTGATGCAAACTCCAAATCATTGACAAAAAGACAACATAGAAACAAAGAATTTTAGCCCTAGAAAAAAAATTAAAAACCATCTCTTTCAAAGACTTGTTTCAGTAATATAAAGCATATCAGAAATCCAAATGTGTATTCATCATGGGAATATTTTCATGGATAATGTAAATTCTGCTATTCAAAAATACTGAATTTTTATGCATCAATAAGAAAGCAGTCCAAGAAAATAAATAATTTAATCAACATTATTCTTGCAAGAGTCCATTATAGGGCTATCAGTAGTGAATGATCCATTTTTATCAATTCAGTAAGAATACTAGTGTTTTTAAATGAATTCTTTCTGTAAGAAGGAGAGGGTTTTTTCCATCAATTCTGGTTCCAGCCTTGGCTTCTCCTTCAGCAGTTTCCTAGGAGAATATACTTTCACAAATCAAGTGGACCCAAATGTTGCCTGGTTTGGATACATGGCCAGAAACTGTGGGCTAATTCTGTGATTCATATCTTGGTCTCTAGCATGCCAGGGATGCCCACTGTGGGTCCCCGTTGAACACAGTTACTCTACACTTTGATTAAGCACTCTTAAGACTCAGCCACACTGATAGTACATGTTTGATTAAGACACACATTCCAAAGGATACAGAGACATAGATCATAGTGCTCAGTGTGTGATCATCAACATCTGTGAATCTCTTCTAAAATTATGAGTTTGTCACCACATACATCTTCAAATCTTCCTTTTTTTTTTTTGAAACAGTCTTGCTCCGTCACCCAGGCTGGAGTGCAGTGGCGTGATCTTGGCTCACTGCAACCTCCTGAGTAGCTGGAATTACAGGCGCGCACCACCATGCCCAGCTAATTTTTGTATTTTTAGTAGAGAAGGGGTTTTGCTGTGTTGACCAGGCTGGTTTTGAACTCCTGGCCTTAAGTGAATCACCTGCCTCAGCCTCCCAAAATGCTGGGATTACAAGTGTGAACCACCGTGCCCAGCCCAAATCTTTAAAATCTCAGATTCCTCTGAGCTCAGAGCAATTTTAGGAAGGTGAATTTACTGCAATTTCCACTTGCATTCTGCTAAATCCATGCATCCAGTTTGAATCCATAAAGTTGGACTCCATTAAATAAATCATCCAGCAGGGTGCAGTGGCTCCCGCCTGTAATCCCAGCACTTTGGGATGCCGAGGCAGGTGGATCACAAGGTCAGGAGATCGAGACCATCCTGCCCAACATGGTGAAATCCTGTCTCCACTAAAAATACAAAAATTAGCCAGGTGTGGTGGTGTGCGCCTGTATTCCCAGCTACTCAGGAGGCTGAGGCAGAAGAATTGCTTGAGCCCAGGAGGCGGAGGTTGCACTGAGCCAAGATAGTGCCACTGCACTCCAGCCTGGGTGACAGAGGGAGACTCCATTTCAAAAAAAAAAAAAAAAAATTATCAAAATTTAAAATGTTTGCTCTCAAGAGACAGCATTAACAAATTGGAAAGACAAGACAAAGACTAGAAAGAATGTTCGAAAAATGTAAATCTGAAGAGGACTTGCAGGAAGACTATTTTTAAAAACTCTTACAACTAATAAGACCAAAAAATAAAGAAATGAACACAAATTTGAAATAAAATATATTGATGGACAATAAGCATACGAAAAGCAAAATTCAACATCACTGGACATCAGAGAAATGTAAAATAAAACCACAGTGAAATACCACTTACACACCCACCAGAATGGCTAACATTGTAAATTACTGACAATACCAGAAGTTGGCAAGGATTTCAGGCAAATTGAATCTCACATATTGCTGGTAAGAACATAAAATAACACACTCACTTTATAAAACAGTTTGACACTTTCTTATACTGTTAAACATACCCCTACCATATGACAGCAATTTCACTCCTAAGCGTTTATCTAAAAGAAAACATATCCCAGCAAAGACTTAGAAGTGAATGTCCGTAACAGATTTATTCATAAACAATCCAAGTATCTATTAAGATGTAAACAAACAAATCAGGGTATATACATACAATGGAATACTACTCAGCAATAAAAAGGAATGTGTTTCTCATACACCTAATAACAAGGATGCATCTCAAGCAACATGCTGAGTGAAGGAAGTCAGACCCGAAAGAGTATTTACTCTATGATTTCATTCATATGAACTCCCACTGCAAAAAGGCTGCAGGAGAACAAGGTTGTAAACAAGGAGACCAATTAGGAGGATGTTGCAATAATACAGTTGGAAAATGGTGGTGGCTTAGACCAGAGTGGTTGCAAAAGAGGTGATGAGAAGTGGTTCCATTCTGGATATATCATGAAGGTGAAGCCAACAGAATTTCCTGAAGGATAGAATGCAGGATATCTCAGAAAAAGAGAAATCAAGGATGACTCCATGGTCCTGAATCTGAGCAAATAGAAAGATGAAACTGCTTTAACTGAGATGGTGAAGGTGGGTGGAGTAGGTTGGGGGATGATAACAGCAGTTGTGTTCAGTTTGAAACATCCATTAGATGTCCAAATGAAGATAGCAAGTTGGCAGCTGGATATATAGGAACAGTTCCAGGCTGGAGATATAAATTTGAGAGTTTTCACCCCATTTTTCTGGAAAAGTGGCTGGGAACAGGTAGAAAGAGTTTAAGAGAAACAGGAAAAACCATGTGCACAGATCTTCTTACTGTACAAAAAGTAAAGATCCATTTAAAAAAAATCTGGAGGTCATTAATGACTTGGGGGAAAACACTAGAATTTTGATAGTAAAAATATTTGATACAATTACCAAAACTCTGTATACTCAAGTAAGGTTTAGGGAGGGTTGTACACCTCCCCTCTGATCTTGTCCAATACTGTGTGGCTTGCTACCAAACTGGCAATGTCTAGGTAACCCACACTGGATACCCCAGAGATAAAGAGAGCAGCTTCCACCTGATAACCTCCCTCTCCTGCAGTCGCTACCACCCTCCCACCTTGAGTCAGCAGGAAAGGAAAGGAGCTTTTCCTCTCCTCCTGAGCTCTGCCTCCTGCTCAAGGACAGAGTCAAAGTTTTAACCCCTTCAGTTTGTAAGTTTTCTCATTCATGAAATTGTATTTGGCCATTTGCTTCTTAGAAGACAGCTGCCTTGGAAGCAAGCTATTAGTATGACTTTAGAGTTGGAGCCTTCAGAGGTAACTGCAATTTGTGTGGTATGATTTGATAAAAACAGAAAAAAAGATTTTTCTCTCCAGATTCCTGAAATTCCACTATGAAAGGTGAAAGTGAAATGCCCAACTTTGAATGAGCAGTATTGGAGATTTCACTAAGTCAATAAGTGAAGAAAAGAGAAGCTATAGATGAAAAAAGAAACCCATAAAAAGGGAGACTTTTTATTATATATTGACAAATTATAGTTGTATATATTAATAGGGTACAAGGTGTTATGATTTTTTAATACAATGTGTAATAATTAAACCAAGCTAATTAATATATCCATCACCTCAAATATTTGACATTTTTTGTGATGAGAACATTTGAAATTTACTCTCTTAGTGATAATGAAATATACAGTACTCAATTATCAGCTTTATTCACGACACCGTGCAATTGAACTTTAAAAAAATCAAACTTTTCCTCTCTTTTTTTTTTAGATGGAGTCTCACTCTGTCACTCAGAGGGATGATCTCAGCTCACTGCAACCTCTGCCTTCCGGGGTTCAAGCGATCATCCTGCCTCAGCCTCCCGAGTAGCTGGGATTACAGGCACGTGTCTAATTTTTGTATTTTTAGTAGAGATGGGGTTTCTCCATGTTGGCCAGGCTGGTCTTGAACTCCTGACCTCAGGTGATCTGCCCACCTTGGCTGCCCAAAGTGCTGGGATTACAGGCATGAGCCACTGCACCCAACCCTTATTCATCCTATCTAATTGAGGCTTACACTCTTTGACTGTTATCTCTCCATTCCCTGCAACCCTAGCCTCTGGTAACCACCATTCTACTCTCTGCTTCTATGAGTTCAATTGTTTTAAGTTACTTTCAGATACTTGAGAACATGTGGTATTTGTGTTTCTACATTTGGCTTATTTCACTGTGCATAATGTTTTCCACTTCCATCCATGGTGTCACAAATGACAGAATTTCTTTTTTAAGGCTAAATAGTATTCCACACATACACACAGACACATAAAATGGAATACTATTCTCTTTTAAATTTTGTATGCCTAATAATTCATGGTTAAAGGACAAGATAATAACTATTTTTGAGTATCCCGCTGTGGAGACACGATCTCCTTTGATCCTTGCAGCAATGTGTAAGGTAAGTGGCATCATCTTCCTTCTATTAATGGTAGAACTGAAGATCAAAGAGAGTGTCTAACTTGCTTAGGGCTACATAGCCAAGTGGTGAAGCTAAACTCAGTCTAGGCTTACTTGATAGTACACTAACATTAAATGTCTAGGAGTAAATATCTAAAACAAACTGTAAGTCTTCTCTATTTACCATACAAATTATTCAAGTGAACTGCCATTTTTGCCTGGCTTGAAAGATACTTTTCAGAAGAATGGGCTCATATACACATGCACGCGCGCACACACACACACACAATGGAATACTATTTAGCCTTAAAAACGCATATATATCTAAAATATATGTGTGTACATATTTTATATATATATGTGTTTATATATATAATATATATTATATTTGTATACACACACACATATATGCCACATTTTCTTTATCCATTTATCCCTTGATGGACACTTAGGTTGATTCCATATCTTGGCAATTGTGAATAGTGCTGCAATAAACATGAAAGTACAGACGTCTCTTCAACACACTGATTTCAAATCTTCCCAGTAAATACCCAGAAATGAGATTGCTGGATCATATGATAATTCTACTTTCAGTTTTTTGAGAAACCTCCATACAATTTTCCATCATGTTTGTACTAATTTACATTCCACCAACAGCATACAAGCATTCCCTTTTCTCCATTCTTGCCAACACTTGTTATCATAAAGGGAGGTTTGAGAGACCATAAAACAAACCCCACCTCACAATTTTGTTAGTGCAAGTTCTATTTGGCCTATTCCCAACACTAAGCACACAGTAGGTGGCAAATATTTGTTGAATGGATGAATTCTCATTTTTCTCCATTTGTGGAAGCAGACACCTCCTCAAAAAAAAAAAAAAATCCGAAAGAAAAGGTAAAGGAAACAGTTCTATGAATGGGGGTTAATTTACTCTCCTAGCATTCACTTATTGGGAAAAAAAGTAACAGCAGTTTCTAGAACCCTCTGGTCTCTGAGGGAGATGCTGTGTTCCCCTCCTCAGAGAAGAAGAAAACGCACTAGAGAGTGGGAGCATCCCCAAGGCTGAAGCGCATCCAGGACATCACATGTCAACGTGTCCTCTCTGGCGTGGGGTCCCCGCGAGTCTGGGAAACGAGGAGCTGGCAAGGGAGGGCAAGCGGGGGCGGCAAAGAGGGCCCCTGGAGCAGGGGGCGCGGACCTCGCTGCGCTGCGCGCTCTACCGCCGGGCTCGCAACGCTGGGCTCAGCGCTCGCGCCTCCCTCAGCTCTCTCCTCCGCCCCCCTTCGCCCTCCCCCTTTCCCTCCCTTTCTCCTCCTCCTCCTGCCGCCGCGGCCGCTGCCGGACTTCGCCAGATCAGACCCACGGGGCTGCCCTCCCCTGCGCACTCCCCTCGCTGCCCGGGCCCGGAGCGCAGCGCGGCCGCACAGGTAGGAGCCCCCAACGGGGGGTCGCCCCGAGCGAGCCCAGTACTCACTGGGCCGCGCGCGGGAGAGTGAGGTGGGGTGAGCTGAGGGGTGTTGAGTACCCGAGAACTGCCCTGGACTGTGCAGGGTGTCTCGGGCAGAGAGGGAGGTGGAGGTGTGCAGCCTCGGAATGCGATCTGTCAGCAAGTGCGAGTACTCGGGTGACATCTGTTGGGATGGGCATGTGTGTGCGCGCCGACAACCAGCCGGCAGGGCTTTGCCCATAAACGTGGTTTTGAAAGTTTAGGGGACCAGTGTGCGAGATTTAAGCCGCACCTGGATTCCATAGGAGCTGGTTAGAAGCTGGGACGCTGAGCAGCTCCAGGGGACCGCCGCGTTAGCTTGCTGTTAAGAAAGGGGACCTCATCTCCCTGCCGGGCCAGGCCGCCCGCCCGAAACTGGTACCTTGGGCTGCGGTGCGATCCCTGGTTCCGGTCCTAGGCAGCCTGAAACCGAAGGTAGCGTGTCGGGGACCCAGACTGATAAGACAAAAGAGAATCAGTCGCTTTGGGCTGCCCCTCCACACAACCTGGGACTTTTAAACAAAGCTGTGCGCAGAGAAAGGCGTGGAAATGCCACTTTGAGAGTTTGTGCTGGGGGATGTGAGAAGCTCTGAGACATGTGAGAAGGTCTAGTATTCTACTAGAACTGGAAGATTGCTCTCCGAGTTTTGTTTTGTTATTTTGTTTAAAAAATAAAAAGCTTGAGGCCAAGGCAATTCATATTGGCTCACAGGTATTTTTGCTGTGCTGTGCAAGGAACTCTGCTAGCTCAAGGTGAGTATACTGGGAAAGCCTTAACGTTCTAGAGAACAGAGTTTTGCAGCCCCACCTCCATCCCCCGGGGTGTGGGACTGGGGGGCAGGAAATGCACCGTCCCCTTTGAAATGGATTACTGTTTTTTCCTTTCGACCCCCTCTTTCTGCAGCCTGCTTTGTAGGTGCAGTATAAAATGCACGCTGAATGTCTTTTGTATGTAAACAGCGTAGCAGGATGGAGTAACGTGAAATGCAATTCTACAGCAGTTTTTACGTCTTTGCTGCCTCGTTCGTTGGCTACCGAGAAGGTTCAGGAGGGGGAGGGGAGATGAGAAAGCAGATTGGAAGTTGAGTATGGTGGAGCCTCAGCCTCTCCCACCCTCCTTTCCTCGCTTGTGCTCACTGCTAAAGTTTTGTTACTTTCCCCGCAGCAGATACTAAACATTAGTTTGTCCTGTATTTTCTTTGAGATTCACAATGTTGAAAGCCCTTTTCCTAACTATGCTGACTCTGGCGCTGGTCAAGTCACAGGACACCGAAGAAACCATCACGTACACGGTAAGGGGTGATGGAATTTGAAATAAGTACGGTTCAGCGGGATTCTGTGACAAAAAAAGACTTTACACACCCCTGCCAGTGTATTTGGGCTATACTCTGCTGAGGGTGATAAATTAAACAACACTTCATTCATGCTTCATATCTAAGATTCGTTGTAAATTGCCCCCTTGATCCTTTCAAAAGTTCATTGGGCTCACCACCTAAGATAGGAACCAACATGTAATCATTTGTGCAGGGCTAAAAATGGGATCCGTTCAAAAACTAAAACCAAAGAAAGTTACATGTTTCCAAAACATTCAACAAATTAATGGGTGTAAGGAACTGGAAAACCTGGACTCCTACCACATGCAGATAAAACCAATACGTGCAGAATAAGACTCAAGTCAAGTAAGAACGTTAAACACCATAAAGACACATGGCCTTCTTTGTGTACATGACATGCATTCTCAAGTAAGTGGCCTTTATTGAATTTATAAAGGCTATATATTCATTCTTTTTGTATAACTTGATAATTCTAATAAATAAAGGCAGACAACAGTTTATGTGTTACCAGGATGCATATTGGCTAAAGTGGTTTTAAAACGTAATGTGTGCAACTCCGTTTTGCATTTTCTAATTAGCGTCTCTGATATTTCCAAGTAATATTTGATTAGTTAGTTGCATAGGTGTAACCAATGTTTAATAAAATATTAAAAAGATCACCTGACCCCTCCCACTGCTACAAATAGTTGTGGTGAGAACAGAGAAGGACAGTACTGACTTCACTTCTGGTGAGTTTGTTTGCACCTCTGTTCTGTGTTTTCTTGTCTTTAATCAGTGTTAGGCAAATGACATTTGTCCTGGATTGGAATATGAAAAGCACATTTTTCTACTGCTCCCAGTTTAAAATTAAGTAATCCTACTCGAAAGAATGTGAAAAATTTTTGAAAAGAAAACTCTTAAAAATGAACTAATGTCAATTACTGATAATAAACATTATCTCACTTTTTGGTACCACATTATCCCTAGAATGTTAGTATTCATCTGGCAAATGTTCCTTTCTGTTGTTCAGATCCACTATAAATAAAATAGCTTAATACAAATATTTTGTTAACTTCATGTTAAATGCAGTTGCTTCCTCTGCTGAAGATAAATTAAGCAAGAAAAATGAAGGCATGTGCTGTTTATCTTAAAATGAAAATGTTTTGTTATTCAGACTAAACTTACTGCCTTCTCAGGGAGCTAAAATTAAATTCACTACCCACTTTTATAATCATCTCATAAAAGATTTTACTTCTTTTCCAGTTGCTTATCTTCTATGCCCTTCCCTTTGCTAATCACCTAAATCTTCCTCATTTTTACCAGAGAAGGTTCCCTGTGGCTTAAACATGATAGTTTTAAGACCACTAACTAGGGTTCATTATTATTGTAACAAATTTTCCAGATATGTTACCCTTTTGTGCTAAGATTGGGCCTATTCTCCTTTAAATTTTGTATGCCTAATAATTCATGGTTAAAGGACAAGATAATAACTATTTCTGAGTATCCCGCTGTGGAGACACGATCTCCTTTGATCCTTGCGGCAATGTGTAAGGTAAGTGGCATCATCTTCCTTCCACTAATGGTAGAACTGAAGATCAGAGAGAGTGTCTAACTTGCTTAGGGCTACATAGCCAAGTGGTGAAGCTAAACTCAGTCTAGGCTTACTTAATAGTACACTGACATTAAATGTCTAGAAGTAAATACCTAAAACAAATTGCAAGTCTTCTCTATTTACCATACAAATTATTCAAGTGAACTGCCATTTTTGCCTGGCTTGAAAGATACTTTTCAGAAGAATGGGCTCGTATCCACATAATAGCCTCATAGTCCTCTTCCATATTAAAGATGGTGTCCATTCAGCTGTTTACTCAACAACTATCTGCATAAGCAATTCTCATCACTATTAAAAGAATTTGTTTGTTTACTAAGAAAATTCAGTCTCCTCTTGGAGAATTTAGCCTGGGAAGACAGTGTTGAAAACTACAAAGTTCCTAAGCAAGGACAAATGATACTATTATACAGATTATACAAATTGCCAAGGAAATAGAAAAGCAAGGAGGTGATTAATGTTGGTGCCAGCATATTAGAGGAGACAGAACTCTGTGCTGGTTCTTGAAGGAAGTGATGACCTTGGTTGGATTGATCTAGAAAGGCTGAAGAGGCACCTGAGTCAGAGAGTGGCATAATCAAAAGCTAGAGCTGAAAGCACCTGAGACCAATCCAGGTGGTGATAAGGTCAGATCAGCTGGAACTGGGTAGTGGGAAGAACCCAGAGATGGTGATGATGAGAGATCTGCAGGTCACTGTGAGGTCTCAGAGAGAGGAGCAACATAACCAAGAGCACAAGAAAGATCATGGGGTCTGTATGCAGCATGTAGAGATGCGGGGCCTTGCCTACTCATGGGCCAGCAAAAGCCTTTCTTAGTAGACATGGTAGAAATGGACACAAAGTCAGCAGAGATGGAAGGAAAATAAGTGGAGCATTCAGCACTGATGTTAAAGTTGGAATCCTGGGTTTCGAAAAAGGTAGTGGTACCTTTAACACTGTTTGGGAAACAAGAAAAAAATTAGTCTGAGAGACAAAGTGAATTTAGTTCTCGCTCCAGTAAGTTTCAGACATCAGTAAAATATCTAAATGGATCTCTGGGCTTCCATTCAGCTATTTCCTTGTCAAGCATCCATTGTGTACATAAGCAGCTCTCAGTTATATTAAAAGAATTTAAGTTTATTTGTTTGTTTACTCCACTTTTGCTCAATCCTTCCTTGGGCTTCTTCCTTACAGTGACTTTCTCAAATGAGCGTCTGATCAGATTGTTTCCTGAGCTTAAAAATTCTTCAGAGGCCTCTTATCGCCTGTAGCAACATTTCTCAAGAAGTAGTTCCTAGACAACCTGTATGGGAATCGCCTGGGATACTTGCTAAGAATTTAGATTCCAGGCCCCCTACCCAGACCTACAGAATCAAATCCTTTGGGTGGGCCCAGGAATCTTCATTTTAACAAGAACCCTGAATGATCCTTAGACACAATAAAGCTTGAGATTCACTGACCTTCAGGGTAGAATTCAGGCTTCCATTCCTAAAGAAAGGCTTTCTTGTTTTGGCCCTGCCTACCTCTGTAACCTCATCCTCCACCTACCCAGAACTCCTTGCAGCTCCTTCCCTTTTCAAAAATTTTATGCCTTTGTCACAATAGCCTCTCTTCCTAGAATTCCCACATTCACCTGGAAAAATCCTGCTCATCCTGTAAAGCCTGATTTACTGTCACCTCCTCTGTCAAGTCTTCCCTTCTGCCCTGCCATGCTCACCCATGCCCCCGGGCAGAGTCCATTACTCCTTCCTGCATACACTTGTAGAAGGCACCTGCCATCTTGCTGCAACTTGTCTACCTATCTGTCTCCTCTTCTGGTCTTTGAGCTGCTTGAGGACAGGGACAAAGTCTGCATCATCTTTGCATCCCCAGGCCCTAAAACTGCCTGGTTTCAGAAGGTGATCCATAGGCTGTTTGTTCAGTGGGTGAACTAGAGAGGAGATTGAAGCTGGGAACTGCTAGGAGGAACACCTCTGTTCCTTAGGAGCTGAAGCTAGGGAGCAGGTCAGGGTGTGAGATGGAGGTGCTTGAATGCTGTAAGAGGATTTAGAGAGAGAGAGAAGAGTCCAGGGCTGGTTGGGGGTGGGGGCGGGGGAGAGGGCGAGGAAAGAGAGAGAATTTGGTCTTTTTTTTTTTTAACATTTCCAATGTGGGAAAAAAGGCAAATTAATAAAGAGCAGTCAGAGAAGTTGGAGAAGATTAGTCTCAAAACAGAAAAGAAGATGGTACTGGGCAACTGTACCAAAAAGAACAGAAGAGTTTAGGCAGCTGATGGTTGAGAATGGACCCCCGAAGCTGTCCAATGCACAGACTTGTCTTTTGAAAAAAAAGCGATAGAATGTTAAACCACCCATCTCATCATATATCTAGGACTTTAGCACAAGGATTGTTGCCATAAGAATGAAGCTTTTAGAGTGATTTCTTAGGGAATGGACACACCAATTAACTGTCTCCTGGCCCCACCTTTGATGTTTTCTTCACAGCAATGCACTGACGGATATGAGTGGGATCCTGTGAGACAGCAATGCAAAGGTGAGCCAGCTTCAAAGACTTCCATGTGATCATTGCCTTCTGTCTCCATCTCTTGTGTCACTCTTCCTGTCCTGTCTGTGTTATACCAAAAAGGCATGAGCATTATATTTACATGTTTGATTTTTCCCTCTTAGAAGATTCCTGACTTATTTTATTACTGACCACAGATATTGATGAATGTGACATTGTCCCAGACGCTTGTAAAGGTGGAATGAAGTGTGTCAACCACTATGGAGGATACCTCTGCCTTCCGAAAACAGCCCAGATTATTGTCAATAATGAACAGCCTCAGCAGGAAACACAACCAGCAGAAGGAACCTCAGGGGCAACCACCGGGGTTGTAGCTGCCAGCAGCATGGCAACCAGTGGAGTGTTGCCCGGGGGTGGTTTTGTGGCCAGTGCTGCTGCAGTCGCAGGCCCTGAAATGCAGACTGGCCGAAATAACTTTGTCATCCGGCGGAACCCAGCTGACCCTCAGCGCATTCCCTCCAACCCTTCCCACCGTATCCAGTGTGCAGCAGGCTACGAGCAAAGTGAACACAACGTGTGCCAAGGTAGGAATAACTTATTTTCCTAACCATTGAAAGCTTTTGCCCAAGTGCACCTCGTGGTGAGGATGATGATAATTTATTAAGGACTTCTCGCGTGCCAGACATCATGCTAAGTGCTTTGTCTGCATTATATTTAATCATCACAATATTCCTAAAGGGTAGTTGCTGTAGTTGTCATCATTGCTTTACAAATGGGAAACTGTGGCTTAGAAAGTTCATCAGTGGTTCCCAACCCTAGCTGCCCATATTTAGAGTCACTTGGGAACCTTTAAAACTTCTCGATGGCGAAGCTACACCCCAGCCCAGTTAAATCACAGTCTCTGAGGTGGGTTCCAGGCATCGGCTTTTTTTTCAGTTCCTCATGTGCGGCCAAGTTTGAGAACCAGAGGTCACACAGGTGCTAAGTGCAGAGCTGACCTTCCAACCCAGGAAGGCGGGTGCCAAAGTCACAGCTGGCAAAAGTCACCATCAGGTTATTCACTGGGAATTTGAAATTATGCTGTCAAGCTACTCTACAGATGTACCCCTTTGGTTTCTCAAGTTTCTTTTCATCGAACTTGCCACAGACTTATTTTCCTCATTCAGGAGTAAAGAAATGGGGCTCCTGCTTCTCATTACCTTGGAGGGATTCTCCCCCACTCACGTTTATATCTCTTTTAAGCTCTCATTTGACGACGTTTCACTTATATCACTTGCACCATGGCATCATCTGCCTAGGGTTTTCTGTTTATTTTCACAGAGCATACACATCACTGTGTATTCTAGAAACAGCTGTAGGCTCGTATTAGCAAAGTGATAAGAATCTGGGGCTTTGAAGACATGTAGGATATTAGCTAACTGAACTGTGCTATGAGATTGTTTCCCTTTCTTCTTGGCAAACCATTTCAGAGCAGCCTGGTGTGGAGACTGTGTTACTGAAATGGGGCCATAGGAGCCTCCAGACTCCTTTCTCCCTGCCAGAGGCTGATTAGGTAGATCCCATAGTGCAGAACTCCATGTCACCACCACATACGTGTATGGCACACGTGGGCCAATGGAAAGGGTCCAGGAGTTCTTACTTTCTAACTGGTCATGTGTAAGGAAGAGAGCACCTTCCTCCCTTAACACCAAGGGTTTCAATAGAGACCACTGAGCTGCTACATTAAATGAAAGATGCATTTTCTTGTGCCCTGGGATGCTGCCCCTTATTCACCCGTGTTTAGTTTTATCTTCTGTGTAAAAGATACTCGAGTTTAAATGGCTTAAAAATGAAGCAAGGGGCTGGGCACGGTGGCTCACGCCTGTAATCCCAGCACTTTGGGAAGATGAGGCGGGTGGATCACCTGAGGTCGGGAGTTCAAGACCAGCCTGGCCAACATGGCGAAACCCCATCTCTACTAAAAATACAAAAATTCTCTATGAATGGTGGCACATGCCTGTAGTCTCAAATACTAGAGAGGCTGAAGCAGGAGAATTGCTTGAACCTGGGAGGTGAAGGTTGCAGTGAGCCGAGATCATGCTACTGCACTCCAGCCTGGGCAACAGAGTGAGACTCTGTCTCAAAAAAAAAAAAAAAAAAAATGAAGGAAACTTGTCATGCTCTGACTCTTATTTATTTCATATTTTGTTTGTAAGCTTTAAGTACCCCACATCAAGACCTAACCCATGTTGTGATGGTGTCACTTTTCAGAGGGTGCATCGTATTAGCATCTGTTTCGTGTTACTGTCATGAGTCAGAATTCCAGTATTGATGATGAATGCTTCAGCATCTGCTTGATATTCTGATATTGAATTTAAGGATTATGTCAAGGAGATAAAATGATGAGGTTATTCTTATACATGTATTTGGGTTAATACTGATAAAAAAAATCTTGAGTTTATTTAAGATAGACCAACTTTTAATTGTGTTATTTAGTTATATAACTAGACTGGAAAGTTTGGTAGTATTTTTCCCAAAATCAAAAAATTTTGCTGAAAAATTCTTAAGTATCAACTTTTATATACTGAATTATTTTGAATACTTTAGATGTGTACTTTAATGGTACTTGGGAGAAAAAAAAACCAGATAAATGAATGAGTCATTTCCCAAAGTAGTTTGTAGACCGTCATTGACATTTATGGTTGAATTCAAGAACAATGCCCAGAACTAAATGAAGAGGTCCTAGAATAAAATATATTCAAGACTTACAACATGTATTGGTTACGGTAGAAACTGTACTGTGATTAATGAAAATAAAATCCTATTTAACTTTTCTAGAAAATATTTAGACTACCTAACAAAGTAAGTTACGTTTCACATAGTAAAACATTTATAGTTCTTTCTTCTTTGGGAATTTTTTTTAGTTATAAGCAGACTATTAAGTGCCTTGCTTATGGAATATGCTAAATACATACCTGTTGACTGTGTGCACACAGGTTATTTCCAACCCAAATTGATCTGTGTAATTCAGCCAGTTTCTAAAATTTGGGATTGGTGTCTATACCATTGAAAGCAGGGTTAAAAGTTTTTTGGAAGGCTTAGGGCTTAAGTTGGATTTCTTCCCACCTCACAATTTTGCAAAGTGCCCATAAATGTGGATTTACTTAATTGTTGATAAAAGGGGGTTATTTCATATGATAACAACAGGATAATCTGTCTAGGGAATTTGACTAACATAAGTCGAGTCACACTTGTGCCCATTTCTTATTGAGCTAATCAAACATGCAGTCCAGCTTCTTCTAATTGCCTGCAGATGTATGACATTCTCATTCCAGGCCAGCAGCACAAAATAATATTTTATAACCAATGTGGAAGTATGGGGACCTCTGTTTAGAACAATAATGTGCTCTAAGGACCTATATTATTGACATCATCATGGAGTTTGAAGAGTCTTCTGTTTTAATAAAGATCTCCACTCCCTTTTAAATGTTGCATATTTATGCCCAGTAATCCAGACACATTTCCTATGGTCTACTGGATAGAATAAATGAATCTTACAGATGAGTCTTATTTGCATAAAAATTATTTCTTTTTTCTATGTATATTTTTTAGCAGGTATAGTTTATCATTATATAACCTAAAACTCAGGACATTTTAAATGTAAGAACTGAAATCTGTACTGTGTTTCAGTCTTCAAATCAATTGTGCCTTTGAATGCACTATACCAGTCACAGATGGCTTCTAAATAATTTAAATAATACCACTAGATATTTTAAATGTACACTATTTTATAAATATATCCTTTAAATAGCTGTCCATTTAACTGTTTAATGAAAACATGATATGTTTATTCCCCTTCATGTATTTTTGGGGGTGTTTTCAGTTTTGTACAAAAACAAGGAGTTTGAAATACAACATAACATTCAAAGATCAGGTCACAGTGAGCAGGTTTTTTTCAGGTAATTTTTTGCTAAATGAGGATCATGCTGTGGGAGCCAGTAACGCTGGGAGTTTCCCATGACTGACATTATTCTTGGCATCTATAAAATGAAGATCATTTCAGTGTTACATACCTGGGGCCATGTATAGATAGAGTTTTCGAAATTAATTGTTTCCATTAGATATCATCTGCCTCAAAGACAACAGATACTCATCTACACCAAAAAGAAGTTGAATGAATGGGGAATATATTATAATCTGTTGATGGCTCACTTTAGTTTTCTACACCTTTATTGCATAGTCTCTTTCTCCTTTTTTTTTGAGACAGAGTCTCACGCTGTCACCCAGGCTGGAGTGCAGAGGTGCTATCTTGGCTCACTGCAACTTCCACCTTCTGGGTTTAAGCAATTCTTGTGCCTCAGCCTCCCGAGTAGCTGTGACTACAGGCGTGCACCACCACACCCTGCTAATTTTTGTATTTTTAGTAGAGATGGGGTTTCACCATGTTGGCCAGGCTGGTCTCGAGCTCCTGACCTCAGATGATGTGCCCACCTCAGCCTCCCAAAGTGCTGGTGTTACAGGCCTGAGCCACTGTACCTGGCAATAGTCTCTATATAATCTTTCTAAAGGAGATGGAGTTAGAAATCACTAGATGAAGTTGAGAAAGGATTTTTTAAAATCATATATAACTTTCTAAGACTTCCATTCCTGTATTAAAAAAAAAAAGTCATTTGGGAACTGACAAGAAAGAGAAAGCATTGATTGCCCTAATTGAAGAAACTTGTTTGTTTAATTGAACTTTAAAAAAATTAAAACACATGGCATTTTGCATACCTGGTAATTAAGCCACTAATAAACCCTGTCAGGACTTACAGGCATGACTACTAACTTGGTAAAGAAACTGTGCCATCGAGAAATGAACTCAGTACGAATGTCCAATAAAGTTGATTGTAAAACCAAATCGAGTACAGTACCTGGCTTATGTTGTATAAAGTATCATTGAGAAATATGAAAAAAACATACCCTAGGGTTTCCACCATCTCTGTCTACCAGGACTGTCCAGTTTCAAAACCAAAAGCTCCATGTTCCTGGAAATGCCTTTGTCCCAGGCAAATAGGATGGTTGAGCCCCTAGCATACCCACACAGCCAAATCGCCTGCACCTCACAGACAAGAGTGAAGAAGTCCTAACGTTAGAGCCATTTTTTCAGGTTGAGGCATTGCTTGTCCAGTGAGACTATTTTTACAATTTGTTTTGTACTTTCAAAAGACAAACTGCATTGATTTTTAAGTAGTTGGACAGAGTCTTTCTTTGCAGTTGTCGGGATCCCATTTGCCAGTGTGCCAATGAGCAAGTTTCTACATTGTTTTAGATGTTTTATGTGTAGGATGCCTGGACATTAGAACCTGCACACTTAGTTATGTGTCATATGTGTCATACCATGGGAAAGTTAGCAATCTTTTCACATTCCCACCTAGAAAAAATTTCACCACACAGCCAAATTAAATACTATGTTTCACCTATAAATTTTTCAGTTTGCTAAAATTTTTATTTTTTCCAACTTTCAGCTATATTTTCAATCATTTTATTTTGTCATTATTACATGTGATACAGGAGTGATTAGAACACTAAAAAATACATATTTGCCTCCTGTAAAGTCTAAAGGAACAAATTACAGTGTACATAGGGTTCAAATTTAAAAACCTCTATAGTCTTAGGCATCATCCATTTATATTCTACATATTTCTTTATAAACATAAGGGTAACTAAACTACTCTTTTGAAAAAGGAAGAAGTTATTATCTGTACATCTACCTTTGCAAAGAGGAACTTGAAGTAACATATACAGCTTCTCAGATGCTAGGGATATCTTTCTTTGACTTCTTTCATTTTAAACTTAAGTGATCTTATATCCAGAAGAGAATTAGAAAATCATAGTGTAACCAAGTGGCTTAGATACCTGGCATTGTCATTACCAAACAGCTTTCAAACACTGCCCTTTTGTTGATTCTCATTAATGTCATTAGGGTCGCTGGCTGCATGGGTTAGTTTTGTGAGGAAATGCCTAATTTTTCTTCCATATAATTATACAGCCCAGTGAAGACCTGTGATCTCAGAAAATAGATATTTTGCAAAAGGAAGACTATAATTGAGTAAATTATGATGTTAACCTTAAAAAAAAGTACTTTAAGCAGTAAGAAAAATGGGCATTTAGCCTCCTTACAGTTCTTCATTGTTTTTAGTTGTTAATTATCTCAAGTACCTGAAAATTCTCTTAAGTTATATAAATGGATAAGAGTTGAGTTTACAGGGGAGAAAATTATTTTTCAAATAAGCCGATGCAGTGTATGGAAGTAATTGATTTACTCCTAAAAAAAATCTAGCATTGTTTCATAATTTACTTTTCAATATGCTGCAGCCATTAAATTTCTAGTCAATTTATGTCATTTTCAATACACATTTGTGAGCAGTATTTATAGGTATCTGATTCATACACAGTCAGAAAGTGTTCTTAAAATTGCTTCATAAAAATTGAATGACAACCGTTAGAGGTGGAAGGATAGAAGAGGTCAGTATGATCACTCTCCTGCAGCAGGACTGTGCTACACACCTCCCTAATTCAGTGGGTCTCAAAGTGTAGTCCCTAGACCAGATGCATCAAGCATCATCAGGTAACTTATTAGAAATGCAAATTTCCCAGGTCCCACCCCAGACTGACTGAATCAGAAACTCTGGGGCCAGCACCAGCAATCTGGTTCTGGGATTATACTGTTTTAACAATATATTATATAACATATATTGTTATAATAAGACAATTAAATATATTGTTATAACAATATAACTACATATAGTTATATAACATATAACTATATATTGTTTTAACAATCCCATAATATGGACGCCTACTCAAGTCTGAGAACCAATGCCTTAACTTAATCTTAACTTCTGCTATATAAATCAGAGGGCAGGGTCAGAATACTTCACATGGGATATGGGAAGCAGTGAAAAGAAAACATCAAAAATATACATTCTGCCTCTAGGGTAAGTTAGTATTTCTATTTTACTTTTCTCACTCTTCTTACTGTCATCACCAATACTCCGATTCCTAAACATGGGTGGCCATGAGTCCTGATTAAGACTGTATCCCTGAACCAAGGACATGATGTATGCAATCTAAAGGAAAAAAGGACATATTAACAAGAAAACAGGATACACATCTCTATGAAACCTACAAATATGCAATCATATAACTATTCTTAAATTGTCAGTAGGTGAGACTCTAATTTTTATTCTGGCTATGGCAATGACTGATGCTAAGTGATACCTATATCTTCTATAGGGCTCCTCCTTAAGTTCATGGCACAAACTTGTGAGATGAGGCAATGCTGTAGCGGTTCGGTTTGTGTAGAACCACAAAAGAGAAGGAGATTGACTCTGACTTTGACTGTAAAGTATCCTTCAGTCACCAAAGTGATATGAGATCCTTTCAATATCAGATGCACAGCTAACCATCTCTTTCCATTTAGACTCTGTAAATATCAGATATTTGAAGAATATTCACATAAGCATCTTCTTTCAATTTAAACTTTATAAGAAATTTACTTCCCATCAAAGACGAGGAGATTCTTTTTAAGACTAGTTAACACTTAATCTGTGGAATGAATTTCCTCCTCCCCATTGAAGCAAGAAGGAGATTAGAGTAGAATTGCAAGCCCGGGTAACTTCAGGAAAGTGCACTGGTACTGGCTCATTATTTATTTATCCAGCAGGAAGTCTCAAGCTATATTCCCTGAAATCAACAAGTTGCCCCTTTTGTAAGGATTGCCTTTGCACGTGTTGAATTGCTGGCACAATTTTATTCTTTGAAACCAAAGAGTAAACAAAAATTTTCCCAATGTGTTTGATTTTACATGAATGTACAAATAAGTAATTCACACCGCATCTGAAATTCATTAGCATGTTGCTTTTTCCAGGAGGTAATTGCAAATCGCACACTCAAAATAAAACTGATCAAGAAAACTGCATTTCAAATATTGGCAAAAGAAAATGCTGTCATTGCAAAAATTTAAAAAGAATTGCAGGTTTGTAGTTTAAACTGAAATGATTTGTAAACATTTAATAAAAATGAAGTGAATAAATGACATGAAAGGAAGGCTGAATGCTGAGCTGTTAGCATAACTACAGATTAAAAGAAGAAACAGCTAATCAATGTATATAAATGTGTACTAAATAGACTAAAAAGCTTGAGATTTGCACTAAGTCAAATTCTAAAAGTTCAACTACCTTTCAAATGATTGTACATCTATCCCATCCAGGGTAACTAGGCAGTATTGCAAGTGAAATTGATCAAATGGAACATAAAACCATTCCATTAGAGTTCAGTGAATTCAGTCAAATTTGAGAACCACTTTCTGCTGTAGCTTAATAGAGTCAAGGTAGAAGGAAGGAATGCTCATAGTCTTTAGGGAATTTGTAATAATTGTCCCATGAGTTATCAAATAATAAAAGAAACAAACAACAGTTCAATAAAGTAACATGAGACATCACTGGAAGTACATAATGAATTGCCAAAAGTAGATGTAAAACTAGTATGTGACACAGGTAGCACCACAATTAACTAAAATACATATTTGGACAGAAAAAGAAAACGTGTTCTCAGAAATGTGGTTAAGGACAAAAGTCTGTTTCCTCGCTGGAATGGGGCATTTGGGAGAGAATGATGAGGGGACATTGGGAAATCTGACAAGGAAATTAGCATCCAAATATCAGAGGAAATAATCATACTGTAACTGCACAGAACAAGTGAGAAGCATTGTATCATGTCCACATTCCATCTGTCCTAGAATGATTTCCCAGGAGAGGTCCCCAGAAACAGTGTGTTTCTGATTGGAATGCTAGCAAGATAAGGTGGGGAAGAAAACCAAATCAGAAAGAACAATTGATGAACCACTTTGCAGAGCAAACATCTATGACTGGTTCCATCCTCCGTAACTCCACCAAAATGCTAATGAATTCATTTAGCTCTGTCTAAACATATTCCAGAACTGCATTCTGTTTTACTTATTATTGAATAGGCAATTAGTATATGTTGTTTGTATAAATGAATAGATTTTAATCATAGGAGAACTCAGACTTAAACCATCCTTGAAAATAAGCTACCAAGTACCATGTGTATATAAGGTATATTTCCCAACTATAAATGTTATACAATATTAGTGTGGTCCATCAGTAATTATTAAAAGAGACTGTCCTGTCCCTTTTAACATGGAGGTCTCAGATACCTTGTCCCCGTTTTAAGCTTATGCTACTTGAAAGAAGGATTCATAAAACCTATTCTTTATATCCTGGATTACTAGGTTTTCCATAAATATTAGTGACTAAACAGGTTGGTGTTATTCCTAGAGGAAGACTAGTAATTGGGAACACTAGAATTCTTTTTTATTTTCCAATAAGCCATTTAACCAGGGAATGCATTTCTGTATCAAATACATCCTTTTTCAGAAATCTCATGGTGAATAATGAAAATACACTTTGGTTGGGAAAGTGTTAATATTTATGATACTTGAGGTCAGATAATCATAAGCCTGAAAAATATTTTTGTTTTTATAATTTTATTTTTAATTGAAAAATATACATATTTATGGGGTGCAATGTGATGTTTTGATATATGTATACACTATGGGATGATTAAATCAAGCTAATTAACATAACCATTACTTCACTTGTTTTTTTGCAGTGTGAATATTTAAAATCTACTTGCTTAGCAGTTTTGAAATATACACCATATTATTATTAACTATAGTCACTATGCTATGCAACAGATTTCAAAATCTTCCTGTTTAACTGAAACTTTGTACCCTTTGATTAACGTCTCCCCATCTCCCCCCATTCTCACCCTCAGCCTCTGGTAACCACATTTTTCCCTCTACTTCTATGAGTTTGACTTTTTCAGATTGTACATTTAAGTGAGATCATGCTGTAATTGTCTTTCTGTAAGGGTAGAAAACATTGATGTGAGCTCTCTGATACTGCGAAGAAACTCAAGGCTTTTGATGAACTTCTGTAAAATAAGATCAAGGGAGAAGGACTCTGAGCAGTCCATCTTACCTTGGACATTTCCCTGGCTAGAAATTATCCTTCTCAAATTTGTTTTTAGAATCCAAGAAAGTCACTTAGTTGTGTACAGGTGATTTAAAAGAAGAGTTTTCTGATCTTGTCCCAAAGTAGAGAAGCTCGGGGGAGCTAGATAAGTGAGAAGAAAAAGTCATAGCTCTCAGGAACCCAGGAAGAAAGAACAGAGCTTACTGAGAGCCCATTGAGAACTGTTAACTAGCTGAGACTTGAACTGTAGGTGAAATAAGAGTGACGTAGGGAAGGGAATCCAAGACAGCCATAAAAACTGCATGTGCTTTTATGTGTGCCTAGTTAAAATGAGAATCATGACAGGAGCTGGAACTGCATGTAGTTAAATCGTTGTGGGGAAGGTGGTGAAATAAGTTTTCACTCTAAACAGCCTTGTGTGTTGCAAGGAATCCAATCCTACTCCCTTGAGTGAAGCCACAGAACACAATCCAAAGTGGGAAACAACTCATGGGGTCCAACTCACTGCCCACCTTGCAGACCAAGTCTGTCACAACCCGGGTTAGGGAAGAATTTTTATTCAATGATGATGTTAGATTTCCCTTGTGAAATATTTTGCAGCAAAGCCCTCCTCTTGTACATACATTCACACCAGCATGCCATTAAATTAACATTTTTACTATTTTCTGAAAACTTATATATCCCAATATTTTCTAATATACCAGAATGACAAAGGGCAGTGTAAGTCTGTTTTTCAGAGTTTGCTGTTTAATCCTCAGAATCGTATTTTTACAATTTGTAAATGTGTGATATCAAAAGATTCCACTTCTAAAAAAGAAAAGTATATCCCAAGAGAAATAACTAAAAGACACTTTAGAAACCTGCCTACGTAGGCTAAATACCCCTTTTCTTGCCTAGTTTATTCTAACTATTTATGCCCACACATGTGCACACATACAGATACCTATTCAAGTACATGCCTATACACATGCATATGTACAAACATGTGCACACATTATTTTCAGTAGGAAGGTACCATGTACCAAAATGAAACTGATCATAGTTGATGATGCTTCTGAAATGACTGAATGCAGAGAGAGGTTTCCTCTCATTATTCCTGTAACATTAACACTGGAAACTGCTTTCTGAATACATGTGTTTACCTATCACAAGAGAACAGGACACCCTGGACAGTTAACTACACTTTTTGCTGAACAAAGAATTGTGTTAGATGGATTAAATAGAAAGTGTTGACAAAAAAGAAGTGAAGGTGCTGAGGTATAACCTCTGAGGCTTTGTCATCATATACTTCTGCAGCAAGATGATCATTTCATTACTAATCTTTCTCAGAGATTTGCCTGGATTTCATCCTGACCCACTATTTTATATTGAACAACTTAATTTTTGGCAAAATTGACATTTTTGATGAACTATCGTTTAAGGTGGATTCAAAAATGACTTATCTGGGACTGAACTGAATCTCCAAGCTTTTTCATTCTTCAGACTTTGGTAAATTATATAGTCAGGAAGTAGTCTGAAATAGAACTCCACTCAACAAGCAAGGCAGAAAATTCCAGTCATTCATTATGAATTAAACTTTGCAGTAAAAGCTGTGGGCACCTTTTGTTAAAACAGTTCATGTCCTGGAATATCAGAAGAATCTTAATCCAGGGAGGGAGCCAGAAAAAAAAGTCCTCCCATACAAGCTGGTAAAGATGAAGGGTTTTGGCTGGGCATGGTGACTCAAGCTTGTAATCCCAGCACTTTGGGAGGCCGAGGCAGGCAGATCACTTGAGGTCAGGAGTTCGAGACTAGCCTGGCCAACATGGTGAAACCCCGTCCCTACTAAAAATACAAAAATTAGCTGGGCGTGATGGCACATGCCTGTAATCCCAGCTACTTGGGAGGCTGAGGCAGGAGAATTGTTTGAACCTGGGAAGCAGAGGTTGCAGTGAGCCAAGATCACACACTGCACTCTAGTCTGGGTGACAGAACGAGACTCCGTCTAAAAAAAAAAAAAAAAAAAAAGATGCAGGGCTTTGTTCTGAACTTCAATCATATGACCTCCCTCCTTCAGTGATTGTCGTGGGTCAGGGTGGGGGGTAAGCTAATGGTAAAAAGAAACTAAATGGAAGAAGGAAATTTAATTGTCGTGCAATTTAAGCAGATAATAATAGTTCTGTAGAACAGGAAAGATTAGTGAACAGCTCATTCAAAAAAATGTTAAATAGCAAAACTATTGTAAATTAGAGCTCAACTCTAAGTAAACTGAAAAATATTTTCATTGATTTTTCAGTTTAAGCAGAAAAATGGATTGTGTAAGCATGCCAGAGCATTAGTTTCCAGTAAACCAACCTATCACAGAAGGTTAATACACCAAATGGACTATTAGAATGTCAGTCTGTTAGAAAAAGAGCTTATACTATCTAATTTCATTGTAAAAACTTGGCTACAAACAGTATTAGGATTCTAATAGAGCTTTAAAGAATTATTGGAAAATCAGGCTGGGCGCGGTGGCTCACACCTGTAATCCCAGCACTTTGGGAGGCTGAGGCAGACAGATCACCTGAGGTCGGGAGTTCCAGACCAGCCTGACCAACACGATGAAACCCTGTCTCTACTAAAAATACAAAAATTAGCCAGGGGTGGTGGCATGCGGCTGTAGTCCCCAGCTACTCAGGAGGCTGAGACAGGAGAATCGCTTGAAGCCGGGAGGTGGAGGTTGCAGTGAGCCGAGATTGCACCATTGTACTCCAGCCTGGGCAACAAGAGCGAAACTCTGTCACACACACACAAAAAAGAATTATTGGAAAATCTGTTTACAGTATCAAAGTCAGGAACAGGCAGACTTTACACATTACCAAAAGTATTATGAACTTACTATGAAATTTTCTTAGTAAAATACATAGTTTCTGGTTTCAGATTAAAGGAAAAGTTTATAGTGACAAGAGAAAATCAGGAAGACCTTAATAAAGAAGATTACACTAATTATTTAAAAATGTGAATGGTATTTTTCATTTTCTCCATAGCTTCAAAAAATTGAGTAAAAGTCCTGAGAAGTGGATAAAACTAACTGCAAGCAACAGACCTGTTTATTTTTCAGTGTAAATCTTGATAGGCTGAGAAGATAGGAAAAGAAGAATCAGTGCAGGTTCAAATTCATACCAAGCCTTTGCAGTTGGAGATCCTAAGTTTTGTAATTATTCTAATAGGTAATATATTATTGTTATGCCAAAGCTGTTGCTCAGCAAAAAAAAAAAAAAAAGAAAAAGAAAAAAAAAAAAGCCACTATCCCTTAGAAGAGAAGAAATAATTTCTCTGTCACAGTTAGGTGAACCTCTGTATTTAGTCAAGGTTCTCCAGGAAAACAGACCCAATAGGATACATGCAGAGAAAAAGAGGGAGAGAGATTTACTGTGAGAATTTCTCATGTGATTATGGAAGCCAAGAAGTCTCATCATCTGCTGTCTACAAGCTGGAAAACAAGGAAAGCCAGTGGTGTAATTTGGTCTAAGTCTAAAGGGCTAAAAAGGGTGTGGGAGATGGGAACTGCTAGTGTAAGTCCCAGAGTCCAAAAAATCTGAGAACCAGGAGTAGCTCCAATGCTCCTTTCTTAAGGGCAGGAGAAGATGGATGTCCCCTCTCAAGAAGAGAAAAAGAAAATTAATCCTTCCTCTGACTCTTTGTTCTATTTGGGCTTTCAATGGACTAGATTACATCCACCTGCTTTGGTGAGGGCCATCTGCTTTACTCAGTCAATTCAAATGCTGTCTATTCTGGAAACACCATCACAGACACACTCAGAAATAATATTTTAACAGCTATCTAGGCATCCCTTAGCCCAGTCAAGTTGACACATAAAATTAACCATCACAAACTCTTAACCACAAAGATCACAACTGGGTAACAGCAATTGCTGAAAATTCATGACTTGGTGTTGCTTGCCTATTGGTCAATTTAAAAAATATATACTGCATGCTATTATCATGAAAAACTCAAGCTATTGATGGTACTTCCTGGATCTTCTGCAAATCTCAAGTTTCAGTGACACTCACCCTCTAGCACCACCTACCACCACCACACAGCACTCAAGTATGAAAATCAGTCTTCTAAGGAAAAAGCAAAAATTCAGGGAGTACCTGCTAGGGTAGGGGCCAGGACTATATTCAAACATACATTTGTGGAGAAAAAGCAAAAACGGAGCAAACAACTGAGCCATACCTTTATCTTCCAGGCGCTGCTTCTTACCCTGAAAGACAGGACCCCCTGTAAGAGAAATGACAGGCAGAAAAAAAGTTGTGGAATGTAACTGGGAGGGAGAAAGAGAGCAAGACAAGGGAGTTGAGGACAATGAGCAATCACAAGACTATACCAATCAAAAGTAGATTCTCCTAAAGTATCTCATAAGATATTGTAATTACCAACTGTCCACTCATATATGTATGTATACATATATATGTATACATGCATATATATTTGTATAAATGCATATGTCCCTCAAAAGACTGATGAAGGAAAATAGAAAAGGTGACACCTAATAAATTGGTTTTGCTGTTTTTATAAAATTGGCTAAAGAAGTCTTTAGATTTGGGATTCAATTGTTTAATATGTTTTTTAGAATCTCCTGTGTGTTATGCATTATAGATTAGTGCTTCTCAAATATTAATGAACATATCAGTTCCCTGGGGATCCTGTTAAAATGAAAATTCTGATTCTGGGTAGGTCTGGGTTAAGGCATGACATTATACATTTCTAACAAGCTCCCTGGTTTTGTTGATGTATGCAGAACCTGTCTTCCAGTAGCTGACAGTATCCTTCCTACCAAGAAACTGATATGTCTAATGGATTCTTCATCTTCTACTTTCTGCAGCAGCAAATGGGGTATAATCTGGATAGAGTCAAATTTGCATGTGGTTACTTTTCAAAAATACATTTTTCTCCTTTGGTTAGATACTGTTTCTCCAATACAAATTACATTGTAACAGCTATAGCTATAAATCACAGATATTTCCCTCTCTTACTAATTAATAGAATTTTCTCCTGTAGTGGAATGTTTTTATGCTTGAATGCTCAAGAGGATTCCAGAAAGTAGTCTTTGGCAGCAAAGGGTGGTGGAAACCCCATGAAACTAAGCAAGAGACAAAAGTTCCCATTTGGGTCTTCCCCTAAATGACTTGCTGACTTTATTAAATCAGTTTATCTTGCTGGATAGTTTTCTCAGCTATTAAAATTAAGAGTTGTCCTTTCAGCTCTTACTTGAAATTATTTACAAAGAACAGGAAAGAGAAAGAGACAGAGAGAAAATGAGTGCACTTTGTCTAGGCTGTAAGCCTTGTGGATGTATGGTGATGATATGGTTCTTGATTGATATATGCCTGGCATTTAAGCTGTTTCCATTGATAGTTCATTTTTGCCTTTTGGATGGCATTTTTATCAGGAAAACATACCGAGGCAAGTCAAAATCCACCTTGGGAAGAATGCAGGTGCATTCTGTGATTATAATAGAATTAATGACTCAGAAGCAAAAAACCAGCTGGTTCTAATCACCTGAATCTTTATTGACAAAACAGTTCACACCTACTACTAGTTGTTTGCTAAAAGTCTGCACCAAATCACTGAAGCTTTAAAAGCTAGATCACTGCAGTCTTTTCCCCAGGCACTGACATGGGTAATTACGGTATTGTGGTTCATGCCACAGCCCCAGACTTCATTTCAATCCTAGCTTGGAAAGGAGTTATTTTTATTTTGGTGCGCAGGAAATAAACTTTTTGCATATATTAATATAACCCCATGTAAAATGTAAAGGTGCCAGCACTAAATGTGACCAGCCCTTTGTTATGTTCTTGATTCTTGAATTAAGGTTTCCCATCTTCACTGGAGACGAGTGCCTTTCGGCAAAGAACTATCTGTTTAAAGTCTGAATTAGTTCATTTCACCTTTTGGAATTTCTTTCAGCCTCCAACTCAAACCATGCTTACAACCAAAGCCATGAGTCTTGCCTGAGTTTACGTATTATTTTCCATCACATATGAACCATAAGGAAGTCTATGTGCTAGTTAATCTGTTACTGCATAACAAATTACTCCAATGCTTAGTGACTTAAAACAACAAACATTTATTACCTCACCTTTTCTCTGGGTCAGGAATCAAGTTGTGGCTTAGCTGGGTCCTCTGACTTTGGGTCTCTGACAAGGCTGCAGCTCATTCAAAGCTCGACTGGAAAAGATCCACTCCCTAGCTCAAATACTAGTGGTTGCTGGCAGGATTGACTTCCTGCCTCTGTTTCTCATAAATTCTTCCACCTTCAATTCCTTGCCACATACACTTCTCCATAGAGCATCTCACAACATGGCAGCTTTCTTAGCAAGTGAGGGGGCAAGAGAAGGTTCCAGCAAGAGAGAGGATGCTAATAAGACCAAAGTTAAGAGTCTTTAGTAACCTAATCATAGAAGTGGCAACCCATCAATTTTGCCATATACTGTTCGTTGGAAACAAGCCCCTGGTGTGAATGCCAAGATGTTGGCATCATTGAGAGCCATGTCAGAAGCTGCCTACCACAATCTAGAATTAAAATTCTCCCTGAGTTGACTCCAACCATTTAGAGTTAAACCTAGAATTTTAAATGATTTCAAAAAGCAAAATAGGAATTCAGAGCAAAATATACCCCCTCCCCAGCAGTGCAAGAGGCTGTATGACTCATGCAGATAGGCAGCCTAATGGGTGTGGTCAGTAGCACAGGCAAAGAAGAACCTGGCTGTTTCTAGAAGCTCCTTTTGAGTAAACGTAGCCTTTTCTTCACTGACCTGAGTCTTCTAAAATGCTATCAATCCTCCTCAAAAACACTCATAAATGATTCCATCTCCTTCAATTTTAAAACTAGTTTAAAGTCTTTTACTCCACTCAACAAGTAATTTTCATAAAACAAAAACTTTAAGGACAAGCATAAAAACTCTTTATTGCTGATTAACATGTACTCACATGCTTGTTACATAAAAGACATTTAATAAACACTGCTCTTGCTTTATGTTACCTTTTGTCCTAGACATTCCAATATTTGTGTTTGTTAGGGAATCATGGATATCACATTCTCCATCTCTCTCCTAGAAATCCCTGTTCTGTTCTGTTCACATTTTTCTTCCCACAGTCTATTCAAAAACCTGCTCCTAGAATCATCACCTTTATGTTTAAATATGTTTACATCGTTTCTTTTGCCCCAAAAGTCTACTAGAAGACATGCACTGAACATATCCTAAGATTACAATAAATAGGTTGTTTAAGAGTTAAAACTTCAGAAGCAACAAAATCTAACATGAATTTTCTTGGGGTCCCAAGGAATAGGTATCTCAATAAGAGGCAGGATAGTGGCTTATTTTTCAACAAAGCGGCACTAATGAAGTAGGATAGCACTCTGAGGAAAAGAGGAAAGATATATGACTAAAAATCGATAAAGGTAGAAACCAATTTAACAATAATAGCAGGACCTATAATATGAGATGGTGGCATGAAGGGACAGCTGCCAGCCACATCCAGTTTCCCCATGAAGAATACTCTAGTAGCCAGATTGTCAATTAACCAGAGAGAAAAATAGAGAAAAGGCTAATTCAGCTATTAGAAAGTATAACTAAAATCCAAAGCAAAGTTTTGGGTTTTTTTGGTAAAGAAGATAGAAATAGACCAAACATTCTTAAATTGCTTTTAAAAGTGCATAATACAGCTCTGTATGGAGCACAGTACATTTTCTCCTTAGTTTACTCTCCCCCAGATTATTTTCCAGATTTCTCCAGGTGTTTCTCATGCCAATAATAAAAACCTCTGTGAGCCAGTTGAGTGGGTTGTGGGATAAATGGGTGCCTCACAGCCAGGTAGAGGCCAACCCGGAGCATCCCGGGAAGGCTGGTCTAGTCCACGAAGAAGGCAGTGAGAGTTGGTGGGGGGGATCGTGGGGGCAGTCAGATCTGATTCCCTTTACAGTGAAGCCCAGAGGGGAAAAAAGCATTCTGCTCATAAGATTTCCTCATATTCAGCCATCCATTTGCTAATATATTCTCTTGACATAAGTAGCCCCACTAAATTCCTCTTTCCTCATCACCAACTCTAAAATGACAGTTTAAGGATTATCCTTTCTGCCACTTACCACGAAACTCAGCTCCAAGCCAGTTTGTTGTAGGTTTCTGAACTTAACCGCATAGCTCACAACTGAGTGTCTAATCAATCATTCTATGACTGAATCCATCTGGAACAAATTTGAAGAAGTGGCCATGTAGGTTTCTTTAGGGGAAAAAAAAATTAAACTGAAACCAGAGTTGATTTTTTCAAAAGTTCAGAAGAAAAAAAATTATAAAACTTAGCAATGACTTCCCCCCCAGAAATTGTTCATGCTCTCTGAATAAGACTTATTCTGTCCTACCCCATTCTGCATTGCATTTAATCCTTCAGAGAGGTGACCTGTGAATGTGTTGCAGCAGAGTCCACTTTCCTGATAATGAGCTCATGGTCACTACTTGGGTAGAAGGGAAGAGGGATATGGTGTGGCCAGGTGGTCACCATAACCTCATGTTGCTCTTAAATTCCCAAACACACAGGGCTCAACTGAGAGATTATGTAACCAAAAGAGCCTGTTTCTGGTCAATTCTTGCTAGACCACTGGTTTTTGCCCCATACGCATTAAAGGATAATTTAAATAATGCAGCCAGGTAGATTTAAGTACTAGATGGTTTTTAGAACTCCATCTTTCCTTTCCTTGCTAGGCCCAAATTGTTAATGTAAGTTTAGGATATACTTCTCCATATATACCCTTAAGTCTGCACCATCCATGCATTTGTTCAATCTTTAATGATTTATTCATCAGTTCATGCATCAATGCATTCAATTAACACGTGTTCAAACTGTACTAGAAGCCTAGGCACACCACCTTTCTTACAAGGACTTCCTAGTCTGTCTGAAGATGTAACATAAGGTCAGACTTTTAAAAATTAAATGATACAAATAATTCAGCTCAATAATTCAAGTCAACAGACCCTAGTTGAGAGCCTCAGTCCCCACATCATCAGTGGTAAGTGGCGATTACTGAAAAATTCTGGAGAAGTCAGAGGAGGAATTGGTGCTGCCACCAGGTAGCCAGTTAGGACTTTTCTGAGAGAATGGATGTGATGCAGTTAATGAAGGATGAACCAGAGGGGAACAAACCTGAGAAGAACAGGACAGGCTTTGGTGGGTGGACACCCTAGGTGCAGCATAATGGTGACAGTATTGTCCTTGTGTATCAAACTCTCCTTTCATGTCTCTTGCTAGCATAGTTACCATACGTACAGTACTTGAAAGTAATGCAATTCTTTTTTGAGAAACTCACTCCCTTTTCCATAAATCATACTGACGTCAGCCCTCACCACCACTGTTCCCCACCCCAGTCCCAGTGTCACTGTTTGGGTTGAGGCAAGGCAGGTACTGTGGGTGCAGCAGGAAACAAGATCGGAAAATTCCATTGGAAGACAGTTGAGGTAGGACCCAGAATTCTTGGTTAAGCCATTTAGATTTATTACTGTCACAATTAGTGACAGATTTTGAGCGAAGAGTGACATAATGAAAACCCTATCTCCAGACAGGTGTAGGATGAGGAGGAAAAAAATACATTTACACATATGGTTAAATGTGTTAAATCATCTTAATGGGACTGAGGTGGGGAGCATTAGTGGTAAGGGCCTATGTCAGTCTGATTTATGGAAAAGGGAGTGAGTTTTTAAAGAAAGAATTGCATTAACTTTCAAGTACTGTACATAAAGTATGCTAGTAAGAGGCATAAAAAGAGAGTGTGCTACGTAAGGACTATTTTCTGGATCATAATAATTAGTTTAAAATTATTTATAATAGATAATTCATTATTTTGCCACAGAGCAGCTTCTGCTGTGTGAAACAGTGATTCTAAACAAGTTTGACTCTAAGTAGGGTGAACAGTTTGTTTCTAATATTATTGAGCAATATATTTATTCGTAGGTATTACAAAGATAAGCATCAATTACAAATTAACAAGATGGTGTAATTTCACCCCCCACACTTCATGAAATAACCAATTTGGAGTTAAATAGGCCCTTCAATGGTCTACTGAACAATCAGCCTCTCTGCCTCATGCTCACATTCATTAAACTGTAAAATGTTCGTTAATCGTAGTGTATGACTGAAGGAATATGGAGCAAGTCTCTAAATATAAACTATGTCTAAACAGTCTGTTAACAACAATTACTCTTATTTTAGCATGTTTAAGGCAGTCACCCTGCAAAATACGATGAATTCAACCTAAGCAGAGTCATTGTAACAAGGTTTTTGCAATATTGGAAATTATAGCAGGAGGCAATTATCCATAGGCCCATTCTACCCCACAACCCCCCTACCATCCATTCTGCAAATAAGCATGAACTAAAAAGTAATCTGGTTGTAGATAGAGGAAAGCAACAAGTTTTCCTGATACATCTAGGGGAAACATTTTCCAGTTAAAGGTTATTTTTATATAAAAATAAGAATTTAAAAGCGGTACAGAAAGAGGTTTGGGAGTAGGGGTGAGGCTGGACTGCCGAGCTAATAAAACAAGAATTTAAGAACATAAGAATAGATGGTTTAGTTTATGGATTAATCCAAAAGAATTTTAACTGGATTTCGATCTCACTTCACTAAGTCTTGACTTTTTTTCTTGGGAGACCCCACAGCTAGTTTGGAAAGGTAAAACACCTGGTTTATCCATTTATTGACCTATTTAAGTTTCCATTCTGAAACACTTCATTAATAATAGTCATACCTGTACTTTTCCTTCTCAATGGTGGGGGTCTGCTGGAGATGATGTGTTCATTATCTGGAATTTACTTTTTATTTTCTATCAGATTTAGGAAGAATAAGATCGGGGAAAAATTGATATTGCTTTGTTAGTTACAGCTGGGGAGATAGCACAAAACCCCAGACTAGGTATCCTGTAGCTGGATCCCTAAACATCATTTCAAAGTGTGAGACTATTCAACAAGCCTGAATTAAGTAACTAGTAAATGCAAAGCATAGTGGGTGCTGAGAATACAAAGATAAAAGCTTATGGGGCCTACCCTCAAAGAGTTCTCAGTCTCTGAGGAAGCAGACAGTAATTACAGTGTGACATTTTAAGTCCCATTTTAGTGACTTCCTAGAGAAGGTGACACCAGGCCTCCGTCTTGGCAAGTTGTGGCATTTAGACTTTAGAGAAGTAGGGAAAGGAGAAAGAATGTTCCAGGCAGAGGGAGCAGCATTTGCTAAGGTCATGAGAAGATGGGAAAAGGGAAGAGCAAGTTGTTCTGCATAACTTCAGTGTGCAGTACATGAAGATAGACAAGAGTCAAATCATGAAGGGCCTTGCCAGTCATGTTTTAAAGTTTGGGTTTCATCCTGAAGGTGGTAAGGAGTGATGTAATCAGCTTCCATTTATACAAAATGAAAGATGCCCTGTATCAGTCTGAAACTTGTGTATGCAAATCCACATGAAATGTGCCCTCTTTGCTCACAAAGGAATTAAATGCATCATTTACTTTTAAAATTTATTTCTGAGTTCTCATTTGTTAACCTGTCTGGATAATTTTATTGTAACTAATTACAACTGGTTTTATTCTCTATTTATAATAGTTCTACAGGGGCAAATTAAATATAGATTTCATTCAAGAAATAACACAGGTCTGTCTGTATGCTTAAATTTTTATCAAACATAAGGAGTAGGGAAAATATTTTAGCTCAAGGAAAAGCTACAGAAGTCAAACTAGCCTTAAAAATTGAATCAACAGGTAATGCATCGTTTCAGGCCATTTCTAGTTTTTCTCCACATAGAATATAACTGCAACTCTTAAAGGATTTTTACTGTTTGAGGTTTGCTCCATTTTAGAGTCTGTGCTACCACTTACTGGAACACTGGATTGAAAACAAAATTGTAATTCAGCCTTTGCAGAAGTTGCAAGGAAATTTTACACATTCACGTTTTTTGTCACAACATCTCCTAATCTTGTAAGACAAAGTGTTGTAATGATGATATAATTGTGTAAATACTATGGAAGCGTCAAATGTTATTTATCTGAACTGTTTTGCCAGTTTATAGTATAAACATGCTAGAATTTATACATCCAGCCTAATGGATATCTCAATTGCTACCTTCAACAAGTTGAGGCTATAAAATTATATAGGCCACTGATACGTGCCTGGGGTTATCCAGCTGTTAGTTTCCCAGTGGAGAATGCCAGACTTTGGTGGTCAGAGCAAAACTCGTTTAGGACCCTGAGCCAGCCAGACAAGGTGCTTCATCCTTAAGGGGGCTTTAATTAAGGATGAGGTGAGGAGCAGCCATTGCCCCAAGTCAGTAGAGTTTCCAGAGATAGTGAGTTTGCTGCAATTCTCTTTCTTAAAAAAGATAATTTGGCCGGGCGCGGTGGTTCACGCCTGTAATCCCGGCACTTTGGGAGGCCAAGGCGGGCGGATCACGAGGTCAGGAGATAGAGACAATCCTGGCTAACACAGTGAAACCCCGTCTCTACTAAAAATACAAAAAATTAGCCGGGCGAGGTGGCGGGCGCCTGTAGTCCCAGCTACTCCGGAGGCTGAGGCAGGAGAATGGCGTGAACCCCGGGGGCGGAGCCTGCAGTGAGCCGAGATCGCGCCACTGCACTCCAGCCTGGGCGACAGCGAGACTCCGTCTCAAAAAAAAAAAAAAAAAGATAATTTGTGGACACAGCTGTCCTAAAGGTCACCTGAACAAGCTACTTTCTGTGGTGACCTGGAGTTGAGCTGGACCCCCAAGGGGAGTCTTTACTGGTAAGATAGGGAATTTAGAGGGAGGCTTACGGACAAAGGCAGACAAGTGGCAAGAATGTGTTGCACGTGGCAGTAGGTGGCCAGGCTGATGCAGAGGGCCATGTAAGATGGCACTGATGAGATGGAGCCCAAGGAAAAGACAATTTTATGTATGGAACCATCTGTTATGTGGCAGTGAAGATTCAGACCAATCATACAGGACCATCTGCATTTTGTTAACACCTGTGTGCACAGTCACAGGCAGGTCTTGGAGCCCTGGGAGCCTGGCAGCAGCCCAGCATCACTAGAAAGGTGAAGATGGCAGGGACAGCCCTGCCAATCCTGCAAGGAGTGCACTAGAGAGCCTCAGCACTGGGCCAGGGAAGCTGCCCAAGAAGCAGTGTCCAGGGCCCACAGACCAATAGAAGGCAGTCCTCACACCATTTCAGAGGTGGCAGCAGTCAGAGTTCTCAAGTTGGAAGAATGGTCTCAGGGGCAAATGCAAAATTCAGTATTTAAGTAGGAAGGGGTCAGAAATGTAGGATGATGATTGATAGGCTAGGATGACAACAGAGAAGGAGTCAGCCTAGCCACGTGATTCATCACCCTATTACCATAAGCATGGTGCTTTTCCTTGGGCCTTAAGTTCTTTCATTTTTCCTATTTGTTAATACTCTCTCTTACAAGAGTAACAAGAAACAGTCACGTATGTACATATCATTTACCTTCAGCTATAATGAAGGCATTTGAAGAAGGTCATTTTGTATTCAAAGAAACTATAATTAACTTTCCAAAAGAATACTTTTCTAATATGCCATGGTTTTACTATATTACTAGCACAACATTTAAAAAAACAAATATTGGCCCAAAATTAAACTCTCCTATCTGATATGACTGAATGAATGTTTCATTAAATACAAGTGGTGTAGATCACCATGCTGCTTAGTGAAGACTCTGCCAACCTGCTTATTTGAAAAGTCAGGCATACAACATTTTCATCTTAAAGTCTAACTCTAAGCTTTGTTATTAAGAACAAATGACCAGAAATCCTTGTCCTGGCTTTATATGCATTTAACTCTATGACATTTGAAAATATTCCCTGTTTTTTCATAGTTCTGATCGATAATTTTATTACTGTCTTGAAAGATGGTGACCACAATGTCCTTAACATTCTCAAAAAAATAAATAAATAAAAGTTGCTGCTGAAATTTACATTTTTCATATCTTTTTCATAGCTAGAACTTGTTCACACAATAGTTCTCTCTCAGAATTACATGTAGGTTCTAATTAGAGCTCTAGTTAATGTTATGTGTGCTAGGTAGTCTTTATAAATATTAATACTTCATTGCCATGAAGCGATTCTGTAGCCATCAACAGTCCTTTCCTCTGATAGGACTGATTTTATGGAATCAAATATTATGAAATGCAGAAGATACTAGATTTGTTTTGTTTTGACAGATTTTGTTTTGTTTGAATGTTTTCAATTTTCCTAATGAGAAATAACTTTTAGCAAGAAAGGCTGTGTTTGCCTGTTCTTGTATCCATTCATCTGGAATATGCCAAAGGAGGGGAAGGTCATACCATAGATGCTCCTGTTGATTGGGTGTTAGTCATAAAGACCATATTGAAAACATGACACTAAGCAACAAAACAAAGGTAGGATATTTAATAATGTGAAAGTATATAGAAAATTACATTAAAAACCCCAACTTCCTGCAGTGTTCTTGCTTCCTTCCATCTGTATATAGCTGAAGTACCACCCTGATCCCACTACCAATTTAAGTCTTCACACTGTTAAGTATAATTTATTGAGCACTTACTGTGGACCAGGTACCTCCATTTTGAGTGTGTATTGTTTTAATTGTCCTCACAGTATCATTTTGAACTGAACATTCCCCGACTTCATAGATGTGGCAGTGAGATTTGGAAGAGTAGAAAAGTCAAATAACTTTCCCAGGACACATAACTAAAACGTGATGTTGCTTGGATTTGAACTGAGACCTATTTGACTCTAAAACCTGTGATCTTACCCACCCTTCTGTCTCAAGCATATTTCTGTCAGTGAGTTGTTTAAGAGAAAGAGTTATTCTGTGATTCTCAGACTTTCTAAAAAGATCAACAAGTCCTCCCCTGAACTCCTAATTCTTGGTATAATAAATTATATATAAACATTAATTCTTGGTATAATAAGGCTAGTAAAAAAAAGCTAGCATAAGCAACTACAGAAAGATACAATCTCAAATAAAATAACTTAGAACTTAAAAATACTAGCTGTTAGAGAATAGTATGATTCCTCTAATTCTGAAACTCATGAAAAGAGATTCGTAATTGAAGGTCACTGACAGGGTACCCCCTTACACCTATCTGGCAGCCTCACAGTCATCCACATTAACCACATATGTGCCTGAAGCCAAAGGTTTTCACTTAAAAGTTTCTATAAACAAATTATTACATTTCTAGGGGAAAAAATAATCCTAGGCTAATTTTAAAATTAACAATCTGAATTGCTCAATTTTTCCATTTTCTTTCAAAATGAAAACTTGGAATATGATAGACTCCGTGGATGTGCTCCATACAGTAACCATTTTAAGTATATATAACAGATCTAAGAACGTAGAGTTTGGTTTTTTTCATCCGTTTATTCATGCCAAGAAATTCTCTTTAAGATTGACTTAGTTTGGCATCAACCTTTAACACATCAACTGCATAACTGGCTTGGGTCTACCTGCCTTTGTACTCTGCAGACACACAAACCATGTATAGGGCATGTTTCTCCACCAGATTTTCTTTTTCAGAATTTGCACTGCCAAACAGACATTAAGCTACTCTAAATTCTTGACAAGTATGTAACTTTATAGGAACACAGTAGTGTATTTAAACATTGAAGAGAACTTTCTATTCATCCCACTCTTCTAACAGAGCCATTTAATCCTATCCAGAAAGATGAGTCCATTTTCAGACTCTCCTTTGATCCTACAGATTAGAGGGACAGAGAAGTCACCACTGAAAATTGAAAAAGGACGCAAGAAGAAATGGAGATCCATGACCATGGCCCCAAGAAAGCAAAAGCATGTTACTCAGGTTTCCCAAGATCCAAGTTAGAGAGGGGAGAAGAGATTAGAGCTAGAAAACAAATACTTTTAAAAACAGCATTTTGGAATTTATCAAAGTAGGCTTTAATGTCAGATTCATAAAAATGAAACAGATCTCAGAGAATGTATTTTCTGAGAAACTTATTTCTGTCCCCAATGGAAATGTAAAGTAAAATGCCCCAGACTCATTTTAAAGTCCAAAGACTATTTTATATGCTAGCTTTGAGAAGCCTTTAGAATTGCAACACTCACAGGGTCAGAAGTTTTTTTGAACAGATTTTCTTTTGTCCCTTATGGCCTTTAGGCACTCCTTGAGCTAATATTCAGGAGTTATTTGAATGCTGTTGCTTCACAACACTGAAAGTGTTTTAACATAGAGGGAGGAAAATCCCACAGCCTATGTCATCATAATTTATCAACAAATTAAGTCCAAGAATGCATGATAATTTATGGATAACTTGGAGGAAATGGTAACTATGGTATCAATTTGGAACAAAACCAGGAAGTCAGATCTCACTTGATTTAATGTTATCTGAAGGATTTGGGCACAAGTTTAACATTTTGATCACGGAATAATCTTATGCCTTAACATGATGAAGACTGAGTCTTCCTTCCTGAAAAATCCTTAATACAGGACAAGAAATAATGAGTCTAAAATTTCGTAACTGTTTTCCTGCTCAAGGAAGAGAGAAGGAATAAATAACCACTTACAATGAAACCTTTTCTTGCTACACTTCATCATGAGGCAAGTATTTCAGATGTTGGGAGATAGATTGTAAAGGTATAAAAGTTAACTTCACAGCTATACAAAGCTATACGTATGTGCACCATGTGTCAAATGAGAGAAAGTATAGATATTCAATGTTGTTGAATCCTCACAATTTTCTATATTAGAGTGGATGCAGCATCTGTTTTTCAATTTTTAATCATCAACATTGTCAAGCTTAGAGAAAAGTTGACTGTACAGTACAATTAACAAGGAACACCCACCGTTCAGATTCAAAAATTATTAAAACTCTGTCATATTTGCATGTAGCATGTTAACACTGTTTTTAAACACAGATGACTAGTCAAATCCCCCACCTCCTGCTGGGATCCACATTGAATCGTTTGTGTATTTCCAGTGATAGGAAACTCATTATCTCCTAATACATCAAAACAAATAATAACCACATTTTCTCTTACACTGAGCGAAAATCTGCCTTTCTTGCATTTCTAGCCATTTATTCTATTTCTGCTTTTTGGAAATACATGGTCAAGATCTTTTCCTCTTCCCAGGGAGAAGAGCAGAAAAAATAACTATTGAGTACTAGGGTTAGCACCTGACTGACAAAATAATCTGTACAACAACCCCCAGTGACACAAATTTACCTATATAACAAACCTGCACATGTACCCCCAAACCTAAAATAAAAGTTAAAATAAAAAGATCTTTTCCTCCTTCCCTAAGCTCCCTTTCATAACCCTGAAGATGATCTCAGATATAGATCTCATCTATGTTTTCTTCTCTTGTAAATTGAGTACAAAGAAAAAGATAAGGATGATATGAGGAGGTAGGGTAGGGCTATGGGCCTTCTTATGGGCTGGCATTTTTTTCCATAAATTTTGATCTGTAATATTTTCATTTTCATTCAGTTTGAGATTTCTCAAATTTCAATTTAGCTATCTTTAAACCATGGGTTGTTGTGAAGTATGTCTAATTTTCCAAAAGAAGGGCTTTTTCTAGTTTTGTTGTTGTTGTTGTTTCTATCTTATTTGCATTGTAGTTGGAGAACATAATCTGTATATTGCAAATTTTTGAAATTTATTTAGACTTACTTTAATGCCAGCATATAGCCATTTTCTTTTAATGTTCCCTCAGTATTTAAAAAGGCTATGTATTCTGTACTGTGCTCTATACATGTCAATTAGTTCAAAGGTTTTAATCACATTTTCTATTCATTTCTGAAAACATGTATTTATTCTTTCAATTACCAGGAGAAGTGTGTTAAAATCTTACTGTAACTGTGCTTGTCAATTTTTCCTTTTAGTTTCATTCATTTTTTTATTTGTCTATACTGAGCCTATATGATTAAGTGCATTTAAATTTAGAATTTCTACATATTCCTGGTAAACTGAAACTTTTATCATTATGTAGTATTTTTTTAATTCTCTAATAATCTTTTTTTTCCATAAAGTCAACCTCTTCTAATACTAATATTGCATAGCCAACTTTGTTTTGGTTAGTGTTTGCATAAATATTTTCCATCTTTTTTATTTTAATCTCTGTGTCCTTGTATTTAAATTATGTCTCTTGAAACAGTATATTTGGGTTTTGTTTTTTAATCAATTTGACAATTTTTGGTTTTTAGTGAGTGCATTTAGTCCATTTACATTTACTATAACCACTGATATGTTTAGGTTTAAAACTACCTACCATTCTATTTGCTTTTCATTTGTCCTGCACATTTTAGTTTCCTTTTGTTTTCTTACCTTCTTCCTAAATTGATGGAGTATTTTGTATTATTCTATTTTCCCCTCTATTAGCTTTGTAGTTTTATTTTTTTTTTTTACCATTCCTTTATTGTTTTTCCTACAGATCATTTGAACATGCATCCATGACTTATCAAAATTTAAGATCAATTAGTACTTTTAACTCTTCCTGCGTGATTCAAGGACCTTAAAATATTTAAACTCTATTCCTCTTCCTGCCAAACTATATATGCTATTATTCTCATGTATTTTAATTCTAAATATTTTATAAATCCCAAAATACTTTACTATTATTGTTTTAGGCAGTCAGTACTTATTTAGATTTATCCACATCTTTATTCTTTTTATTGTGCTGGAATTTTGAATCAAAAAGAGAACAGAAAAAAGAATTTAGTGCAAATAAGGGCCCTGAGGCATATGGAGAAACATTGCGCAGAAAGATCATAAGTAAGATATAATGAAATGGGCAGGAAAATACACACAAGAAAGTAACATTCTCTGAAGGCAAGAGGCACAAAGGTATTCTTTATTGAAAAAGCTTTAGGCAGTTAATGAGTTGGAGAAGTATTGCCAAGTTACACTCACCAAATTTAGTAGTATGCCTCAATTTAGTGGGCACAAAAGCTGCTTATTGTTGAATGAACAACAAGCATAATGTAATTGGTTTCATACAATTAGGAGGTCAGCAAGCCATGCTTGTTATAATTGGCACTGCCATAGTCAGGGGCTTATGCGACCTCAAGTGATGATTTGCCTGAAGGAATAAGCCAGGAATGTGTGTGCTTTGGGCTCCAGAGACTTGACTAATCTGGCTGCAAGGCCTCAGGGAGGGAGGCCAAGAATCAAATCACAGTGCTCAGGCAGGGCTTGGTAGACTCAGTTGAATGTAGTCAGTCTCCATTCAGTTCATCACTCACCAGTGTTTGAGCCGGAGCCGGGGAAGTGGGAGATAGAGGAGAGGAGAGATCAAGTGGCCGGGAACCAGGAAAACACAATTGAAATGTCAGTGCAGAGGCATCCCATAATAGGGCGGGATCTTAATTCCTCCCAAGGCCATCCACTTTGAAGCAGGTCTCCAGCCTGTGTGGCATGGGCTTAAACCTTCACACAAAGGGTCTTTAATTTCTAGTACTGAGCCACTCTGGAGCAAAGACTGATGTTGCTGTTTGTTTCAAAATACAGGTTTACCTCCACAAGGTAGCAGACTGATGAATGGTTGTTAATATCCCAAATATCAGGGTTTTCTTTTCCCAAACATTTTCTAAATTAATAATTAAGTTTAAGAAGGCCTGTAATCCCAGCACTTTGGGAGGCCAAGGTGGGTGAATCACAAGGTCAGGCGTTTGAGACCAGCCTGGCCAACATAGTGAAACCCTGCCTCTACTAAAAATACAAAAAATTAGCCAGGCATGGTGGTGGGCGCCTGTAATCCCAGCTACTCAGGAGGCTGAGTCAGGAGAATCGCTGGAATCTGGGAGGTGGAGGTTTCAGTGAGCCAAGATTGCACCACTAAATGCTAGCCCAGGCAACAGTGCAAGACTCCATCTCAAAAAAAAAAAAAAAAAAAAAGTTTAAGAAGGAAAAAAAAAGAGTTTAGCTGGGTATGACATACTCACAAAGATGCCAGAAAATACTCCTAACAATTAACAATCATTTAACAGTAGACAATGTTGTTTCCTTGAGATTCTGAAAGCATAAGCTTCATGTTGCCAGTGGGCAAAAACAGCTGAAGAATGAGAAGTAAAGCCTTTGTTTCTTTGCTCTTCCTCTGTTTCAGCCTATGACCCATTGGTTCATCTGGTTTATGTGTAGTACAGATGAGTCACAGATTGGTCGTTCACATGCATTAGTTGGTTTTCTTCCCCATGTTCATGAACTGTATGCCTAACCTCATCCAATCATCTGGCAAATGAACACTGTTGTCCACAGAGGAAGCTACGTGAGGGGGGTCCATTTGCAATGCAAATCCGTCATCATTGCTAGAAAAGCAATTCGAAGTAGCATGATTTTTTTCCTATGAGAACAGCATATTGTAAAGTTCTGATAGAACACAATGCAATGCCAAGGGCTTCTAGGACACTTGATTTCGCCACTCTCTAAAACAAAGAAATGAACTATCAGGGAGGCTGATAATTTGTTGATTTTGGTGATATTTTTGTTTATCATTTAAAGCACACCAAATTATTAACAATCTGTTTTGCCAGAACTGATAAGAATCTAGAACTATAAATCTACTGCTGGCCATCGATTAAGACAGTTCTCTCTTGTTACTTAATATTAGTATTTATTTTCTCCACTAGAACTGCTTAGCTTGAGTGAATTCTAGCTGATAATTTCAGAAGGGTGAAAAGCTAACTAGAACTGGGCATTTGGCCCAGATAAATCTGATTCCAGTACTATGAAAGAAACAGCAAGGGAACTAGAAAGTCTTTGACAAAAAAATGTTGATAATTGGCTAAAAACTGGGGAGGGAAACAGAAAACTTGGAGAGCTATGAATGTTATTCTAAGTAGAAGAAAGACGCAAGGGAGGAATCAAGGTGCTGTGACATTAACAACCCTATCTTTAAGGCTAAAAAA
The DNA here is from genome assembly GCF_000001405.40 of Homo sapiens. NCBI lineage: Eukaryota > Metazoa > Chordata > Mammalia > Primates > Hominidae > Homo > Homo sapiens. The sequence goes on along the minus strand of NC_000002.12, from coordinate 55,887,324 downwards.
AATTAAAAACACCTATAAATTCACTTAAAACTACTCTCCAGAACTCATAGGAAATAAGTCTTCCTCAGGACCTAAATTGCAGAAACAAAATGGAAATCTGGTGTTTGAATCTCTGCTCTGTGTGACCCTGGGCAAGTTCCCTCAACTGAGTCTACATTTCAGTGACATCCTTTTTTTTCTTCATCTGTAAACTGTGGATGAAGTAACTACCTCTTCCACAGGGCTATTAGGATTAAATAAGAAGCTTTGTAATTCTGCCTTCCCAATCAAATAATAGATCTTTTTATATTGCTAAGAATTTACCTATTTTTATACCAATTAATTTTAGAATGTTACCAAGTTTGTATATGAATCTGTATAAAATATTATATACTTTTTTCTAAATCAGATTTCAATCTACATAATTTATTATATTAATTACTCAGGTTATCATTATCAATAGCAAATACTGGATGAGTAAAACAGTAGTAAACTTCAGTGCCCTCAGGTCTTGCTGAAGTAATTCTTACCTTCCAGGATTATATTGAAAAACAAAATACTCCAAATACCTCTAAGACCTTCACTCAGTGAGTCCCTTTTATTTAAAAAGTTTCAGAGAGTAAGTAAAAAGAGTACTTTGGTAGGAACTAGTTTATCACCCTGTCTCTAGAAAGGATTGGGAGCAATCATTTTGAGCAGGTGGGTATCTAAATCATTAAGAATGTTGGGAGGAAGGAGGCCAATGGTAAAGAAGCTCTTCCTTCTAACAAACATGAATCCTTTACCTTGACCATTTTTCTACTTTACTCCATTTATGAGATTAAATCAGTTTGATTGAGGAAGCTAGGTATAATAAGGTTTTAAATCCACACAGATCAAGAAGTATCACCAACTTGAATTTAACCACTATCTTTTCTTTAACCACAAGAGTTCACAGGATAGCACCATTAAATAATATTTGCAAAGCATGCACAGTGCCCCACACAGAACTAGTAAAGATACGGTTATTTTACTCCAGGGGTTTACAGTCTGGAAACAAAAAAAGTATATTGTGAAGAATCTGAATACTTTTAAAAATCTGTGTGTTATTGTTGAGGATAGACTCTCTATTTCAGAGATGGAGAAACAAAGAGAAAAAATTGATACCATGACCCTAGATCACACAGGGAGTGACAGATTCAAAATAATTTCAGTCTTCTTTGTCCTATTACTAGTGCATTCTCATCACTAGTCTACAGTGGCTTATTCAAAAGTAGTTCTAAATTATTTCTTAAACCAAAAGCAGCACAAATTATAAAAGTCTAAATGGTACTCAACACCATTCAAGGTGCAGATAATTTTTGCCCATGAAAACATGCTAAAGGGACTCCATGTTGTGGTAAGTTATCAAATTATGGAAAGAACATTGCAGAGATTAAAATGTTGCATAAGAGAGAGAAAGCAGCATGAGTCAGGGGTTTGGGAAATATGAGTCAGACTGAAGGGAAGGAGCCAAAAACATAGAGAATGAGGGCCTAAGCAGGGACTTAATGGACACCACAGAGATGTGGACAAAGTTGTCTCCATTAACTTTGAGAGAAAATCAAATGTGCGGTTCCCTAGACGTGGGGGTCGGTGTGATAAAGAGGCTAGAAGAGCTGAGCAAAGATTAGCCTGTGTTATTTAAAGCAACTAACGGTGCCAAAGTCAGCAAGAGAGGGACCTACAATAGTATAAATCACTAGGAGGGAGCACGTGGGCACATTTTTGAAAAATGAGGGAATCACCAAATATTGCCATTAGCTATTGTTAATGTATTAGAATGACGAAATGTGTTATGGTATTTTAGGAAGCACAATCTATTATTTTGTTCTTTGGTAATGTTAACATTAGGCTCTGTCTACATAGTTCAGAGAGACTCCTTATGTTGTTCAATCCAGACTCTCTAATCCTGCCTTTAAGGCCTTGAATTTTGTTCACGACAGATCTAGCATTTCATGATCCTCTTCAACCAGGCACTGCACCAGGCTCCTCACACAGAGCCCCGGCAGCTGTGCTGACGCCATCTGTCTGCCATTCTTCTCATGGAAACCAGTTTTGTCTTATCAGCATTTTCTAATGTGAGCTGCTTTCTGCCTAGAAACAGCTTCCTTTTCCTGGCAACCCATGTATCTCGTCTTCTTCAAAATGCAGTGGAGAACCCACCTCTTCTGGCGAATCTGCTTTATACCTCATAGCCTCTGCACTCCTGGACTCACTTGCTCAACATCATTTTTCTTTTACTAACATCTTACTGATTTTGCTGTGTTTCTCAGATATACCTTGTTACTCTGCTTCATACATTTTTAGCTCCATTAGGTAAAACACTGATCCTACTTTTCCTGAAACTTTAGGTACCAATTCTCAGCAAATGGTAATAACTCATTTATCCATTTATTGCACAAATATTTATTGAAAATCCACCATGTTTCATGCACTATCCTAGGCACTGGGAATACAGGGGGGAAAATAAGACATAGATCCCCCATCCCCACCCAAAGAGCTTGGGTCCAGGTCCCAGGAAATTTATTAACTGACTGCCTGAAAAACCAAGTGAGCTTAACTGTCAAGGATAAATTATAATCATGCAAAAACAACAAAAAATTTCTCCCCATAGTAATTTGTCCTAGATTATCAGGAAAATCATGGCTGACCTGAGTAGTTTCCCTTATAAATAAAGCATTGCTTTTGCTAATGCAGATATTCTCCCATACAAATGTAGGAAACAGATTTTTCTTACACACCATGGAGATACCTACAAAAGGCTGTGTTTGCACTATGGGAAGTCAGGAGCAAGTAGAGGGCAGTGGACTGTCATCAACACTCCTGGGAGAGCCACCTTTTCCAGAGCATCTGCACAGGGATGGGTATTCTGCTTTGAGTTTCTGACATCATTGTCCATTTTAGTAAATTTTGTATCATAGTGAGCTTTCTGGTATTTATGACAAATGGAAATGCATAGAAGTAGAAAAGCCAAACATAACGGAATTTAACAATGTATAATAATTTTATATGACTTTGCATAGATGTGTAAATAAGTAATTCCAGGATCTCAAAGTATAATTTTCAAAATAATATTGTGTTATTTAAATAAACTAATAAATTGACATTAACGTAATTGAAAATAGGTCAAAGAAATTCAGTCTGTTTATAGCCTTTAGCATTAGATAAACCACCAACAGCAAAGGAGAGGATAAATATTCTAAACCACAGCCAGAGAAGCCATAAATGGAAATGTAGTTAGTAGCTGCCTCCTGGTCACAGAGGTCACTTTTTTGACAATTTTATGAGTCCCAGTAAGTAAAATGTGTAATCACCAGTCAGTCCTAGGTGAGGCAAGTCTTGTTGCAGCTTTGTTTGGGTGTTGGTGGAGAAAGGGAAGGAAAGTAGTGGCAGTGAGCACAGTGGTATTTGTTTTTTGTTGTTGTTTGTTTTTATTAATTTAACTCACCTAATATTTTTATTAAATAACCCACTCAGAAGGTAAACAGACCTCATTCTTAAGAAGGAGTAGCACAGGTTTTTGTGTTTAAAATCTACTTAATGATACATTAATTCCACTGGAAATGTTAGCCTATTTATCAGACACTAAGAAATGAGCAACAAGAAAGTAGGAAGGAAGTCATAGGGCATCAGTTGTAGGAATGCAGCGGGGTGGAGGCAGTTTGCAGATAGATGTCAAAAAGAAAAGCCTCAGTCACTGCTGAGGCCTCCCTTAGAAAATGCAGCAGCCAGCCCAGGGCCTTGATCTGCTGCCAGAGGAAACTTGCCACATCTGAATCTAACATTGCCGTATCTCTCAGGACTGTTATCACTGCAAATGCTGGCAAATGTTCTTGACATAAAACAATAGATACTCTGCTGTCATTTCTGCATTAACGAGTCATAAAGCTCTGAAGAAACCCCAGTAAAAAGGTTTTCATCAAGTGCATCTGAGAAAATAATAAAAGACACAAAAAACAGCAGATAATTTCAAAGCAGGATTGTTGCACCATCGCATAGTACCTAAAAAGGACAGTTTGTAATCACTGACTTGAAAATAATACTAGTAGTAATTATAATAAATTTCAAAACAAAACAAAATAACAAAAACCTTAGCCAAAACTTTAAAACCAAGTTCAAAGAATTACGTAAGTGGATGCTTTATAGATTATTATCCAATAAATAGCCATACATCACTCAAGTATTTTTCATCTCCCCTCCCTCTTTCTTATCGAAAGAATCTCTCTTATCATTTCCACACCCAGCTAAGTGAAGCTGATTTCTGAGGACAACCCTTTTACAATCTCAACTTCATATATTATTATACTGCATAGTGTAAATGCGCAGTCCTCCTTGAAAATACAGAAAAGTGAAAGGCAAACCAACCTCAGGGTCTACTCTCAGAGATTCTTAGAGGGAAGACAGAAATTGGGTGAATTTTTTATTATTGATTCTTTCCCTACTTTTTCTTCCAACATACTACCATGAGTCTGCCACAGTGATGATCTAAGACCTCTGAAATCTGCCTCAGGGGTCTTAAATCATCACTGTGGTAGACCCAGGGTAGTATTTTGGTTTTTATACAAAAATTGTCATCTAGGAATCACAAGTTTTATGATATTGTTAATGAAGCTTAGAGTGGTTGTTGAAGAATGATGAAATTATATGATCCTTTTTTGTGTACTACTTAACTTCATGATATAGGAGAGCCGAATGAATATAAAAGTGATACAGATAAGGCAAAATTAGATTTTACTTATAAATTACTGTAAATATGAATGTACACACACAAATTTATATCACCTTTTGATCTGAAAGAAATTTCTTATAACTAGTTCATTATGCTATCACTGAGCATTTTTTACTTTTCTAGAACTGTAACCTGCATACTCATTAAGGCACATTTAGTAAATTATTCCAAGAAGTACACTGCTTTGAGAAAATATGGATTTTTAAACTACACAGGCTAGAGGAATATGATCAAATTGAATCCTTTGCATTCTGAAATTTGCAATGAAAGATTTATACATACATGTTGCCCTGCTGTTTGCAAAAACAAACAGCTACAGGGAACGTATAATATTAAAGGTTGATTACACCCAGTTATTGGTTAGATTTTTAGAAATTTGTCAATGGAAATTATCTCAAATACAATATATTGGATGGAAAAGCAAGTATCATACAATCTATTAAAATTTTTAACATACAAAACAATACCATATGTTCTAATGGATGCATCCCTGTCTAACAAAAGTACAAAAACATCTCAGGGAAGGATTCATTCCTACCGAGACAGTGGTAGCTGATGGGTCAAGGGATGAGGATGGTGTGAGGCTTTAGCTGTATCTGAAATGTTTCTTAACAAAACAAAATGAGCCAAGACCAACATGACAAAATGTTAGCATTTGTTAAATCTGAGCAGTACTCACTGGTATTTGCAAAATTATTTTCTGAACACTTGAAATAATTTATAATTTTAAACATTTCCAATGCAAGAACATTATAAACTTTTAAGAATAAAGTAAAAATTTAGCTTAAGAAGTGGCAAAATGGAGGAAATATCAACATCTTCACAACTGACAATTCTTTCTGTGTTGCATGTCTCTGACAGACATAGACGAGTGCACTGCAGGGACGCACAACTGTAGAGCAGACCAAGTGTGCATCAATTTACGGGGATCCTTTGCATGTCAGTGCCCTCCTGGATATCAGAAGCGAGGGGAGCAGTGCGTAGGTAAGTACCACAGTGCAGTGAGCACGGTCCTGTCTTGAGTACCTTAACTGTTTCAACCTCAAGCATTCCAATCAAAGCATTCATGTTTCTTTGGAGAGTGGTAGCCAATAATTCCTTATTTTTTTATAGACTACCAATCCATTTTCCACAATAACAAGAAACAACCTTAAAGGTTGAGCTATTCTGGATAACAAAGTGTTGGTTAAATGTTAGACGAAGCAAGAGCAGAAATTTGGGGTATGAATGGGACAATAAAAACAACCACAAAAAAATTTAAATTTGCTGTTTTGGGGGCCATCGCGCTAACACACTGGTACTGTGGGCTTCATTCACCATTCACTGCTGCAGAGCATAGCATAGCACAGCACATAGAGCAAATGGTGGAGTTGCATTCCAAGCACCAACCCCAGCTCGCTTTGAGACCTTGAGCAAGTTACTTAAATCCTGTGTCTCACTATGTTCACTTGTACTGTGGAGATGATACTAGGCCCTACCTCCAGAGCTCATGTAGGGAATGCTTAGAATAGTGCCTGTCCCTGTGCAGTAAAGCTGTTTGCTATCGTTGTATTCTGAGTCAACAGATGGGTATTAAAGGCTCTTTATACTGCAAGCCTTTGTAGGGTACCATGAGTACAAAGCCAAGTTCAGCACGTGCCTCTGCTGGAGGGCCTAAGAGCGTGAGCTCCCTGACAGCAAGACCAGGTCATCTTGTGTCACTGTGGTCTCCCCAGTCCCTGAAGTGTGCCCACCATGTGATGGAGGCTCTATGCGTGTGTTTTGAGTGAATGGAAGATCAAAGTATGAGGAAGCCAACTGGCAGATAGTGAAGTAAAATACAGTACTCTGGGCTCAATCATGAGGCCCAGCACTAGGCATGAAACTCTGACTGTCCATTTATTTACATACCCCTTCTTACCACAGATCAGTGAAAAAGCCTTATTTCCTCTTAGGAACAGAGGGTGAGGATGTGGGGACAGACAACCAGCGTCAGTTTTCGCCTGAGAATGTGAGCTGTTGATGTTCACATGTCAACACTGAGTTCCATGTGGGCCCCAGCCCAGTTCTGTCTGCCATAGGGCTGTGCCTAGATGCTGGGGTTAGTGCCCAGCCTCTGAGGAAGGCCCAGGGTTTGCTATAAATGAAGCTGTGATTTAAAAGAAGAGTGTGTAGAAAACTCCAGAGATAACAAAGTTTGGCCATTGTATTAGACAGGAAAATAAATATTTGAGGGCATAAAAAGTACAGAAAAAAGAACTAATCCAACTTAGTGTGGGGTGAATCAAAGATAATGGAACATACGGTCACAGCCCTTTTAATGTGGTAGGAGGAAATATTCCTAAACTCAGATCTAATCATGTGTCTTCCCCTCCTGCTTCCCTCACTGAGAGAATCAAGTCTACATTCCTCGACAGAGCATGAAAGGTCTTGCTCAATCTGATCATTGTCCAGTTCTGTTGCATAAACACCTCTCCCCCACCACAAAATATTACACCCCAGCTTTATTCCACCAGTTCCCCACACACGTCACACAGTGTTACTTACACTTTGGTGCCTCTATACAAGCTCTTTACACAACAAAAACATTCCCTCCTGGCAAATTCTTATTTCACTGTCAAATCCTAGCTTAGGATCACTTCCTCTGGGAAGCCTGCTATGATTTACCCAAATATAATTAGTTGCTCCTCCCCTGTGCCAGTACTTCTCAAATTATGATGAAGGATACTTTTTTGTAAATTTCCAATCTACGGCAGACCAATACTTCTGTAAAGCACAATAAAAATAATGTTGCACTAATGTCAAATTGCTATTTCTAAACATGTACTCTCAGTTTCTGTATTTATTCATTGCAGACTGGTCCAAATAGCCCATGAACCAGCAGCAGTCAGCAGGCCACACTTCAAGTAGCATGGTGCTCCCTGTGTCCCATACACTCCTTTCTATTGTTGATCTTCTCATTCCATGGAATAATTTGTTTCATGCCTGTCTTTCATACCAGACAAGGCAGAACACATGTATACTGATTATCATTATAAACTTGGGGTGCCAAACACAGTACCAGCAAATAAGAATGGTTCAATGAATGTTTATTAGTTAAGAAGACATGCGTCACATATTCACCAAATAGTTATTGAGGGCTTACTGTGTAACAAGCATTGTTCTAGGAACTGGGATAATAGTAAACAAATTTTACAAATTCATAGCCCTCGTGGAGCTATTAGAAAGTATAATACCATTCATACAAATTAGCTATCAATACTAGCACCTGATGATAGTACTGAGGACTAGGAAGCACTATGCTAAAATTGCTCTTAATTAGTGTGAAGTTTCGATTTATTCGAATAATGTTTATTGAACACCTACTACTATGCCAGGCCCTATTCCAGATCTAACAATGAACAGACAAAAAACCCTCTACCTCCACCTCAAGGGGAGAATGTCATGCACTATAGTGAGGGAACACACAAGAAGCAAATAAACACATAACACAATGTCGAGTACTGTTAAGGACTACAAAGAAGTCTAAAGCAAGGTAAGGGAATAGATAGGGCAGAAGAACCTATTTGATATTGGTGGGAAAGGTGGCCACCCTGAGGAGGTGACATTTGAATGGACACCTGAACCAAAGTAAGGGGAAAAGCCATGTGAATATCTTCTTACTATTTATTTCAGTATTCAAGTTAAATCAAATATATCTTGCAGCTTATTAGCTCCCATTTATGTTTACTTGCTTTGTGCCAGTAACTTTGCCTACATTATGTCTTGTAACCCTCCCAATAATTCTACTCACAGAAGAGGAAATGCAAGCTCGAGAAGTTAAGACCAAGCTAGTAATTGCCAGAACAAAGATTCAGACTCAGGTTATCCTGAGGCCACTTGAGCACACTACTTAATTTTAGTTATTAAAGTACCAAAAGAGCCCAGCATAAAGGTTTGTTTTGTTTTGTTTTGTTTTACCACAAGGCAGTGTCACTATATAGCATTACATTGTATATGCATAATGGTTGTTTTAAATTACACATGCCATGTTGAAGTTGTCACAAAGTGTAGAATCATGAATTAATGAAATTTTATTATGCTTCTAAGATGTTAGTCCTACTTAGCAAGTTCTTAGTTGAGCATTTTATAGTTGAAAATATTTATATGAGAAGGACACAGGCTGGAACACTTCATCAAAGTGTCAAAAGAGCACTCTCAAGAGGTAACTTATTTAGCATCCAATTCTTCCACAGTGTTCTTTTATTTGATACACAAAAACGTCCTAAGATACACATGGCAAGCCTTGCTATCCACATCTTATAGAAGAAAAACCAAGATACTGAAGGCGTAAGTGACTTAGCCAAGGTCACCAGTTGAGCACAGCCCACAACTCTTTCTTCTTTGTTTTGTGCTGCACCATGCACTTCAGTAGTTCTTTTTTACTTCTGTAATTATATATAAGCTTTTAGCTCCCCAAACTGACATCTTATATATATATGCAATAGTCTCAATTATTTTGTTTTCTTTAAATCTCAATCCACCCACCAAGTTTATTTACCACTGAATGGCATGAACATTGAGTCTTTGTTCTTAACTTCTTAACTCAGAATACAAAGTATATTTAAAATACATATACCCTAATTTTAACAAAATAGGAAATTATTACTTTTAAAAAGAGATTTTCTCTACATAGGTTTTCTAGATAATGCTTTTCAGAGAATGCTAATTCAATAATTTGGTTCTCTTTGTGTGTGTGCCTGATAACCTAGACATAGATGAATGTACCATCCCTCCATATTGCCACCAAAGATGCGTGAATACACCAGGCTCATTTTATTGCCAGTGCAGTCCTGGGTTTCAATTGGCAGCAAACAACTATACCTGCGTAGGTAAGCCTTTTGAGAACTTGCTGATTTCTGTCTTCACAAAAGGAAACCCCATGCCATGTTGCAGTATTTCCAGTTTTCTATGTTCTTGAGTAAATAGTTTCCATCGACTTCCCTTCAGCAATCATAAAGCTTAAAAGATAATAACCAATCTGTGTCTTAAAACACATCAAGATGTGAACAGAAAACTTTTTAACTTTGGTTTTAGTTCTCCTCTGTGGATAGATCAACAAATTTAAAACTACAAATCAATTGATATACATACACCAGTCAATCAGCAGTGTGTGATATAATGCTGAAAGTGCCAAAGGGGTTACTACAAGTTCAAGTATATAAACTTTCCACTGAAAGTGCATCTGATTTTTACATGCCTCTTCTCCCCTTTCAGAATGCAATGTCACGGCACACAATTAAAAGATTGGCATGACATGGAAAAAATCTAGTGTAGGAAAAATGCCTTTTCACAATATTTTCAGTGCTTTAGAGCATTGCAAAACTCCGTATGGGTCTCAAAGGCTTATGTTATAATTGTAATGGAATTTAACAGAACCCATTTAAAAAGTAATAAATAGCACAGATAAATCTTCAGTACAGCATGCTGAGAGACCATATCAGTATAAGTGTCTTATATCAATTATTTATAGAATTGGCATTTTGTATCTGAACAACAAAAGAAAATCGATACCGGAGTGTATATTTATTAGAAGCATTAAATTCCTTTGGAAAGATTCATCAAACATCAAACTAACTGTCATTCCTAGAAAAAATATTTCGGTATTTCCAAAAGAAGTATATGACAGACGTTTGTAGTTGTTCCAACAAATATGAAACCTAAATGGATGTTCTCCAGTGAGCTTCTGCAGGGCAAATAATTCAGCTAGGGAATTACTCACTTGTCAGCAGATGACGTAGGTACAAAAGAGTAAGGATATGTTTAAAGTCTATATATATATGTGTGTGTATATATATACATATACATATATATATATATAAAACTTTTTTTCAGATATAAATGAATGTGATGCCAGCAATCAATGTGCTCAGCAGTGCTACAACATTCTTGGTTCATTCATCTGTCAGTGCAATCAAGGATATGAGCTAAGCAGTGACAGGCTCAACTGTGAAGGTAAAACTCTTCCCAGATAGTATGGAATAAAGTCCAATTCCTGTGACTGCTGTTGTTTTATCTGATTATGTACCCATTTATGAAAACAAACGCTTACCCATGGGAATTCTGTTCTAAAATCCAGTTAATGTAGTTCAGTTGTTACATTGCCTTTTTAGTGTGTTACCAAGAAAAAGGAAAAGAAATAAAAATAACTGAAATATTAGGTGCAGGCTGGCTCTAATAATTAGAAAGGGTGCTCTAGCATGTTGCGTCTCAGTGTGTTATCCAGTGACCAGGTATGTCAGCACCTCCTGGGAGCTTATGAGAAATGCAGAATCTCAGGCTGCAACCCAGACCTCCTGAGTCTGAATCTACATTCAACAAAAACTGCAGGTGACTGGTGTGCACATTTAAGTTTCAGAATAGCCAAGTGCATGTCAAAACATTAAAATAAAAATCAGGAGATCTGGTTTCTGGTTCTATTCCTGCTACTGTGTGACTTGGGCACATTTCTTGAGTTGCCTGGGTTTCACTTTCCACATGAACAAGAGGAGGGCCATTTAACTAGATTCATGACCTTCAGGGTCCATTGCATGTGCACATTTCGTTATATAATTCAAAAGGCATTAGACATCCTGAGGGGGATGCCACAGACACTTGATGTCCCTGACCTCCTCACGGTTCACTCAGCTTTACACAAAGCTCAAACCCCACCGAGAGAGGCCTCACATCATGCCATTACACTCAAAACTGAAAGAGGCTACCTCAGGACAGCTGCCTCTGCCCTTCTGAGTAAACTGTAGGGACATCACTATTCAGAAATGCAAAGCATTCTTCCCCTGAAAGTCAGATCCTGCCAAGCTGTCATTCTGGAAGCTTGCACAGGTTAGGGGACTTGGCATTCAAAGCTCAAATGAACTTGGCTTCAAAGTCACCCAATTTCTGAGAAGACAAACATGAACTCTACATCCTGGATGGGTCTGCAGAGTCCAAAATGAAGGCCGTCAACCACAAGCCAATTCATTCAGTAGTGTAGTTAGGTCCAGGATTAGCCAAATTGTCAGCAATGATTCAGTAAAAGTCATGATAAGAAAAACTTTTTGTGCTATGAAGTCATAGAGGGAAATAAGCTGATATTGTTAGAATTTGCCTTTTAGCTGCTTATAAAGTTTTGTATTTCTATTTCAGAATTTGCAATATTTTTACTCTCTTTAGCTCACCTCAAAAGTGTATTACTTCCTCTGGACTGTTGAGCAGAACAAAAAAAATATATATGTGTGTGTGTGTGTGTGTGTGTGTGTGTGTATATATGAAACCCAGGCAACTTAAGAAATGTGCCCAAGTCACACAGTAGCAGGAATAGGACAAGAAGCCAGATCTCTTTATATATATATAGGTAGATATAATTTTTCCTCCTTAAAATATAAATAATTTTAATTATATATAATTATTTTAATATAGATATTTTAAATCTTATAATTTATATATATATATAATTTATATATATATATATATCCAAAGTAGTGGTGCACAAACTTTTCAACTCTGTGTCCTTTCTCTTGTCTAATTCAACAGACATTGATGAATGCAGAACCTCAAGCTACCTGTGTCAATATCAATGTGTCAATGAACCTGGGAAATTCTCATGTATGTGCCCCCAGGGATACCAAGTGGTGAGAAGTAGAACATGTCAAGGTAAGTTTATTTTTTTTTTCATATGTTAGGTATTTAGTTTTAGCCAGGAAGAGACAAGAGGAAGTTATAGGATTCTCCTATAGACTTTCATTTTTCCCACTTTCAATATACAATTTAAGCTCTTTTTTCCCCTGTTCATCATAAAATATATACATCTCATAAAGAGGTGATTCTATGCTAATGCCGACATTTTTCGTCCTTAAAAGATAAATAATTTTAATAAAATATTGATATGTATTCTATGTAACCTACATCATCTCTTTGAGATACATCTTCAAATCATCCACTGGAAAAGATTCAGTTATTAAAATGTTTCACCTGTGAGTTTGAGTTTAGAGCATAAGCTCAATATGTGAGTTAAACATACCTCCATCCAGTCTTAGCCCTCTAAAACACAAGGATTATAAATTGCGTAAGAATGTAGGTGCTGAGAAAAGTCAGCCTAATATGTTGTAAAATATAGTTGAATATTTTAGAGAAAACTACTAGCCCCAAAATAGCTAATGACCTTGGGTCCAGTTTCAAAATAAACATTCAGATGATCTTCACACCTATACGTAAGTGGAAGAGGCAGCTCCCCACAATGGTATGATTTCAGAGTTTCTCAGGAAGATCTAAAAAAAAAAAGGACCCTACCTCCAATGTTGCATGTAGTTGAAAATTTTCTTAACAGGGAAAGGACTGTCAGATAAAACCAAAAACGTAGAAAATCCTGGAAAAGCTAGTACAAACACTTAAATTTACACAAAGCAACAAAAGAATGAAAAAATGACCAAACTTGACAGAAAACCTGTTTGAATCCCAGCTCCACTGTATTCAGTCTGCACAATCTTGAACAAATTATCAAACTACTCTGAGCCTCAGCTTCCTCATTTGGAAAAGGGAGTTGTGGGAATTTAGTGGAATAACATACATAAAAATAATTTGTAAACTATAAAGCTTGTACAGGTCAAGGTGTTTTTATGAAATTTACTTACCAATGTAAGTGACCAGTAGTACGTCTTCTGTAGAGAGTCCTTTTTAATCAGAGTTGGAGTGAAGGCACACAAGGACAATAAAGATCCTGTTAAGAAAAGAAAGATCAAGGAAAGGAGACACTGGGGATTCTCAGTCTATATCATGATTTTACAGGAAAATATTAACTTAGAGGAAATCCATTACCTGGGATTTTATAATAGGCACACAATTTTTCGACTAGACTCCAACCACTGAGTATGAGCATAATCAGAATGTAGTTCATTGCACAATGAACATCTTTATAACCCTTTCCAGGTTACTAGAGACTTTATAAATGTTAATTATGGGAAAACATTGCATTCCAATGATTTTACTTACTGAACCCTAATTGAGACTTTCAACATGCATATTACATGCAAGAAAATGTTAGCTAGTGGAATGTCTTAACAAATTTCTCTGGAGTCCTTCAAACAAATATCTATGTGTTTCTGATCAAAAATTGATTTGATGCTCAGCAAAAGACAGAAGCAGATTAATGCACGGTGGGATCCGACCTGCCTAGCCTATCTATGTGGAAACATTTATATCTATTGTAATTAAAGGTGGAAAATGCACCAAAATTGTAAGTGGGGGATTCCTAAATGTTATATATTGAAGATATGCAGCTTCAGAATGTTTGGTTAAGCCAAAACATTTTTTGTGAAAAAGACTTAGCATTCTTCTAAAGTATAAAGCAATTGCTTTCTCCTACGGAAATCGTTCCTTCTGAGCCTTGTCCACAGGAATAAAATGAAATTGAAAGTTTTGGATTCTTAACTTTCTCTAAAAGACTTATTTTGTGGATGAAATAACTGTTCTCATTTCACAGGCCTATACAAATGAAAACTGTGTGTGTGTGTGTGTGTGTGTGTGTGTGTGTGTGGAGAGAGAGACAGAGAGACAAAAGAATACACATACACATAGACACACACTCATCAAATATTTTGAGAGTATTAATTTCTGAAAAATCTTCCAGAATGATTAAGGTGATGATTATGCTAGGCTCTACATTAATGGAAGTAATAAATGAAATTATAAGGTTGTCTTTTGCTTCTGTTGGACTCCATATAACAAATAAGTATTAGTTTTCCCTGTACCTAAACAGCATCTTTATTCTTCAAAAAAGTGGAAAATACTGAAAGGATAAGTCAATTGTGATTTCATTTGAAGAATCTAAGTTTTCTTTCTTCAGCCATAGCCAGCCCAAGAAGACACTTTTTGTAACTGTCTCTTGGAGACTACCTAGCTTTCCCAGTCTGTTCTTGAGTTCCAGATAACTTTAGCCAGTTTGGAAGCTAAAATACTTTTTTTTCCTCCAAAGTCAAGGCATGAATTATTTAGAGTATATGAACTTGAATGAGCCACTAAACCCTTATTTGTTTTTCATCCATATCAAGTGGAAATATCTTTCTCACCTACCTCCACACAGTTTGTGTGAAGAGCAACTTAGTTCAATTTAATATTTCTTAAAAGCCAGATGCTCTATTGCATTAATGCTAGGTGATGAAAGGATTAAAAGATGGGTACAATAACCCTTGCCCTCAAGGAGTTTACAAGCTAATAGAAGGGTTAAGCTAGACATGCAGATTGCAATAATGCAAAGCAGAAAGCAATAAAGGCCCTTAAAAAAGAACACCGGGTATGAGAATTCAAAAGAGATCATATCCCAGCACCTAGCCCATGCTTGGCTTACAGCAAGGATTCAGTAAATTACTTATGGAATGAGTAAATTCATGAATAAAAATATCTCATTGTGGAGAAGGAATGATTCAGAAAAAGTTTACATTGAATAAAATATAAATCACTATTCAAATGTAAAGGGAGACAGACATAGAGATGTAGATATTAATTTTATTTTTATTGTTGTTGTTGTTGTTGTTATAAATGTAATGGCTCTCTAGTAAAACTGTTCTCTCAGATGTCATCTGGAGGCTTCTGATTCCCAAATTTAAAGTCAATCTTTGTCCAGCCTGAGGTAAACACAACCCTTCTTCCCAGGATTCTCTCTCCCTCTGACTTCTTTGGCATTGCCTTTTCCTGGGTTGTCTCCCTGCACTGACAGCCTCTTCCTTAACTTCCTCTTTTTCCTTACAGTCCTAAAATTGCTATGCTCTATGAGGTGGAACACTTCATAGTTTCACTTCCTGTGCTGTGCTTCCTCTGGACAGTATAATCCACTCCCAGCATGCTTCAGCTTACTGAAACCAGATTTCTAGCCTTTACCTTTCTCCCAAGTTCCTGAAAGAGATGATAAGCTGCCCTCCATAGTTTATGCTTCCTGATTTCTCAGCTTGGAAAGCCTTCCCTGCCCCAGCCATGAAAACTCCATCTAACCACCACCCTTCAAGGCCACGTTGAGATGCCTCTTCCTTCCTTCAGCCTTCCCTAATCCCCCTGGCAAAATTACCCAACTCTGCTCCACATGCCCCAGTATACTTATCTATCTCTTACTTAATTCCATTTTACTTTCTAAGTAATCATATACACATTCCCTCAATTATAATGTCCCTGATGACAAGAACTGGTGTTTAACTTTTATATAGGCAGAGTCAGTGGTTAACATTGGGGTTTGAATTCAACAGATGAACAATAGGTGCTTGATAAAATATCATGAAATGACACATATTAATCTGCCTAGAATGTCTCAGCTCTGTCTGTCCTGAATTCAATACAATGAACACCCAGTCTTGTGTCTAAAAGCAGGTTGAACACAGTCCAGATGCTCTCACACCTCCTTCCTTGCAAACAGAATCTGCCAGTTATATGATTTAATTAGATCAGTTCATTAGTTTAGTTAGTAAACTCTTTGACCCTACATCTCTACAGATATAAATGAGTGTGAGACCACAAATGAATGCCGGGAGGATGAAATGTGTTGGAATTATCATGGCGGCTTCCGTTGTTATCCACGAAATCCTTGTCAAGATCCCTACATTCTAACACCAGAGAAGTAAGAAAAATCAGAACTTTTGAAAGTGAGGATTTTCTGGTCTTACCAAGCCAAACTGCTGAATACTTTTGTTTGTCTCTGCAGCCGATGTGTTTGCCCAGTCTCAAATGCCATGTGCCGAGAACTGCCCCAGTCAATAGTCTACAAATACATGAGCATCCGATCTGATAGGTCTGTGCCATCAGACATCTTCCAGATACAGGCCACAACTATTTATGCCAACACCATCAATACTTTTCGGATTAAATCTGGAAATGAAAATGGAGAGTTCTACCTACGAGTAAGTATCCTGAAGGCAGCCTTAACTATTGAGAAAGATGGGAGTTTGTTGTTGTTGTTGTTGTTGTTGTTGTTGTGTGGTATCCACATGTGGAAGGAAAGCAAACATTTAAAGTGTCTTATGTGTAGGCATTGTGTAAGGCCTTCCAGCTACATTATTTCATTTATTCCTCTTGGTAACACTGCCAGATAGATATTAATATTCATCTCCATTTTTTACAGAGGAGAAAAGTGAGATGCAGAAAGATTAAGTAGCATCCCTGAAATCACTCAAATATTAAGTTTGGCAGACTCTGATAGAGTTGTGTGTGACCACGAAAATACAAGCCTCCCATCCCCCCGCCTCTGCCCCCACCCAACATACCCCCCAAGTAGGTATCACTAATCATTGATGGTTAATTAATTATACATAGACATACATATAATTCAAACCCAAAATAATTCCTGGAGCTCCTAAAGAGTTTTTCAGACATCATGAATTCATCATTGTTACATTCACAAGACAGTTTGTGTTCACACCGAAACTAAAACCTATAAGTATGTGAGAAGTGACCCCACCTCCCCGCACAGTATGTGTCAGTAGTTGTACCATTCTTGCCAACTTCTGGGCTGGCAGTATGGAGTCATCTCCCTATCTTTCATTGCCTGTGTGAAATCTACTTTCTGAATTCTGCCATTTCCCTCTTCACACTGTCTCCTGGGTTATCTTTGCTTCCTCACATCCCTATCTCTCTTCCTATAAACTGGCTCCCGTCACTTCCATGATCCCTTCAGTGGCTTCTGAGCTGGTCTCCCTGACCCCAAAGCCTCAGCCTTCCAGTCTCCCTACAAAATCTCAGCAAGTTCATTTTAGGTTAAAATTTGGACATATTTTAAATACGGCTCACCACTTCATGTGAAAATGATGGCACCCTACCAAGCAGTTTGCAGAGTTACGGTAACTGTTTCATGCTAATGATGTTATTCATCCAGTTACAATTTTCTCAAAACTCCTTTGGGCACTCTTTATTTTTAATCAAATTTTAAAGCCAATATTTCATTTTGAGAATATGAATTAAATTGGGAAATTCATCCTTGTGGTACAGTTTACAGATTTTTAATGTTTACCCATTTATCCTGTTTTTTGATATATTAATTTCCCATATAGCTCCAGAGTTATGTGATATTATTTCTTTGCCAGTATATTAGAAAATGATTAATTTCTCATGACCAACTTCTGAAAAGAAAGACCCAATGCAAAATGCAATCTATTACAATTATTTTTTTGAATAAAAAAGAATATATTATAGTTCTTTAACATTTGATATTTTAAATTTGACATATTCTTGATATTTGTAAGAAATTTCCACTGAATGAATTTTACACAATTCAGATACTACCAATTAACTAATTCTAGCCTAAACAAATAACATTATTTTTAAATAACAAAATCTTTAAAAATAATTTTCTATTTTGAACTTTTAGCCATAATGTAAGAAAATAAAATTTTCTAGCAGAATAATCAAAGAGTGAAACAAAGTTCCAACATGTTTTTTCTTTGCAATTAAACATGGCACTTTTACAGTTATTTATTATTCATATCAGTGCACTTACCGACTTCATATTTTCAAATCAAAATACAGTGTTTTTCTCCAGTGAAATCCTTATTCTCATGACTGATAGAAAACATTGCCAATTTTGATATTTCCAGAGTTAATGTTAAATTATTTGAAAGAAAATTATTTAAAATAATAAAAATAGACATTTCAAGACTATTTCTTATCACATAATTCAAAAAGTACTTGGATCAAATCCTACAGAGTTTCTCCACTAAAATTCTACTTGTGCAGAGGGCATTGAAACGCATGAAAATCAACAGCAGGTTAGTTAGGTTAATTAATTCGGTTAATTAAGCACCTACTACATGCTCAGCTCTATGCTAGGTGTCATGAGGAATTAAAAGGACATGTAATGCACATTTTCTGATTTCAAGGAGCTTTAAATATTATTGTGTAGAAAAAGTTAACATCTATGAAAATAGAAGTGGGGCAATTTTGTGCTTAATTCCATGGTCCAGATACATCAAAAAATCAATGTGGGCTGTCAAAGAAGGTTTCTTGATAGTCATGAGTCAGCCTGATTCTTGAAAGGATATGTGGAATATAAAATTTTATTTATATTCCTTTTGAGAAAATACTGAGAAAACCATCTTCCCTGGAAAAGAGAACGTATTGTAAAGAAAGTACATGAAATTGAAGGTTGAATATCCAACATCCCCCACACTGCCCCAGTGTCTCTGCTCCCTTACTGAGCCTTACTATTATTCTTCATAGCCCTATCACTACCTAGTCTAGTATTCACTGAACTGTGTCATCCACTAGAATATGAGCATAATGAGAGCAGAGACTACACCTGTCGGTTCAGTATTCTATCCTCAGCACATAGAATGGTACCTGGCACATAGCAGATGCTAAAATAAAATTTAAATGAATAAATTAATTCAATCAACACCTTCAAGGTGTTATTATTACCTACAACTATTGTTTACAAGAGGTATGCACCGTGGAAGATCCTGGAGACACAACAATGAATAAAGCCAAGCCAGTTCCTGCCCCCGTGGAGCTTGTAGTCAAGACATTGAACAAGTGATCAGAAAGATGTTGACTGCTGCAGCAGAGGGTTGCAAGCTGCTCATGAGTATATAACAAGTAGCCCTAACCAAAGCATTCTCTCCCTTGGTTTAATGTCCACCCATTGAGGTGACTGCTAAATACTAATCCATGACTCTATCCCTTGGCATTCAAACTCACACATCCACTTACCTGCCTCTCCAACCTCATCTCCCTCCACTCACAAGAGCCCATCATATTATTCATCAAAATGAAACTGCACCCAGTTCTTCTGAACATATTACTTTACAAAACTTTCATTTATGCCTGGTGACTCTCATCAGGCATTCAAAAGCTTTCCCTCAGTGCTTCAGGGCTCTTCCTTTTCTTCCCTTTATACATACACCTTTATGTATCTTCATACGTACCCTGCATAACCTCATATATCTTAGCATTTACCATATTCTGTTGAAAAACTGTTTCCATTTCTCTTTACTTACTAGAATGTAAACAGATGCACAATGTTGAGAAAATGAAAAGTGACAACTTTGTTTACAAGTTTAGAAATTATCAGATTCTCACTTAAGCTCTAGTCTCTGTAAAGTCCACAACTACTCAATAAAAGTGAAGAAAAATGTTAACAGAGAGGGAGGAATCAAAAACAAAGAACTATTTAAAAAAAAAAAAAAGCAAGTCCTTGAAACTTGGAGCTAATGACTGTATTAGACAAGGGATAAGAGCCAAGAAGAGTTGAAACCAAGAAGGGACCAAGTAGTGGCTCTTTTATACCACCTTCAAAATTCTCCCCCTAATTCTTATAGGAGGTATACTAACAAAGCATAGAAACTCCAATCCAAGAAAATTATTCTCTTCCTTTCTCTATTTTCTTTTATTTTAGCAAACAAGTCCTGTAAGTGCAATGCTTGTGCTCGTGAAGTCATTATCAGGACCAAGAGAACATATCGTGGACCTGGAGATGCTGACAGTCAGCAGTATAGGGACCTTCCGCACAAGCTCTGTGTTAAGATTGACAATAATAGTGGGGCCATTTTCATTTTAGTCTTTTCTAAGAGTCAACCACAGGCATTTAAGTCAGCCAAAGAATATTGTTACCTTAAAGCACTATTTTATTTATAGATATATCTAGTGCATCTACATCTCTATACTGTACACTCACCCATAATTCAAACAATTACACCATGGTATAAAGTGGGCATTTAATATGTAAAGATTCAAAGTTTGTCTTTATTACTATATGTAAATTAGACATTAATCCACTAAACTGGTCTTCTTCAAGAGAGCTAAGTATACACTATCTGGTGAAACTTGGATTCTTTCCTATAAAAGTGGGACCAAGCAATGATGATCTTCTGTGGTGCTTAAGGAAACTTACTAGAGCTCCACTAACAGTCTCATAAGGAGGCAGCCATCATAACCATTGAATAGCATGCAAGGGTAAGAATGAGTTTTTAACTGCTTTGTAAGAAAATGGAAAAGGTCAATAAAGATATATTTCTTTAGAAAATGGGGATCTGCCATATTTGTGTTGGTTTTTATTTTCATATCCAGCCTAAAGGTGGTTGTTTATTATATAGTAATAAATCATTGCTGTACAATATGCTGGTTTCTGTAGGGTATTTTTAATTTTGTCAGAAATTTTAGATTGTGAATATTTTGTAAAAAACAGTAAGCAAAATTTTCCAGAATTCCCAAAATGAACCAGATATCCCCTAGAAAATTATACTATTGAGAAATCTATGGGGAGGATATGAGAAAATAAATTCCTTCTAAACCACATTGGAACTGACCTGAAGAAGCAAACTCGGAAAATATAATAACATCCCTGAATTCAGGACTTCCACAAGATGCAGAACAAAATGGATAAAAGGTATTTCACTGGAGAAGTTTTAATTTCTAAGTAAAATTTAAATCCTAACACTTCACTAATTTATAACTAAAATTTCTCATCTTCGTACTTGATGCTCACAGAGGAAGAAAATGATGATGGTTTTTATTCCTGGCATCCAGAGTGACAGTGAACTTAAGCAAATTACCCTCCTACCCAATTCTATGGAATATTTTATACGTCTCCTTGTTTAAAATGTCACTGCTTTACTTTGATGTATCATATTTTTAAATAAAAATAAATATTCCTTTAGAAGATCACTCTATCTTTGGAGGTTTTTCAGTGTAGTCAGTAGCCCCCAATATAATTTTTATATCTGGGATAAACATCAGTTATAGGTGCCAGCACAAGAACTACCATTAGGTTTTTTTTTTAATAAATAAACTGGGAGATGAGGAAGCAAAAATACAGTTAAAATCATGCCACAAAACAGCCAACTTTTTCTTAAGTCTAGTTTCACAGCATATATGCATAACCTCTGTCACCAGGTAATCTTGCTGCTAAAACAAATACCTCTCAAAGAGTTGACTCATGTGCAGAAATTGCCAAAAAGAAAGTTCAGCAAAAGCCCAAGGAACAAAACACAAACTCCTTCTGTGAGAGTAGGGGATGGGCTCTTAAAGGTTAAAGGGGCACAGAAACAGTGGAGAGAGAACAGATCTGACCAAGGGACAGCACAGAAGCAGAGTCAACAACCAGCCACAACACAGCAAGACTGTTGAGTTCATTCCTCTTACCCTGTCTACATGGTTGCTTACAGTCAAGATAAATTACAGCTTGATCTAAATGTTTCCATTTTTAATCAATCTAGTGATTTTCCTACATACAAAAACAGCTCTCAAGTGAGAGCTGGGAATAGCAACAGTTAAAGAAAAAAAGCCTAAGACCTTCTTCCAACACATTTTTCCCTCTTAAACAAGAAAACCGGTCTTGTCTATGGCTCCCCAGGGAATTGTAGAAGAAACAGGAATCTCTGAAATGTTTATGCTAAGCCCTGGCCCTCAATTTCTACCTCCAAATATATATATATATATATATTTTCTGGGCCTGCGGAAGCCATTAACTGCAGACAAGATGTTTGCCCTTTTATCCCAAAGCCTAGTCCTACCCACAAATTACAGACACAAGGAAGAGGGTTGATACTGAAGTTTCACTGAGGCAATTTCTTTGTTCTGTTGTGATAAAATTTACCATTTTAGACATTTTAAAGTGTACAGTTCAGTGGCATGGAGTACACTCAGAGTGTTGAGCAAATATCGTCACTATCTAGTTCAGGGGCCCCCAACCACTCCCCCAACAACTGGGCTGCAGACTGGTACCTGTCCATGGCCTGTTAGGAACCGGGCCGCACAGCAGGAGGTGAGTGGTGGGCGAGCATTACCACCTGAGCTCTGCCTTCTGGCAGATCATCCCAGCATTAGATTCTCATAGAAGCATGAACCCTATTGTGCATGCAAGGGATCTAGGTTGTGTGCTCCTTATGAGAATCTGATGCCTGGTAATCTGAGGTCTGAGGTGGAACAGTTTCATCCCCAAACCATCCCCTCACCCCTCCCCACCCTCATCCCCCACTATCCCCACCCATGGAAAAATTGTCTTCCACCAAACCTGGTGCCAAAAAGGCTGGGGACCACTGATCTAGTTCCATAACATTTCATCACTCAAAAATAAACCCCATACCTGTTAACAGTCACTCCCATTTCCCCTTCCCATAAGCCCCTCTGGGAGTCAACAATCTACTTTCTATGGATTTGCCTATTCCGGACGTTTTATATAAATAAGATCATACAATAATATGTGGCCTTTTGTGTCTGGCTTCTTTCACTCAGCATGTTTTCAAGGTTTAGCCATGTTATAGCATGTGTCAGTACTTCATTTCTTTTTCCAACTGAATAATATTCCATTGTATAGATCTATCGCACTTTGTTTATTCATCAGTTAATGAACATCAGCTGATAAGCTGTTTATACCTGTGATTATTGTTTTTCAATCTTGGGTGTCAAAAAGAAACTGTTTCCTAGACTATTCATCCACTAGTTTCACAGCCTAAATTCACCCATTTTTAGTTTGGCCTTTGACTAAAAAGAATAGCAAGTTTAAAAAAATTGTTTTAATTCATGGAAGCAAAAACCTGGAAAAAGCTTTGAGAAGCTAATACATGAGTTCCTTTATAGGTGCAATCATCCTCAATAAACGTAAATATCTCATGCTCTCTTAATTTGAAATTGAAAATAAATATCATGTCTAAAAACAAATCAAAGCAGTAGGACAAAATTCTGCTGTTTTCAAACTACACACGATTCTTTCCTTCCCTCCATGAAAATCACTGATTTAAGCCTGCTCCCATAGATGAAAATTATGGAAATAATTTATTGTCACAGTCATTTATTATCATAATTTTCTCAGCATTTATTGAGAAAATTCTAAAGTAATTCCTTCCAATGTCTAATAGTGTGATGGTATAGAAGAACCAAGAGTCTATTTAGTCTTGATTCTAAAATAACCAGCCAAGAGATCTTGGGGAAGTCACTTAGCTTCTCAGTACCTTGGTTTAATCTATAAAAGTGGGATATTGAAACAAGGTTTTCCTCCAGCTTTGAAAACCAGGTGTGGTGGCTCCCACCTGTAATCCTATCCCTTTGGGAAGCCAATGCAGGTGGATCACTTGAGCCAGGAGTTCAAGACCAGCATGGACAACATAGCGAAACCCCATCTCTACAAAAACATACAAATATTACTGAGGTGTGGTGGCATGTTCCTGTAGTCCTAGCTACTTGGGAGGCTGAGGTGGGTGGATTACTTGAACTCAGGAGGTAGAGGTTACAGTGAGCTGTGAGTACACCACTGCGCTCCAGCCTGGGCAACAGAGCAAGACCCTGTCTCAGGAAAGAAAATTATCTATATCTATATATCTATATATCTCCCAGGAATGCGCCATTGAAAGAAGAGTTAGCTCTATTTGCCAAATCTTTGAAAGCATCTGAGTCTTCTTTGTACGCAGCGACTATTAGAAAGCATTATCATTGGTGGAAGAAAAAAATGAATAGTGCCCACCAAAAAAAAACATATCTTCACTTTATGGTCTCATTATTAACGCTGAGCACGTAAGAAATAATCCAATTTAACTATGTTTTTTAAATTGCAATTCAAACAACAATTACTTTTAGTATTCACTCTTATGCATGTTTTTGTTCCTTTCCACTGAAACTAATTGCAATCTGATTACTCATGTTAAACTGGAAGTCATTATACCTTATCTCACCAGTGGAAAAAATGGCCAGTCATGAGTTCCCACACTTCCAAACATGCTTTCAGGGAAATGCCTATGTTTTTACTCAGTGAGCCTCAGTAATGAGGACTGACGTAGATGTTTCCAACACTTCACTGTTGTAATACCTGTGGCCTGGGCTCTGAGACTTCCATGCTCTCTGACTGGACACAGTTATTTTTTTACAGTGGTTAGGAAAGACCTCTTGGTTGTTAAGCTCTCTAAAAGAGAATAATTTAACTTCAGCTGCCAAATTTCCCTCTTAAGTAGTTTCTTTAACAACTGGCAATCTCCATCTCCTCCAAATATAAAATATCTCCTATTTCATACCCTTATTTTTAATAATAATAGGATTCTAGAACTTAGATACCATCCTGTAAAAAATCTCTTATTTTTAAGACTTGCACAACATCGCAGTTTGTTGAGCAAGAGTGCTATGCCTAGAATGCAGTTCTTATGACTTAGATTAGGGCTCTTTTCATTGGCCATACTCCAAATTTCAACACCAACAAGCAATCTCTTTCCTTTTAAACCCCTTCTTGAACAGTGTCCATTCCACATCATGGGCCAGCCTTTCTGGCTGCATGACTTTTTCATCGCTGCTTTCACATGCAATCGGATTGAAATAACATAGATACCACCAACCTGATTCTTATAACCTTCTTGAACTGTAGTTTATTGTTCTCTTTAACTCCAGACAGGCAGAAGTAATTGTGTTACCCAAAATACTCCTGAATTCTGGAAACTGAAATGCAAACACCAGTCATGTAGACCTCACTATACTTGAGAGGACAGCAGTTTCCAGAAGAAAAGAGGCCATTAGTAGAGATCCAGATGGATCTCTACCAATAATGGGGAGCTTTGAGAGCAATAGTGATTGATACGGTTTGGATGTTTCTCCCCTCCAAATCTCATGTTGCAATGTGACCTCCAATGTTGGAGGTGGGGCCTGGTGGAAAGTGTTTGGGTCATGGGGTGGGTCCCTCATGACTGGCTTGGTGCCCTCCCTGCAGGAACACATTCACATGAGAGCTGGTTATTTAAAGAAGTCTGGCTCCTCCTCATTTCCCTTGCTCCTGTTCTGGCCATGTGATATACCTACTTCCCTGCTTCGCTTTCCACCATGATTGTAAGCTTCCGGAGGTCTTCACCAGAAGCAGACGGTGGTATCACATTACCCGTATAGCCTGCAGAATCGTGAACCAATTAATCCTCTTTTCTTTATAAATTACCCAGTTCAGGTATTTATTTATAGCAATGCAAGGGCGACCTAACACAGTGGTGAAGATAGAATGAGTCTAACACTCCCCTGGTCCAGGAGCTGGACAAAAAAGCATACAGCGTCCTTCCTGCTGTAAGGATTATTATAAAGCCAAGGGTAAAGAACATTGCCGTTCCTTGACACTGGTTAACATTCATTAGGTGAATTTCGAAGGTGCAAATATGTACAAGGAACATCATCACCTAACAGCTTCTGTTTTAGAGGCTGAGAGTAAGACAAGATATGACACTATTAAGAACTCAGTCCTCAATGGGGCTTTAGGTTCTTGCACATGTGAAAATGGCAAAAATACATAGGTATTTTTTAAATTATAATTTAAAAATATAAGTATTGAAGAGTAGAAATCAGCTAGAAACCAATCCCCATATCTAGTACATGTACTAATTTCTACCACTCTTCATTTACAAGGGAGATGCTTTAGTGAATTCAAATGATGGAAATGGAAAGATTGTTCAGTACCCTAAGGCCACCTGAACACAGCCCAGTGGGATTATTATTTTTGGGGAAGCTTCACAAATAAAAGTTTATTGTTGAGTCTTGTTTCCATGACTTCAAGCGGTTGCTTGTGTTTTGAATAGTTATGTATGCTTCTAACTTTCTAACGCTCCTTTTAAAATATAGAACAGCTGCTGGTCTGCTCATATGTTATGCATAAGAAGCCCACAAGGGACAAGGCCCTCTATTAATATGTTGAATTATTTTTAACACAGTTTTACTTCTATCCCAAATCATCATCTCTAAAAGATGGCAAACTTCCATCTTCCCAGCTGGGGGGAGCACCTGCAAAATTCAAACCCAAATTGTGACACATCTGGTACCCAAAAACCAATCTTGTTTCATCTGGCCAGCAGACTAAAATATCAAGATCGTTGAACAGAAACAAGGCAAAAAGTTAACTGCCTCTTATATGCAGTCAATGCAGATGTCTAGTTAAGCTGTTTATATAGTAAGCGCATGTGTATGTTAACGGAGCACAGACCCCTTTAATAAGCCAGAGTTGGAATATAAATGCAAGAGAATTTTAAAGACCTGAATGCAATAATTCGGTTCTTTTTTATCTTCCCATAGAAACTAAAGTAGTTTCTGCAAAATCTCAGCATGATATTTAAACAGATGCATATAACACAAATGATTTTGTTGAGTTGAGTATCTCCAAATTGTTTATTTCCTTTAAAAACCCCATTTTATGTTTTTGTATTTTAATATTTACATTATGTTTATTTAAGTGGTAAATTACTTGCAAATGGCTTAAACAAGGTGTCTTGGTTTGTGTTGCCCCAGATGCAGATTCGGACATAAAAACTGAGTTCTGGTAGGTTGAGAGGTTCTCTTGGGAAGCAAACTTGAGTGAGTGGGGAAAGTGAGCCAGAAAGAGATGCCAATGAATTCGTGAGTAAATGAGTGGATCACCTCTGTGAGCAACTGTAGCTCAAGTCCTCTGATAAATCATATGGAACTCACCTGAGAAACATTCCACTAGAGGCCACATGGGCTGCAGCATTTATCTACCAACTCCCGTCCCTGTGGTAAGTGTTGCCCATACACACTGCCTGCAGGAGGGTGTGCTTCCTCATACTGGAGAAAGCCCTCAGGCAGAGGGTAAGAAAGATAGGGGTTTGATAGAGGATGCTGTTGGCAAACTAGAAACTGCTACTGCACCATGCAGTAAACTCATATGGCTAAGGAGATCTGCGGCAGACATCAACATTTGCTGACTGACGCCAGTGCAATGCTAGATGATTCTGACAAATGGAGCTTCTGTTACTTACTGGCTTGATGGCTTCATACCACATAAATCTCTTCCTTGACCTTTTTCTGGTCATTCTCCCATCTTTTCTTCCTTTTCCTCTCTCATTCTCTTCTTCTGCTCAGGCACTAACCATGTCCAAGGCTAATGGACATGGTTCAGCCAATGACACTGAATTAGATTCAAGGACACATATAATACTATGCAAAGTGGTACTGTATAGTTAATACCACGAGCCTATCTGATTCTAGAGCTCATCACAAGTCCAATTGCAGAGTACTAAATAGAATGAGTAGCCCTTCAAAAGTGAATGTTCAGGGAAGCTAATGAAGCTAAAGCTTCAAGGCTCCTCCCTTGCACCAGCCCCTTCCAAGGTCCTGAAAGGGACCCTATGTTCACATAGTTATATATTTTTGTAAAATTTGTATAATACATTTTAGCTGTATTGGTTAGAATTACTCTTTCATCTTGGGCTCCCCTCATCACACTTCACATGTCACGTGGCTCTGAAGTGCGTCAAAAGTATGTTTGAGATCCAGCCTGGGAAAGTGGAGTTAGGAGAGTGTATTTAGTTTGGATTTAGTAGGATATATTTATATAGTTAACATTCATTTCTATGTATGGTTAATTTGAGCTCCTGTCTGGGGTAGGAATAGCCTCTAGAAATATTCCCACCACCCTCTGTGTTGACCATAGCTGACAGCATGCCCAAAAGTTCAGGGCCAGGAGTCCCATCACACTATAACATTCTACAGCATCCAACAATGGATGTAAATAGCAGAGGAAAAACAAGTTTTGGAATATGCAGAGCTATAAATTAATCTATGGAAAATCCTTCCATTCACCAGACATGTAAAATAATAAGCAGAGGATGTGGTTTTAATCAATGCCTACTCATGAATATACCTAATTATGCAGCATATACAACTATAAATGCACCATACCATGAAAATATTTTCATATATTTCTCTAGGAACTCACCAGAAATTATTCTGACAATAAAAAGTGAGTTGTAACCAAAAAGATGTTCAGATAATACCAAAAGTGATCATTTTTGAGAAGAAGAAATAAATTTCAAATAGAAGTAATAAATAGACTCTTGAGTTGATTAATAAATTAATGGAGAGGACTATGAATCATATGAACACACTGGGGAAGAACATAAATGTCCTGCTACTTTGATCTAGAACACTAATATCAGTGAAGGTAACAGAAAACTGGTAATTATACACCACAACAGGACATCAGAACTCACTGGCTAATGAGTGTGACCATTTCAAAGGATATTTAAGAGTAGTCCCTGCACAAGAACACTTGGAGTGATCTGAACTCATATAGATCTGATATGACAGAAATCTGATAGAGGTTCCCAAATCTGAGAGCAATATCAAAAATTTGCATGATATTGTAATAATGAATTGTGAAATCAAAGAAACTTTTATAAACTACCAATTTAAAAAAAACTTAACCAGGCTAGAGGAAAACCTGGTTTATTTTACTGTTCTTTCTACAGAAAATAATACAAAATTGCATTTATTGGCAACCAGAATATGCATTAAAAAAGTAGGAAAAAAGTATTACAAAGGAGTGTTAGGCAGTTAATTAACAAAAAATGTTATTTTCCCAGACTTTGAGATTTTTGCTGTATTTATCAGCTTTTAAAATGTATAATTTATTGTAATTTCTTACATCATTCTAAATAAAAATTTACTTTTGTGTCTAATTTTGTACTTACAATTTTATATTTTTTTTCTTTAAAGTGAGCCTTCAAATACATATAAGCTTCATTCAAAACCTGGATACATCCCTGGAATAAGAGCACAAAGCAGTTCTGCCACTAGCTTAAATAGTGCTTTTGTGCAAATTAGAAAGGACACATATTCTGGGCCTTGCAATATTTGACTAGGCAGAAAAAAGGTACATATTGTAGGTACAGGAAGTGGCCCTTTATTTCAAACTTTCCCCACTGCCAATAGCAACATTTACTCTTGTTAATAGCAACTGTAGATTAAAGAGTTACCGATGTCTCGCTCAAGCTGAAGAGTTGAAAAATATATTTCAACCCTTGGTCTCCACAGATGAGTTTTTCTCATGGTGCTTCAACATTCTATTTCCCCTGCTTGTCTCTTAGCAGTGATTATCTGCCTTGACTTCCCTTTAAGATCTATTGACCAGCCATTAATAAAAAGGCAAAGACCTCAAAGAGGTCAATCTGTGACTGTCTAAACCCCTGATCATACCCCAGCTCCTGGATCTTGCCTTATAATTCTAGTATCATTCACTTCAATAAACATTTTACTGGGCATCTGCCCTGTGCCAGGCACTATGTTAAGTACTAAGGAAGCAAAGATAAAAATGGCATGGTCTCTGACCTCAAAAAACTTACAATATGGTGGGGAAAATAAACAATGTTTTGGGTTCCATTTTTTTTAAAGTCACTATTTCTCGACCATCTATTATTCATAAGCTGCTTTCAACCCCTTATCTGACTCCTCACATTCACCCTGTGAAGAAGGAATTATTAGTTTCATTTTACTGGTGAAGAAACAGATTCAGTGATTTGTTTAGGCCCAAATATCAAGCAGGGGCAGAACCAAGACTGGAAACAAGATCCGTCTTTCTCCAGAGACTGAATATGTTCTTAGGGTAGCATAGCTGAGGGCAGTTAACCCTGATCAGAGCAGGTCAGTGAAAGCACACCTGTGCTGATCTTAAAGGTAGAATAGGATTTCTTCAAGTAAGGAAAGGGTGTTTCAGCAGAAAGGAATTTATGCACAAAGGCAAGGAAGCAAAACACAACAAGCAACATGTCAAGAAACCTCGTAAACCTCGTTGTTCCAAACACTCAACCAAGATCCTGACTCCTAATAATGAATCATGTGGTGAAAAATCTCACTCCATCCATCAGTTTATTTACCTAACCTTTTTTCTCTCTTTCCTTACTCCTCTTCATAAACATGGATACAATGGCTGTTTAAACACCATATCTACTTTTAAGGAATATACAGTTTATTGGAGAGACAAAGTAATCAAATAATCTTACAGACGAATGTAATTTTAGAAATTACATGTTAATATACTTTGCACATTGCAACTGTGACACGTGCTACAAAAAAAGGAATGTGGTGCTACAGGAGCCTATAAGGAGAAACTCAAATGACCTACTCAAGCCTCCCTGGAAAAGTGTCTCTTGAACTGAGATCTTAAAGATGAGTAGGAGTGGCCGGGCGCGGTGGCTCACGCCTGTAATCCCAGCACTTTGGGAGGCCGAGGCGGGCGGATCACGAGGTCAGGAGATCGAGACCATCCCGGCTAAAACGGTGAAACCCCGTCTCTACTAAAAATACAAAAAATTAGCCGGGCGTAGTGGCGGGCGCCTGTAGTCCCAGCTACTTGGGAGGCTGAGTCAGGAGAATGGCGTGAACCCGGGAGGCGGAGCTTGCAGTGAGCCGAGATCCCGCCACTGCACTCCAGCCTGGGCGACAGAGCGAGACTCCGTCTCAAAAAAAAAAAAAAAAAAAAAAAGATGAGTAGGAGTTAACTACATAAAATAGGTAGGGAAAAACATTCAGAAAGGGATCTGCTCATGCAAACATCCTTTGGAGGGAGGGAACATTTTCTGGGACCCAGTCCAATCAACCAAAATACCAGTGTAGCTGGAGCCACAGATAAGGCTGGCTACAGTATAATCTATAAAGAGTAAAAACACAACTTTAAAGTAAAGAAGTAGTAAAGAGCAAAGTAAAGAGTAAAGACACAACTTTAGAGTAAAGAAGTTGTGTCTTTACTCTTATATCAATGGGAAGGTATTTAAATATTTTAAGCAGGTAAGTAACAATCAGATTCACACTTTGGAAAAATTCCGTTTAGCCTGGAGATAGGTTGGAAGTGGGCTCAGATGGATGCAGGTTAGAAAGCTATTGCAGCAGCCAGGGGAAAGATGACATGTTAACTTGGGCAGGAGTGTTGCTAGAGAGCATGAGAAGTGAACAGATTATATTGTATATAGGAGATGAAAACTAGGACTTAACAATGGATTGGAAGCAGAAAGTGAGGCAGAGGAACATGCTGAGAATGAGTATAGGTTTCTGGCTCCCATAATCTGATAGGCAGGCAATTGTTTCCAAGTAGATTCATGGATCTATCTGAGCTTCTCCCATGTTGGAGCTCTATCACCTTCAACAGCTGACTTCCAAGGTCACTGTGCTCATCCCACATCAGGAGGTGGGTGGAAAAAAGCATGAAGGATAGAATCTGAGAACTTGTTAGGGGGAAGGTGTGGAAGGTGCTTACATCACTCTGCTCTTCTTCCTTTGGCTGCAAGGAAGGCTGGGAAACAGAGTCTGGCTATCTCTCCAGGAAGAAGAGCAAACAGGTTTGGTCACTAGTTAGCAGTCTCTGCCTCAATGGGCAAGCTAGAAAATGAGCATATTCTTTATTCTGGTCATGGAAGTGTTCCATGGGGACAGAGAACAGTTTTCTACCTTTCGGATTTGTTTACTTTCACTTATTTCTCCTTATCCCTATAGCTCTTTTCTTTACAAAAGTAACTAGAGTTCCCCACTTGCATATATTCATTTTTAATGGGGGCAAATCACCTTTCCAATACTATTTATTTATTTAGTAGATATTTAGTTGTCTGCTATCTTAGCCTAGTTGTTTACTTCATGTCTAAGGACGGCAGGAACAAAGACAACTAATATTTTATTCTTAAAAAGTGGGGATGAGAGGGGTAATTAGAACTGGGTTTTTAATTTATAAGAAAAAAGTATGCACAAATATCATTTCCTTGGTGTTATTTCTAATGACCAAATAAACAAAAACAGTTTAAATGTACATAACGAGAAATGGCTAAGTTAAAATTACGGTACATCTGTATGTAGAATATTGTGCAGTGACTAAAATCATATTTATAAAGAGAATTTTTAGAGTGGGGAACGTTTACAATACAGTGTTAAGTGGAAAATAGCAGGAAGTGCTATCTCACTTACATAAATATATATATGTAAAGAAGATAGCTAGAAGAGAAGATTTTGAATGTTCCCAACACAAAGAAATGATAAATGTTTGAGCTGATATATATATGCTAATTAGCTTGATTTAATCATTACACATTGTACACATACATCAAAATATCACTCTGTACCCCATAAATATGTACAAATGTTATGTGTTAATTAAAAATAATAATTTAATTTTTAAAAAAAGAAGAGTGCATAACCAAATGTTAACTGTAGTTATTAGGTTGGTGCAAAGTAATTGCAGTTTTTGCCATTAAAGGTACTGAGGTAGGATTATATTTCTGAGGTAGGTTTAAAGGAACAGTATATTCCCCTCTCTGTACTTTCCTATGTCAGAAACTATTTTGCAATAAATTTCAGATCAGATTTAAAAGTTCTTTTTAAAAATTCAAAGAAATTCAAGGAAGCCATAGGAGATTGAAAATATGACAGGAAATCACAGCCGGGTCATATGCATGCTTCCCAGGCAAAATGGGCATTAAACTAAATTGGAGGTTCAGTCCCAAATCTTCCCTACCAGAATCTTCCATATGAGTGCTTGTTCAATACTGTTGTAGTATGGAATCCACCAGTCCCATTAACTGAGGACTTTAACATCATAGTGTCATGCATGGATTCCATGGACAGATCCATCAGTTCTGACCTGGCAGGGAGGGCAAAGTAAAAAACAGAACTCAGGCCAGAGGGTCAGTCTTTGTGATACGTTTTGGATCTCTGTCCCCACCCAAATCTCATGTTGAATTGTAATTCCCAATGTTGGAGGTGGGCCTGGTGGGAGGTGATTGGATCATGGGGGCAGTTTCTCTTGGTTAACACCATCCCCCTTGGTGTTGTCATCAGAGTGAATTATTGCAATATCTGGTTGTTTAAAAGTGTGTGGCACCTCCCCACTTTCTGTCTTCCCCATCCTGCTCCAGCCATGTAGGACGTGCCTGCTTCCCCTTCGCATTCTACCATGATTGAAAGTTTCCTAAGGCCTCCCCAGAAGCCATACAGCCTGTGTAACCATGAGCCAATTTAACCTCTTTTCTTTATGCATTACCCAGTCTCAGGTATTTCTACACAGCAGTGCAAGAACGGACTGATACACTTGGGTAGATGAGGTGGGGTAAAAATGCCAAACTCATGGTTAAGGAGAATCGAGGAGAAAGGACAGAGATTGGCTACAATAGAACAGTCAAGAAGTACCAGACACCAAACAAGCAGATCCAACAGGCAAAAGCTGTGGGAGCATATTGAATTCAGAAGTGTTAAGTGAGGTTCAGGAGCAAGGATTCAGGTGCTGGGCAGTTCACATTAATTTCCTAGGATGAGATTTAGGCTAGTGCCTAACTTAAATATCTAAGGCCCACTTTTTCTTGCCTTCAAACTTCATACAGAAATGGTTTAGTGTCCAAATATCTGAGTAGGCATTTTCCAAGAAAGGCATTTCTAATGCCTAGATATTTAAATAGTAATGATAATAGCAAACATTTATTGAGCACCTATTATGTAGTGGCCTCACACTGTGCTAAAGGCTTTCTGTGCTTTACAGATACTATCTCATTTTATTGCATGAGCACTTCCTTCCCATTTTAAAGATAAAGATACTTGGTCTCAAAGAAATAAAAAACTGCCTAAGTCACAAAACTAGATATGGGTGGAGCCAGGTTTGAATCCAGGTCAGTTTGACTCCATAACCTGCAGTCTTAATCATGTCTTTAATGATCAATGGCTAACTCCTTGTGATCATTGATGTTTTCTGAGTTTCTTTTTTAAAAATTTTGATGTGAAAGTTGTCAGAATCAAGATAGAATCACTTATGTTAAAAAAAAATAATAATAAACCTCACAAATACAGCCAAGGAAGTTCATGAAGAGAGATCTCATTCATAAGTGCCTAATAAAAACTATCACAAAAGACTGTGAAAACTGCAAACTTGCACAAAAAAAATACTTCAAGGTCATTTGCCCAGCAAGTGCTTGTGCAGTTTGCATTGGTGTCACCCTTGTTATTGATCCTCATAACCAAGGATACTTATCTCAAAACAATTATGTAATCCTCCTCATTTTTCTTTTAAAAGTATTTGTCTTCCTTTACTTCCTGAATACGCACATAGTTTATTATGGCATGTGTGTTTCCATTGCGATACCCTATTCCCAAATAAATATCATTTTCTTTTGGAGAGCCCCTCTCTGTTCTTTATTTAGATTGACATATAAATGGTGTCAGAAATGGGACCTGGAGGAAAATTACTACTAGAAGGAATAGATGATTCTTGAAATGTGTATGGAGTACTCACATGAGCCCTTCGAGCTCTCTGCTTCCATGGCTCACTTTTTCTGCCCTGATGGTCTTCTCTTAGGCAAATCCTCCCTCTTTCTGGTAGAAGATCTTAACATCATTTGGGATCTCATTTGAATAAGGCTGCTTTAATAAATGACTTTACATCCATCCTGGGATGATAAAAGACATTTTGTATTGACGGGCAAGTCTTTTCTGGTATAAAGACAAGCGTCTTTCTGGTTTGAGTACTCTGGTTTCTACAGAATTTACACCCTGTCTGTAAGGCATGTCTTTTCTGCTGAATTTACTCTTGGTTCTTCCTGTCTGCCTAATTTAATATTTTGTTTTATTCACATACCTAGGTTAAAATTTTTGTGAACACTCTTATCTTAGTTTCCTTTGGTTTGGTTACGTGCATCTGTAAATGATTTGTCTCTTTTCCCTTGCCTGTTTCTGAAAATCTTCTTAGAGCAAAATAAACATTCTAAATGGTAGATGCAGGATGGCTAAATAAAAGCAACTAGGTTGGTTGCCATCATCTTGGTCCAAACTCCTGACATTCTCTAACAGAATATACAGGATTTTATTTGCTCTTGAGAGATTAGTAAGAAATAGAATGGTATTCCTAAATATTAAGGCATGCCAAGTTTTCTGGAACTCTAGCTGGCTACATATATTGCTCATTCTCATACACATTTTTAAACTGATGGACAAATTACATTGAGAGAAATTGAGAGCTCAAATGATTAATGTTCAAATTATGGTTTTAAAACCCTGCAGCTACAGAGTTAACATGTACAGCCTTCTGAGTTCTTGTCTACTCTACTTTTTTTCTGCCTACTGTGAATATGCTGATGTTTTTGCTGGTATTGAGATAAAACTCACTGTTTATGGCATTTCAGCAAAGAGAGAGAGGGAAACAAGTCTTAAATAGCTTTCAAACCAGTTACAAACTATTACAGCTCCATAGTAATCAACAACCCAGACCTAAGAGTCATCGCCCCCCAACCTTTTTTTTTTTTTTTTTTTTGAGACAGGGTATGGCTCTGTCACCCAGGCTAGAGTGCAGCGGCCATATCATAGCTCACTGCAACCTCTAATTCCTGGACTAAAGGGATCCTCCTACCTGAATCTCCTGAGTAGCTGGGACTACAGGTCCATGCCACTGTTCCTGGCTAATTTTTTTATTATTTTTGGTAGAGACAAGGTCTCACTTTGTTGCCCAGGCTAGTCTTGAACTTCTGGGATCAAGCAATCCTCCCACCTCAGCCTGCCAAAGTGCTGGGATTACAGAAATGAGCCACTGCACCTGATCCATCCCTTTTAATGTAAATTTAGGTTTGCCTAGCTAACAATTTTTTTGGGGGATGGAAGAGTTAATTGAAGAATTGACAGTCTAAAAAAGAACTAGATAAATGCTTATACAAATTAGGCTCTTGGATAAAGCAGGTCAAAATCTTGAGCTCACAGCAATAATATAAGGTATCTCTGTTTAGCATAAAAATTGCGTTTGTCTATCATGCAGGAATCAAAAAGAAAAAGGCAGAAAAAAAACCCTTTTAAAATACTTATTTACCTGCATTGATTAGTCAAGAAAAACAGACTAGCAAACAAAAAATAGATTCAAGGCTACTTGAGAATGTTGTTTTTTTATACAATTCAGCCAGTCTCAGCTAAAATGTAAACATTGAAAACTTAACCCTAAACTCATCTGAAACTAAAAAAATGTTGGAGGGCCAGCTTTTAAAACCAAACTGGTGTGGTAACTGCTTTAGTCAGGATTTTAGTCCATAACTTTCATTACATTATCTATTGGAACAAATGAAGTTTAGCCATGTAAACAAGCTTCTTTTTTCAGAAATATAAGTTAGATCCAACTATCTTTTACAAACCAGTGAATTTGTACATATTACTAAAATTCTAAAATGAAACCGATATATTTATGTGCATATATATATGTTTATGTGTGTTTATACATATGTACATGTATTATATGTTGTGTCTACATAGTGAAATAGGGCATAGTTGGCCAAAAATTCCCTAAGGAACTCTACTTAGATTGGCTTAGATAAATGAGCACTCATATAAAATAATACTAATTAACAAATGCATTTTAGTTAATGTGACTTAAGCAAATCTTTAATAAATAAGCTGGTTTTAAAATTATTGGCAAAATCAAAATAGAAATGTCTTCAGAATTGTCAG
Organism: Homo sapiens; assembly: GCF_000001405.40. NCBI lineage: Eukaryota > Metazoa > Chordata > Mammalia > Primates > Hominidae > Homo > Homo sapiens. Next base: position 55,850,438 of record NC_000002.12, on the reverse strand, counting down.
CATACTTTTTTTCCTGGGTTTACTGATCAGACGGTTTTATATATTTGTCCTTGCTAGAAGTTTTAAGGTATCAAAATTTGACACAAAGTTTACAAAATTATAAGCCCAGCCTAAAAGAGAATGATCTTTGCTTGTGCAATTTTTTGATAAGTAACACTAATTTAATATTGTTGGCTTAATAAAAATGACTGTAGCTTCTGAGTTGTCAACAAAACACCAATGTATTTAACTTTAAAGTTCTGAGTTGGGTGAATATCTGATATTAACAGGCTATAAAAATGGTTAACAGGGATAACTTTAAATGATGACTAGCTTTGTCTAATATTTCCATTTTCACACATAATCTAGGTAAATTTTTAAAAAACAAATAAGTTAGATAATGTAAAAGAGATAAATGTTTATCAATCAACTTTTCATGTAATTTGAGATTTTAAAGTTACATTGAATTAAGCAATAGATATCCACTAAATGTCTGGGATCAAATTTCCAAAGCAAACCAAAGCTAAAACATAAATTTCTCCAGCCTGGGCAACATAGTGAGACTTCATCTCTACAAAAAAAAGAAAAAAAATTTAAGTACCTGAGCATGGTGATACATGCCTATAGTCCCATCTGCATGGGAGACCGAGGCAAGAGGATTGTTTGAACCCAAGACTTTGAGGCTGCAGTGAGCTATGATCATGTCACTACTCTCCAACCTCAGCAATAAGAGTAAGACTGTCTAAAAAAATTTTTTTTAAACCCTAAAATTGCTGAATATAAATATAAGGGTTTTTATAGAAAGACTAAATATATTTGCATTTATTAATACACGTAAAATTATGTTGTAATTATAAAATGGTTCTCATCTATAAAATACTGATATGTGACAAAGAGTTCAAAATTACTCAGGACCTTAAAGTATGCAAGATTACTAAGAGCTAAAATTCTAATTAATATATATAATTCTGTATACAAAGTGTACCAAAAAAATATGGGATGAGAAAAGTTATAAGAAAGTCATTAAAAAATGTGTTCTTATTAGAAAGAAGTAATTTTGTCTAATTCAGAGGTTATTTAAAGGTTGTTTCAAAATACAGAAACAAGACATAAAGAAACCAGTAAGTAAGAGTGAGAGATATGAAGAAAGTTATGGAGTTTAAGATGTATTTTTAGCAAGGAAGTTTTTTAAAAAGAGAACACTTTTGTATGAGGAAGAATCTTGTGTGATAAATTTTTGTCCTAAAGTAAAATGGTTATTTATGAAAGAGGAAGTACAGGACAAAGCAGAAAGTCTAAACATGTCACATAAGGTCTCAGTAGGTCATAATAAAGTTTAGGAAGGATGGATTATGAATTTATGAAAGAATTTTGTATATGATCTAATTGGCTATAATCAGAAAGGAATTATTTATGTCTTTCCAAAGGTTGCATTTGATATTAAAAATACACTAATACGAAACTAAAACTGTGGTCCTCTGTGTTACAACAACAACTTTTTTTTTTGAGACAGAGTCTCACTCTGCTGTCCAGGCTGTAGTGCAGTGGTTAGTTCTCAGCTCACTGCAACCTACGCCTCCCAGGTTCAAGGGATTCTCCTGCCTCAGCCTCCCGAGAACAACAACTTTTCTTAAAGTATTGATCTGCTCATAGTAAAGTTGCAAGAGGTTTTGATTTTAAAATCTAAAATCTGTTTCTTTTATGGCCATCTTCTAAACTGCAGACAGTTTCCATTTCTGCCACATTTCTTTCCTGAGCTCAATTTTTAATTTTCCTAGTTTCAGGCTGGGAATGCTGTTCTCTTCATTTAGAATGGTACTTTCATTTATTCAGGTATAATTTTCCTCATAAGCTTCTCCAATTCATATCTCAGAAGTTCAACTTTTGCTGTATCTCTAAGCACGTGGTTTACAGGTTATGCATCATTGCCTTCAGCTCTTTCTCCCCTTGAGAAGGCCCAGGATGATAACTTTCTCCTTCAACCTTTCATTAGCTGGTGGAACATCTTTTTTCCCACTTCTAACTCTGTTATCACCTGACACTAAAATGCTTATCTTGAAGGCCCAGAAAAGCAATGTTTTGCTCCAGTATAACTTGATTCTGGACTCTTGGCATTTGTTGATGTATCTGAATTTTCCGTGTAACCAGTAAATATCCTGTGCTGTTACTAAGAACCATATATTCCCCTGCTCAAAGTACTAGTTTTCTTGTTTACATTCCTCTATAGTAAAGTGTACACTTATGACCTTGGACATACTTCTTCCTGTGTCTGATTAAATTCAAATACTCTTTTTTAAAAATCAAGTTCATCTTCCAGTTTATCTAAATAAGCTTCCTACAAGAAAAAGCAATCACATTGCAGGGGATTTTTCTTTACCTTTTTTGTAACTGGCCTAAAAAAAAAGAATTTATATTTCATTAGGATAATTTCCTGTGTCCTCTTTATTAGGTTTTTTATTACTTAGAAAAACTGAGCTTTGAAATGGTTAAGGTTTTGCATACACCTAATTTTCTGTGCTGTTTTCAAAGACTTTTGTTATCACTGTTTAAATAAATGACTTATTTCACCATGACCTGTGATCCTCTTTTGAGTGGGTATTTTTGACCTTTTAATATTTTTGTCAGGCTTACCCAGGATCACAATTATAAATCAAGCCTTTTTGATCTAGAATTCACTTTGGGATTTTCCAGTTGAGCCCCTGGAGAGCCTCAAAGGACACATCTCTTATCTTGTAGAGATATTAAATGATTAGTATTATTTGGTAAATTATATAGGAAACATTGTCAAATAATAGGTGACTCTATATCCTCTTTCAGTTACATTTATGGGTATATTATTGAAAAAAGTATTTGGAAAATTATATAAATTCATAGAAATATAATACGTTAGTGATAATTTTGGTTATGTTAAATTTTCGTAAAAGTTATATTTGTGTTGATATTGTTGATGTGAATACTCTAAAGATTATATGGAATTTATAAAAGTCTTGATGTAACTCAGTCATGATTCTGGTTGTTATCTTAAAATACGTAATAGAAATAACTAAGTTTCCCTGCCAATTGTGAACTTTCATCAGTTTTAACCATGACTATTCTAAGTTTTTGTCATCCACAGTTATTGTTTTGATTTTTCTCTAAAAGCATCTGCAATCAGCTATAATTGCTTTTCTTTTTTTTTTGTTTTGTTTTGTTTTGTTTTAAGACAGAGTCTCGCTCTGTCACCCAGGCTGCAGTGGTCTGCAGAGCCACAATCTTGGCTCACTGCAACCTCCACCTCCCGGGTTCAAGTGATTCTCCTGCCTCAGCCTCCCAAGTAGCTAGGATTACAGGCACCCACCACCATCCCTGGCTAATGTTTGTATTGTTCATAGAGACAGGGTTTCACCATGTTGGCCAGGCTGGTCTAGAACTCCTGACCTCAGGTGATCCACCCACCTATACCTCCCAAAGTGCTGAGATTACAGGCATGAGCCACCACAACTGGCCTATAATTGCTTTCCATGAAAAAGATTCTAACAGTATGTTTAAGATAACACAGGTTTCCAATAACTTTAAGACCAACAGACTAAATAAAATTTTCAGAACTATAATAAAGAAATTGAAGAATTCATGAAACTGCTAATGAAGATCAAACAGAACAAAAATTAATTATGCAAGATTAAGTAACTAATGAAAATAATGTTTTTATTACTGTTAGTAGAAACATTAGTTCTATACATAAATGTGTTGTTTCCCAGATTTAAGGAAATTTTCTGTCTTAAGCTATCTATAGTTTACAGCAATTTAGTAAAATATAATTTTGTGAACAAGAATGAAAGCATTTGCTTTTGCTCCTTACTTGATTCTTCCAAAATTCAGAAACTATTTGTAAGTATTCTGATGGCAATATGGTTACTTGTGTAACTCTAATAAAAAGCTGCTCTCTCTTTATAGCAGGTTACAATTGGAAATATTGGTTATATTGCCAAGATTTTAGTGTCATATTTGAGAATGTGCATAGAATACCTGGCTTCCCAGCCTTACAGCGAGTACATTTAAAAATGTCACTCTCTGACAGGCCCAGGAACCTGAAGACTGTAGATAAAATCTAAAGTCTGCCTTAGCTTGGCTGCCTAGCCTCAAGAGGCTTGTAAATCTGAAGTTTCTATGTGATCAATGTAAAGAGAAGAAGTTATGTTTCTAAAGAAAAGCTACAATACACCTGTTATTAGACTGTAGCCCTGTGCATTGTTTCCAAGTTCTTGTTATCTGCCTATAGACTAGACTATCTTCTCTTTGTAAACTTTGCGTCTGGTACTTGTTAAATTTTTGCAGAAATATAACTCCTAAATGCTGTCCCAGTACTTTGAGATGATGGGAAAAGACTATAGAACAAGGTTAAACTTAATAATGAACTCCAAGTAGCCTTAGCCTGAGAGCCTCTCCCTTCAAATCTCCTTTGTTGCTCAAATGTGGCTAAAAGAGTTTTAACACTGACTGCTAGCTGCCATTCACTCTCTCCAATATGGGACCAGACCAGAAACCCAGGACAGGCCCATCCTGGCACAAAGGGCCATCAAAATCTAACTACAGGATGATTGATCAACAATGTGTTTGGAGAGAGATCTTGATCAAAAGTGGGAAATGGGACAGGTGCAGTGCTCACACTTAAAATCCCAACACTTTGGGAGGCCAAGGCAGGAGGACTGCTTGAGGCCAGGAGTTCAAGACCAGCCTGGGCAACATGGAAGGAGCCCATCTGTACACTATAGGTGTGTTGACACACACCTATAGTCCTAGCCACTCAGGAGGCAGAGGTGGGAGAATCACTTGAGCCCAAGAGTTCGAGGCTACAGTGAGCTATGATTTTCCAGCCCAGATGACAGAGCAAGACTCTCTCTCAAAAAAAAAAAAAAAAAATGGCAGCAGTGGGTGAAAATATGAGAGTTGTTAGAATCAAAATATAGTCACCCGTGTTAAAAAAAAAAAAAACCCTGACAAATAAGGCCAGGAATAAATATGAAGAGGGCAGTTCTCATTCATAAATGAATGATAAAAACTATCACAAAAGATTTTGCAAAAACTGCAGACTTGCACACACAAAAATACTTCTTCGAGGACATTTCCCCAGCAAGTGCCTGTCTAACTTTGGGCTGCTGTCATCATTGTTGTTGATCCTTGTAGCCAAGGATAATTATCTCAAAACAATTATGTAATTTTCCTTATTTTTCCTTTAAAAAGTTTTCTCTTCCTTTTACCCGCCTGAGTATGCACATAGTTTACCATGGCACATGTAAGCAAAGGTTGCCTCATCAAAGCTAAAAAAAGACTGTGCAATTCCCATTGCAATGCTCTATTCCCAAATAAATATCATTTTCTTTTAGAGGGCCTCTCTCTGTGATTTAGACTAACAGCAATAAACCAAAAGTAGGGCTGGAAGACATCATAAGTAAGTAAACTGCATTAAGGTCTTTGGTCTCTGTTAAAGTAATTGTACTAATAGAAAACTATTTATGAAAGTTAATTTACGAAATACAGAAGTCTTCTCAACACCCCTAACATCACATGATGGAAACTGGAGATGACTCTTCTTCCCCATCTCTAGACAAGGCAAATAAAGAAAAAACTAACTTTACACTAGGAAGTGCGTGCCTCTAGTCCCAGCTACTTGAAAGGCTGAGGCAGGAGGATCGCTTGATCCCACGGTTCAAGGCTGCAGTGAGCTATGATCGTACCACTGCACTCTAGCCTGGGCAACAGAGTGAGACCCTATCGAAGAAGGAGGAGAAGGAGAAGGAGAGGAAGAGGAAGAGGAAGGAGAAGGAGGGAAAGAAAGAAAGGAAAGAAAGAAAGAAAGAAAGAAAGAAAGAAAGAAAGAAAGAAAGAAAGAAAGAAGACTAGGAATATCTAGGCAGCTATTAAAATTAGTCTGTTTTCATGAAGGATCTAAATGGAATAGGTAAGGCATTAAGCAGTTACAATGTCTAATTTAAATTGAAAACACAATACACATACCTGTGAGATTCTTTTTTAGACCACTGAAATGCACTTCCTTTAGACCAAACATCTAAAGGACACTGTTAAATATAAAGTTTAAACATAAAAATCCCTTATAATGCAGTAAACATTTATGTGGGCTGAAGAATATATTCAATTGTGTAGGACTGAAGAATTGATAAAACAGTAAGTACTCCTTTGTATGCTTCTTAGAGATTAATGTAGAGCTGTTGAATATCAGTTGCAACTTAATAACATGCTCAGATTTTTGCATTTTTTTTTAATTGCTCAAGATTTGGCACATTTTTTTCTGTTGAGTGAAAGCCCATGCATGCAATTACCTGTGAGGAAAGCTATAGACACGTTAGGGCCACTTTGCCTTAACAGAAGTAGCTGTACATTATGAATTGCATATTCTCCATCTCTGGTCCTAAATCTAGCAGGCCATTCCAAAAGCTTCCATGGGGGCTTCAGCATATATCATTTACTTCCTGTTCCAAAAAAAAATAGTTCCTTAAACAGCAATTCTCTTCTTGTTCCCAAAAACCGTTTCAAACACTCTGTGATGAAATTATGCAAAGGAAACAAAACAAGTGATCCTTTGGATGTTACAAAATGGCAGTCAGGAAGTCTAATAGCAGCCTATGACCACTTGGGAGGAGGATAAAATTAAACATCTGCTCAAAGACACAAAAGAAATTTTGTTGACATTGTTTTTTTAATGGTCCAAGTGTCGATCTGAGGATTCCATTTTGAAGTCACTGAAGTTATATCAAGATACATTTTTTATTCAATGAGAGTGCTCAGAGGTGGGTGGGGCAAGTTTCCATGTCACACAAATAAAAATAGATGATAAATAAAAAGAAGAAATGAAACATGATGTAATACAAAGCCATTTAGCTCTGCCAGATGCTTCTGTAGCAAACAAGGAATAGCAGCAAGTCAAATGCATGTCCTGTTATCTTCCCATAGCTTCAGTAATGAATTATTTGGTGTGAAAGCAAGCTTGGGCCCCAGATCTTGACAGTTTTATAGTCCTTGGTCAAAGTTTTCAACAGCGTTTGGGGCAGGCGTGACTAGGCAGCTAGATTACACATACTGAATTTCCACTTACAGATACACAATGTTTACTTTTCAGGGTGAGCCAGTAAACCAGCTCACCAATTAGGCCACACATTCTTTGTGCCTCATGAAAGCTAAGCAAAGACTGTGGATGTAAAAGCCTCAGAAACACATGCAGCTGGAATTTCCTCCAATGTGCCGTCACACAATCTCCATGAAAAAGACTCTCAGTGACCAGTAGCCTTCTGTATCACAAGCACAAGTGTCTCTCGAGTGGAGAGTTCTAGTTCTGTGGGTTCTGAAGACCCACATCCAGGCAGATGAAAGGATCAAACTTCAGAAACAGAGGCAAAGTTTTACCAAAAAATCACCTAAACTCCTTTATGCTCCCTATCACTTAGCCTGTCATTCAAGTTTCTCCGCAATCAATTGTTCAACTTTTTAAACCAAACTTTCCTTAAATGAATCCTATGTTCCAATCAAACTGATCTTCTCATGGTATTCTAAATATGCAGTATGAATTTCTACCTCTCTGTCTCTGCTCAAACCATTGGCTCCACTCAGAATGTCATCATCCTGCCCTCCCTATCTCTTCTTCCTCATCATAAATCTAACACCTGCACCTAGACCCCATTCAAAGGCAACCTCCTCCATGAACACTTCTTGGCTACAGTGATTTCTGTCTTCTCTGGCCTCTTGTAGCATTAACTTCTTTTACACAAATTTGATGCTAATACTGCTACATGAACATCTTCATATCATCATAGAACTTTTTATGTATGTGTATTTTGCCCTCCCAAGAAACTGCCCAGCCACCTGTAAGCCACTTCTACTTGGGTGGCAGTCATACTGCAAATTCAACAAATCTACACCAAACCTATATCCTTCTTAAATATCTACTGCCAGAACCATCATTCATACATTTCAGCTAGGCTCAAAATTATGAAATCACCTTTGATTTTTCCATATTCCCCATATTCAATTAGTCACCAGGGCCTGGGAATTTTAGCATTAACATATCTCTTGCAACCACCGCTTTTTCCATTTCTGCTGCCAACACCCCTGTTCAGGCCTTTATTTCTTCATCTGGACTATTTCAATAGTCTCCCAATGGCCTCTCTATCTGCAGTTTATCCACCACCTCCAATCCAATCTGAGCATACAACTAGACTAATCTTCTCAAATACAGCTCTGACTCACATGATTTATCTGTGTAAACATCTCCAATGGCATCCCAAGGCCTACCAAATAAAGCAAAACTTCCTCAATCTGGCCTGAAGTGGGCCCAGTGTAGTGGATGTGGTAATGCCACCCAGATCCTCCTCTACCAGGATAATCATTCCCCTAGATACCAGCAATGTTGGCTTCTGCCAGGTCATAGTTGAACCCCTTGCCAGAAATCGCCTTTGGCAAAGGAGCAGTTTGTCCTGAGTTCGCCCCCTCCCCAGAGGTAGCCCACATTCAATGACTGATTGCTGTGAAGATACACAGCCCCAGCCCCTTGCCTCAATTCAGAACTTTGTGAGGTTATGCCAGCTTCTAATTACCACATGGGATCAGCTGACAGCCCTGTTGCAATTTCATTTCAGTTCAACTTCACCTTCTGCCATATCCTGCCCCTCTCACTCCCTCACTCTCTCACAGGAGTTAATCCCAAGAGCACTCCCCAATAAATTGCCTGCACTGGAATCTTCATCTCACAGTTTGTGCTCAGGAAACCCAGTGTAAGACACCCAACCACCTTTCTTTCATATCTTCCACTCTTGTCTTTTGTATATCCTCCACTCCAGTCAGTCTGGGTGATCTGCCATTCCTTTAAGCCATCTCATGCATTAACACTCACTCATTCATCCAAAAAGTGTCTACCGATTATCTAGAATGTTCCAGACTCTATAAGGAGTATTGGCCTAAATGAATATAGACAAGTAAACAGGCCAGTAGGATACAGTAGAAGCAGTGACTTCCCAGCTAACACCAGAGAAAGAGCAAGGGAAAAGAGTGTGCTAGATAGGGAAGAGCGTGCACGGAGTCTGAGAGATAGGAAAACCTGCCTGGTATGTGAGTGAACTGCAGGTGCACTTCAAAATGTCTGAAGCTCAGGGAGCTTGAGGAGTGGTGGCAAGAGATGAGGCAAGAGAGGTCAGCAGGTCCAGAATGAGAAAGACAAGAAGCCTTATTGGGGACCTGGACACTATCCTTAGAGCAAAGGGAAGATATTAGAGGGTTGTAAGGAAAGAAAACACAATGATCGTATTTGTGCCTTAGAAAGATTCCTTTGGCTACAACGTAGAGAAAGAATTACCTGGAGGGAAAGTTGAAGGGAAATGGCTACTGCAGTCATCCAAGCAAAAGATGATGGTGAGCTGACCCAAAAAGGTAGCAATAGAGATGGAAAGACCTGGACACATACAGAGATATAAAACAAAATAAAATATAAAAGATCTAGTGGTTCTTTACATGGAAGGTGTTGGGGAGGGAGGAGTCAAGATTATACCATGGTTCTGAATTGAATAACTGGGTGTACATTATTCACTAAGATAGGAAACTGAGGAAGATGCAGATTTGGGGAGAAAGATAATGGGTTTGGTTTTGAACATGCAGAACTTAAGGCATTTAAGTAAGAGCTGTGTATATGAATGTGCACAGCAGAAAGTTAGCTATATAGGTCTGAACTTCAAGAGGGCAGCCTGGCTAGAGACATAGGCAAGGCATCATCAGTATATATATACACTCATAGAAACCTGGAGATGAGATTGACAAGAGCCATCAGAAAAGCGGAAGTAAACACAGCAGAATGTGGTGTCTGAAGCCAAGAGAATAACTTCAAGATGAAGCAAGTGGACAACAGCATCAAATATTACTCAGGCCAAATAGAATAAGGACTAAAAAGAGTGTCCACTGATTAGAAAAGCCACTGTGCCTTTGCTCAAACTATACCCTTGGTTTGGGATGTCCTTTCCCACAACCAGAAACCAAAGAAACATTTTCCATCTTTCAAGGATCTGCTCAAGTTACCTCACATTTGCATATGGCAGTTTAGTGAACATCATCACGTTACCTCATTTACTGACAGTAAGATCTTGAGGGTTAAGACCATCTCTTATGCATCTTGGCATCCCCTTCAGCTCATTAAAATGTAGATGCTGTAGGTTCAGAAAAGGAGCCAAATGTGCAGGAAAAGGTTCATCAAAGAACAGAATCTAAGGGTTGGAAGAGCTGATCCACAGGGCAGAACCATTGCCTGTCCCTGCCAGCAAGAGGGTACACATAGGACAAGCCGCTGCCCATGTGGGAAGAGTGATGAAGAAATTTCCTTTACTGTTTAGAAAGGAACTCTAAATAGTCTTTATCCTTATATGCAAACTTAGTAAATGAAATGGTAAACAAGACTTTCCTGGCTTTTCATTGTGACATTAATTTTGTGGACCAGTTTAGTGCTAGATCTGGAACAAAATACCCACATCTTCCAAAGCCTGGCTGACATCACTTACCCAAAAGGGAGGCCATGAATAGCCACTGATAGCAGGCATTCATCTTCTGAGTTTTTTGTTTTGTTTTGTTTTTTTCTGGAGCGTAAACATCTAAAAAGGAAAGGCTTTTTGAACTAGGTGCAACTGCCAACTTCATTTACCCCCTCATATTTAATGAGCCTATTTTGCTTTATGAGTACTTCAAAAGAGCTGACAGAGAGGAGGAGGCTATGAATAGAAAACATGAAGCAACTTGCTGAGCCCTCATTGTGAGGTCGACAGCTTGCTTTGTCATACCCTTGCAGACCTACGTTTTCATGATTCCTTTTTCAAACACTTATCGAAATCCAAAGCAGAAGAGAATTCTTGATCTCCTCCAAAGTGTCAACATGAAAGACAATATTTTAAGGCAGCCTGAGGGAGATGTGGTCACCAACACAGTAACAACAATCAAGGTGGTAGTAATGCGGTACATTTTTTTGGAGGCATTAAGCCCAGTCCTCCAAAATTTGCTGCACAGCTGCAGGGATAGGAAATATTCTGCCCTTCCCCCATTCCTGCCTAAGCAACATTCCTGTTGAGTTGTCAAGAGGCCCTGGCATTTAGAACATTGGCAAATATTTACTCAACACCAGTAGAGTACTTTAAATACGGCGAGTCCTCAATGGTGGAGACACTCGACACCACTAACAAATAACCCTTTGAGCAGTAGCTTTTTATAAATGTAGGGAGGACAGAGTAGAGGAGATAAAAATTAATAAGGGTAGGAATTCCCAGCAGCTTCAATCTGGAATATGATGCCTAAAGGAATTTCAAGTTAGTAAGTTTGTAAATATCTATTAACACTAAGTACTGCAGGATTCTGGGTGGTCGCCTCTTTTCACCACCTCATTTTGCCATTTTGGCACTGCTTTCATATTAATGTTGTGTATAATATTGCACACTTCAATTCTGGGTGTCTTTACCCCTTATATTGTGGTTTCCACTGACAACCAGAGCAGGTTAAAAACAAATGATACACTTCACACTGATCTATCCCACAATTGCTCAAGGATGAATAGCATCATAAAAGTGGAACAAGCTGTATAAGGAGAGCACTTCAGGCAGGAGAAAGAGTCAGCTAAATCTGACACCCAGGAAGGAAATTAGGATTTAGTCCAATGCCAGCATTTTACATCATTTTTTTTTAACTTAACAAGCTGAGACATGAGTTTTACCAAGATCACATAATTATAAGCGTCTTCTCAGAATTAGTTTTACTCTCTGTGTTTCCTCTGTTTTTAATACCTATAATATTAGAACTCGATCGCAATATAACTGCATGCTACACTTTACAATCTTGTTTAAAAAAACATTTATTTTAGGTTCAGAGGTACATAGGCAGGTTTGTTATATAGGTAAATTATGTGTCACCAGGGTTTGGTATACAGATTATTTCATTATCCAGGTAATAAGCATAGTGCCAAATAGGTAGTTTTTTTTAATCCTCTCCCTCCTTCCACCCTCCCTCCTCAAGTAGGCCCCAGTTTCTGTAACGTGCAGTATTTGATATTCTGTTTCTGCATTAGTTTGCTTAGGATAATAGCCCCCAGCTCCATCCATGTTGCTGCAAAGACATGATCTCATTCTTTTTTATGGCTGCATAGTATTCCATGGTGTACCACATTTTCTTTATCCAGTCTATCATTTGATGGGCATTTAGGTTGATTTCATGGCCTTGCTATTGTAAATAGTGCTGCCATGAACATATGTGTGCATGTGTCTTTATGGTAGAATAATTTACATTCCTTTGGGTATATACCCAATAATGGGATTGCTGGGATGAATGGTAATTCTATTTTAAGTTCTTTGAAAAATCACCACACTGTTTTCCACAATGGCTGAACTACTTTACATTTCCACCAGCAGTGTATAAGCATTCTTTCTCTGCCATCTCCCTACCATATTATTTTTTTACTTTTTAATAGTAGCCATTCTAGGCCAGGCATGGTAGCTCACGCCTTTAATCCCAACACTTTGGAAGGCTGAAGTGGGTGGATCGCTTGAGCCCAGGAGTTCAAGAGCAGCCTGGGCAACATGGCCAAACCCAGCTTCTATAAGAAATACTAAAATTACCCAGGTGTGGTGGGCATGCACCTGTAGTCCCAGCTACTTGGGAGACTGAGGTGAGAGGATTACTTGAGTCCAGGAGGAGGAGGTTGCAGTGAGCCAAGATTGTACCGCTGGAGTGCAGTGGTACAATAAAAAACAATAATAATAATAGCCGGGTCCATTCCAAGATGGCCAAATAGGAACAGCTCTGGTCTGCAGCTGCCAGCGTGATCGATGCAGAAGATAGGTGATTTCTGCATTTCCAACTGAGGTACCTGGTTCATCTCATTGGAGTTGTTTTGACAGTGGGTGCAGCCCACAGAGGGCAAGGCAAAGCAGGGCAGGGTGTTGCCTCACCCAGGAAGTGCAAGGGGTTGGGGGGATTTCTCTTTCCTAGCCAAGGGAAGCTGTGACAGACAGTACCTGGAAAAAAGGGACACTCCCACCCAAATATTACGCTTTTCCCATGGTCTTAGCAACTGGCAGAGCAGGAGATTCTCTCCCGTGCCTAGTTTGGTGGGTCCCACACCCACAGAGCCTTGCTCACTGCTAGTGCAGCAGTCTAAGATTGACCTGCGAGGCTGCAGCCTGGCGGGGGGAGGGGCGTCTGCCATTGCTGAGGCTTGAGTAGGTAAACAAAGTAGCCGGAAAGCTCAAACTGGGAGGAGCCCACCACAGCTCAGCAAGGCCTACTCCTCTATAGACTCCACCTCTATGGGCAGGACGTAACTGAACAAAAGGCAGCAGAAACTTCCGCAGACTTAAACGACCCTGTCTGACAGCTCTGAACAGAGCAGTGGTCTCCCAGCATGCTGTTTGAGCTCTCAGAATGGACAGACTGCCTCGTCAAGTGGGTCCCTGAACCCCTTGTAGCCTAACTGGGAGACACCTCCCAGTAGGGGAGGACAAACACCTCATAAAGGTGGGTGCCCCTCTGGGACAAAGCTTCCAGAGGAAGGATCAGGCAGCAATATGTGCTGTTCTGCAATACTTGCTGTTCTGCAGCCTCTGCTGGTGATACCCAGGAAAACAGGGTCTGGAGTGGACCTCCAGCAAATTCCAACAGACCTGCAGCTGAGGGACCTGACTGTTAGAAGGAAAACTAACAAACAGAAAGGAATAGCATCAACATCAACCAAAAGGACATAACACACCAAAAACCCATCTGTAGGTCGCCAACATCAAAGACTAAAGTTAGATAAAACCACAAGGATGGGGAGAAACCAGAGCAGAAAAGCTGAAAATTGTAAAAACTAGAGCACCTCTTCTCCTCCAAAGGATCACAGCTCCTCGCCAGCAATGGAACAAAGCTGGACGGAGAATGATGTTGAGGAGTTGACAGAAGTAGGCTTCAGAAGGTCGGTAATAACAAACTTCTCCAAGCTAAAGGAGCATGTTCTAACCCATCACAAGGAAGCTAAAAACCTTGAAAAAAGTTACACAAATGGCAAACTACAATAAATTGTATAGAGAAGACCTTAAATGGCCTGATGGAGCTGAAAACCATGGCATGAGAACTTCATGATGCATGCACAAGCTTCAATAGCCAATTTGATCAAATGAAAGAAAGGATATCAGTGATTGAAGATCAAATTAATGAAATAAAGCAGGAAGACAAGACTAGAGAAAAAAGAGTAATAAAAATGAACAATGCCTCCAAGAAATATGGGACTATGTGAAAAGACCAAATCTACATTTGATTGGTGTACCAGAAAGTGACGGGGATAATGGAACCAAGTTGGAAAACACTCTTCAGGATATTATCCAGGAGAACTTCCCCAGCCTAGCAAGGCAGGCCAACATTCAAATTTGGGAAACACAGAGAACACCATAAAGATACTCCTTGACAAGAGCAACCTCAAGACACATAATTGTCAGATTCACCAAGGTTGAAATGAGGAAAAAATGTTAAGGGCAGCCAGAGACAAAGGTCGGGTTACCCACAAAGGGAAGCCCATTAGACTAACAGCAGATCTCTCAGCAGAAACCCTACAAGCCAGAAGAGAGTGGGGGCCAATATTCAACATTCTTAAAGAAAAGAATTTTCAACCCAGAATTTCATATCCAGCCAAACTAAGCTTCATAAGTGAAGGAGAAATAAAATACTTTACAGACAAGCAAATACTGAGAGATTTTGTCACCACCAGGCCTGCCCTAAAAGAGCTCCTGAAGGGAGCACTAAACACGGAAAGGAACAACCAGTACTGGCCACTGCAAAAACATGCCAAATTGTAAAGACCATCGACGCTAGGAAGAAACTGCATCAACTAACGAGCAAAATAACCAGCTAACATCATAATGACAGGATCAAATTCACATATAACAATATTAACCTTAAATGTAAATGGGCTAAACGTCCCAATTAAAAGACACAGACTGGCAAATTGGATAGAGTCAAGACCCATCAGTGTGCTGTATTCAGGAGACCCATCTCATGTGCAGAGACACACATAGGCTGAAAATAAAGGGATGGAGGAAGATCTAACAAGCAAATGGAATATAAAAAAAGCAGAGGTTGCAATCCTAGTCTCTGATAAAACGGACTTTAAACCAACAACGATCAAAAGAGACAAAGAAGGCCATTGCATAATGGTAAAGGGATCAATTCAACAAGAAGAGCTAACTATCCTAAATATATATGCAGTCAATACAGGAGCACCCAGATTCATAAAGCAAGTCCTTAGAGACCTACAAAGAGACTTAGAATCCCACACAATAATAATGGGAGACTTTAACACCTCACTGTCAATATTAGACAGATCAATGAGACAGAAGGTTAACAAGGATATCCAGGACTTGAACTCAGCTCTGCACCAAGTGGACCTAATAGACATCTACAGAACTCTCCACCCAAAATCAACAGAATATACATTCTTCTCAGCACCACATAGCACTTATTCTAAAATTGACCACATAATTGGAAGTAAAGCACTCCTTTGCAAATGTAAAAGAACAGAAATCACAACACACTGTCTCTCAGACCACAGTGCAATCCAATTAGAACTCAGGATTAAGAAACTCACTCAAAACCACACAACTACATGGAAACTGAACAACCAGCTCCTGAATGACTACTGGGTAAATAACGAAATGAAGGCAGAAATAAAGATGTTGTTTGAAACCAATGAGAACAAACACACAACATACCAGAATCTCTGGGACAAATTAAAAGCAATGTGTAGAGGGAAATTTACAGCACTAAATGCCCATAAGAGAAAGCAGGAAAGATCTAAAATCGACACCCTAACATCACAATTAAAAGAACTAGAGAAGCAACAGCAGAAAAATTCAAAAGCTAGCAGAAGGCAAGAAATAACTAAGATCAGAGCAGAACTGAAGGAGATAGAGACACAAAAAACCTTCAAAAAATCAATGAATCCAGGAGCTGGTTTTTTGAAATGATCAACAAAATTGATAGACCACTAGCAAGACTAATAAAGAAGAAAAGAGAGAAGAATCAAATAGATACAATAAAAAATGATAAAGGGGATATCACCACCAATCCCATAGAATTACAAACTACCATCAGAGAATATTTTGAACACCTCTATGCAAATAAATTAGAAAATCTAGAAGAAATGTATAAATTCCAGTACACATACACCCTCCCAAGACTAAACCAGGAAAAAGTTCAATCTCTGAATAGACCAATAACAGGCTCTGAAATTGAGGCAATAATTAATAGCCTACCAAACAAAAAGAGTCCAGGACCAGTTGGATTCAAAGCAAAATTCTACCAGAGGTACAAAGAGGAGCTGGTACCATTCCTTCTGAAACTATTCCAATCAATAGAAAAAGAGGGAATCCTCCCTAACTCATTTTATGAGGCCAGCATCATCCTGCTACCAAAGCCTAGCAGAGACACAATAAAAAAAGAGAATTTTTACCAGTATCCCTGATGAACATCAATGCAACAATCATCAATAAAATATTGGCAAACCAAATCCAGCAGCACATCAAAAAGCTTATCCACCATGATCAAGTGGGCTTCATACCTGGGATGCAAGGCTGGTTCAACATATGCAAATCAATAAAGGTAATCCATCACATAAACAGAACCAATGACAATAACCACATGATTATCTCAATAGATGCAGAAAAGGCCTTTGACAAAATTCAACAGCGCTTCATACTAAAAACTCTCAATAAATTAGGTATTGATGGAATGTATCTCAAAATAATAAGAACTATTTATGACAAACCCACAGCCAATATCATACTGAATGAGCAAAAACTGGAAGCATTACCTTTGAAAACCGGCACGAGACAGGGATGCCCTCTCTCACCACTCCTATTCAACATAGTGTTGGAAGTTCTGGCCAGGGCAATTAGGCAGGAGAAAGAAATAAAGGGTATTCAATTAGGAAAAGAGGAAGTCAAATTGCCCTGTTTGCAGATGACATTATTGTATATTTAGGAAACCCCATCGTCTCAGCCCAAAATCTCTTTAAGCTGTTAAGCAACTTCAGCAAAGTCTCAGGATACAAAATCAATGTACAAAAATCACAAGCATTCCTCTACACCAATAACAGACAAACAGCCAAATCATGAGTGAACTCCCATTCACAAATGCTACAAAGAGAATAAAATGCCTAGGAATCCAACTTACAAGGGATGTGAAGGACCTCTTCAAGGAGAACTACAAACCACTGCTCAATGAAATAAAAGAGGATACAAACAAATGGAAGAACATTCCATGCTTACGGATAGGAAGAATCAATATTGTGAAAATGGCCATACTGCTCAAGGTGATTTATAGATTCAATGCCATCCCCATCAAGCTACCAATGACTTTCTTCACGAATTGGAAAAATCTACTTTAAAGTTAATATGAAATCAAAAAAGAGCCTGCATAGCCAAGACAATCCTAAACAAAAAGAACAAAGATGGAGGCAATCATGCTACCTGACTTCAAACTATACTACAAGGCTACAGTAACCAAAACAGCATGGTACTGATACCAAAACAGAGATATAGAACAATGGAACACAACAGAGCCCTCAGAAATAATACCACACATCTACAACCATATGATCTTTGACAAACCTGACAAAAACAAGCAATAGGGAAAGGGTTCCCTATTTAATAAATAGTGCTGGGAAAACTGGCTAGCCATATGTAGAAAGCTGAAACTGGATCCCTTCCTTACACCTTATACAAAAATCAATTCAAGATGGATTAAAGACTTACATGTTAGACCTAAAACCATAAAAACCCTAGAAGAAAACCTAGGCAATACCGTTCAGGACACAGCCATGGGCAAGGACTTCATGACTAAAACACCAAAAGCAATGGCAACAAAAGCCAAAATTGACAAATGGGATCTAATTAAACTAAAGAGCTTCTGCACAGCAAAAGAAACTACCATCAGAGTGAACAGGCAACCTACAAAATGGGAGAAAATTTTTGCAATCTACCCATCTGACAAGGGCTAATATCCAGAATCTACAAAGAACTTAAACAAATTTACAAGAAAAAACAAACAACCCCATCAAAAAGTGGGCAAAGGATATGAACAGATACTTCTCAAAAGAAGACATTTATGCAGCCAACAGACATATGAAAAAATGCTCATCGTCTGTGGTCATCAGAGAAATGCAAATCAAAACCACAATGAGATACCATCTCATGCTAGTCAGAATGGCAATCATCAAAAAGTCAGGAAACAACAGGTGCTGGAGAGGATGTGGAGAAATAGGAACACTTTTACACTGTTGAGGGGAGTATAAATTAGTTCAGCTATTGTGGAAGACAGTGTGGCAATTCCTCAAGGATCTAGAACTAGAAATACCATTTGACCCAGCCATCCCATTACTTGGTATATAACCAAAGGATTATAAATCATGCTACTCTAAAGACACATGCACATGTATGTTTATTGCAGCACTATTCGCAATAGCAAAGACTTGGAACCAACCCAAATGTCCATCAATGATGGACTGGATTAAGAACATGTGGCACATATACACCATGGAATACTATGCAGCCATAAAAAAGGATGAGTTCATGTCCTTTGCAGGGACACAGATGAAGCTGGAAACCATCATTTTCAGCAAACTATCACAAGGACAGAAAACCAAACACTGCATGTTCTCACTCATAGGTGGGAATTAAACAATGAGAACACTTGGACACAGGGTGGGGAACATCACACCAGGGCCTGTCAGAGGATGGGGGTTGGGAGAAGGATAGCATTTGGAGAAATACCTAATGTAAATGACGAGTTGATGGGTGCAGGAAACCAATATGGCACATGTATACCTATGTAATAAACCTGCACTTCGTGCACATGTACCCTAGAATTTAAAGTATAATAATTTAAAAATAATAATAATAATGGCCATTCTGACTGGTATGAGATGGTATCTCATCGTGGTTTTGATTTGCAATTCTCTAATGATTTATAATGTTGAGTATGTTTCCATATGCCTGTTGGCTGCGTGCATGTCTTCTTTTGAAAAGTATCTGTTCACGTCCTTTGCCCACTTTTTAATGAAGCTCTTTGTTTTTGCCTGTTAAGTTCCTTATAAATGCTTGTTACTAGATCATTGTCAGATGCCTAGTTTGCAAATATTTTCTCCCATTCTGTAGGCTGTCTGTTTGCTCTGTTGATAGTTTCTTTTGCTGTGCAGAAGCTCTTTGATTTAATTAAGTCTCGTTTGTCCATTTTTGTTTTGTTGCTATTGCTTTTGCCATCTTCATCATGAAATCTTTGCCAGGGCCTATGTCCAGAATAGTATTTCCTACATTATCTTCCAGGGTTCTTATACTTTTAGGTTTTACATTTAAGTCTTTAATCCATCTTGAATTGATTTTTGTATATGGTGTAAGGACAGTGGCTAGTTTCAATTTTCTGCATATGATTAGCCAGTAATCCCAACACCATTTATTGAAGGAGTCCTGTCCCCAGTGCTTGTTTTTGTCAACTTTGTCAAAGATCAGATGGTTGTAGGACTGCGACATTATTTCTGGACTTTCTATGTTGTTACATTGGTCTATGTGTCTGTTTTTGTACCAGTATCATGCAGCTTTGGTTACTGTAGCCTTTATTGTTTGGAGTCAGGTAACAAGGTAACATAATGCCTCCAGCTTTGTTCTTTTTCTTTAGGATTGCTCTGCCTATTCCGGCTCTTTTGTGGTTCTCTATGAATTTTAAAATTTTTTTTGTAATTCTGTGAGGAATATCATTGGTAGTTTGATAGGAATAGCATTGAATCTGTAAATTGTTTTGGGTAGTATGGCCATTTTAACAAAATGGATTCTTCCTATCCATGAGTATAGAATGTTTCCCCATTTGTTTGTGTCATCTCTGATTTCTTTGAGCAGTTTTTCATAATTCTCATTGTAGAGATCTTGTACCTCCCTGGTTAGCTATATTCCTATGTATTTTATTCTTCTTGTGGTTATTGTGAATGGGACTGCATTCTTGATTTGGCTCTCAGCTTAGATGTTGTTGGTGTATAGAAATGCTACTGACTTTTGTACATTAATTTTGTATCCTGAAACTTTGCTGAAGTTGTTTATGGGATCTAGGAGTTTTGGGGCAGAGATTTTGGGGGTTTCTAGGTAAGAATAATGTCATCTGCAAGGAAATTGGCCTGAAGTTTTATTGTTCATTGTCGTGTCTCTGCCAGGTTTTGGTATAAGGGTGATGCTGGACTCATAGAATGAGCTGGGGAGGAGTCTCTTCTCCTCAATTTTTTGAAATAGTTTCAGTAGGAACAGTACCAGCTCTTCTTTAGACATCTGGTAGAATTCAGCTGTGAATCCATCTGGCCCTGGGCTTTTTCTGGTTGGTAGGCTTTTTATTACTGATTCTATTTCAGAACTCATTACTGGTCTGTTCAGGGATTCAATTTCTTCCTTGTTCAATCTTGGGAGGTTATATGTTTCCAGGAATTTATCCATTTCTTCTAGGTTTCTTCCAGTTTGTGTTCATAGAAGTGTTCATAGTAGTCTCTGAGAGTTCTTTGTACTTCTGTGGGGTCAGTGGTAAAGTCCCCTTTGTCATTTCTGATTATGTTTACTTGGATCTTCTCATTTTTTTCCTTTATTCATCTAGCCAGCAGGTTATCAATCTTATTTATTCCTTCAATGAACAAACTACTGCATTTGCTTATCTTTTGTATGGTTTTTCATTTCTCAATTTCTGTCAGTTCAGCTCTAATTTTGATTATTTCTTGTCTTCTGCTAGTTTTGGGGTTAGTTTGCTCTTGTTTCTCTAGTTCCTCTAGATGTGATGTTAGGTTGTTACTTTGAGATCTTTCTTTTTTAAGTGAGCCTTTAGCACTATAAACTTGCCTCCTAATACTCCCTTAGCTGTGTCCCAGAGATTCTGGTATGTAATATCTTTGTTCTCATTAGTTTCAAAGAATTTCTTGATTTCTGCCTTAACTTCATTTTTTACCCAAAAGTCATTCAGGAGCAGGTTGTTTAATTTTTCATATACTTGTATAGTTTTGAGTGATTTCTTAGTGTTGATTTACATTTTAATTGTTCCACGATCTGAGAATGTATTTCATATTTCAGTTTTTTTGAATTTGCTGAGGACTGTTTTATGGCCAATTGTGTGGTTAATTTTAGAGTATGTGCCATGTGCACATGAGAAGAAGAATGTATAGTCTGTTGTTTTTGGGTGAAGACTTCTGTAGATAATTGTTAGGCCCATTTGGTCAAGTGTCAAGGTCAGGTCCCAAATATCTTCATTAGTTTTCTGCTTCAATGATCTGTCTAATACTGTCGTGGGGTGTTGAATTCTCCCACTATTATTGTGTGGTTATCTAAGTCTCTTTCTAGGTCTCTAAAAATTTGCTTCATGAATCTGGGTGCTCCTGTATAGGGGGAAAATATATTTAGGATAGTTACATCTTCTTGTTCAATTGAACATTTTACCACTATATAATACTCTTCTTTGTCTTTTCAAATCATTATTGGCTTAAAGTCTGATTTGTCTGAAATTAGAATAAGCAACCTGATTTTTTGTTTCCCATTTGCTTGATAGATTTTTCTCCATCCCTTTACTTTGAGCCTATGGGTGTCATTGCATGTGAAATGGGTCTCTTGAAGACATCATACAGCCAGGTCTTGCTTCTTTATCCAACTTGCAACTCTGTGCCTTTTAATTGGAGTACTTAGCCTGTTTACATTAAAAGTTAATATTGATATGTGCAGATTCAATCCTGTCATCATGTCATTAGCTGGTTATTATGCAGACTTGATTGTGTGGTTGCTTTATAGTGTTAATGGTCTATATACTTAAGTGTGTTTTTGTGGTGGCTGGTAATAGTCTCTTGTTTCCATATTTAGCATTCCCTTAAGTACCTTTTGTAAGGCAGGCAGGTCTGGTGGTAACGAATTCCCTTAGCATTTGGTTTTCTGAAAAGGACCTTATTTTTTCTTCACTTATGAAGCTTAGTTTGACTAGATGTGAAATTCTTGGTTGAAGTTTCTTTTCTTTAAGAATGTTGAATACAGGCCCACAATCTCTTCTGGCTTATAGAGTTTCTAGTGAAAATTCTACTGTTATCTTAATGGGTTTCCCTTTGTATTAATAGGTGACATGCCCTGTCTTTCTAGCTGCTTTTAATATTTTTTCTTTCATGTCAACCTTAGAGAATCTGATTATATGTCTTGGGAATGATCATCTTGTATAATATCTCACAGGGGTTCTCTGCATCTCCTGAATTTAAATGTTGGTCTAACAAGGTTGAAAAAATGTTTGTAAATAATATCCTCAAATATGTTTTCAGAGTTGCATATTTTTTCTCCCTCTCTTTCAGGGACACCAATGAGTCATAAGTTTGAAATGGTCATTGCAAAATTATAACTGAGACAGTGAAAGAGATTTGACCTAACCGAATCCATCTTGCCTCTAACCTCCAAGCTGTCCTTGTTCATTTCTAGGCATAGGCCAAACTAACTTTGAGAGGAACTTAGTTTATAGTTCAGCTTTGAAACAAAGATGATAAAGCTCTTTCCCCAAACAAACCCCCTTCCTACCTGGGGAATAGACTGTCTTTGTAGGACTAACAAATAAGCCACATGATTAGAAATTATGGTTTAGGAGTCATGCAGCTGGAGGCTGCAAGATTCTAAACCTCCCCAAATTGCTCCTGGGGATAACACCACTATTATAAAACCTAAGATCAGTGCTTGAGATATTTTGCAGACCCTGTACTAGATGGATCAGCTGGCTCCACCTAGATCAATAAACTGGACCATCTGGTCTGACTCAGGAACTGACTCAGCACTAGAGGACAGCTTTACCTCCCTATGATTTCATCTCCAACCTGACCAATCAGAACTCCTGATTCACTGGCCCCACCCCCACCCACCAAATTATCCTTAAAAACTCCAATCCCCAAATTCTCAGGGAGACTGATTTGAGTAATAATAAAGCTCTGGTCTCCCGCACAGCCGGCTCTGCATGAATGACTCTTTATTGCAATTCCCTTGTCTTGATAAATCAGCTGTTTAGGCAGCAGACAAGGTGAAACTGTTGGGTGATTACAGGTTGGGTCTCTTCACATAATCTCATATTTCTTGGAGGTTTTGTTCATTTTTTTTTACTCTTTTTTCTTTATTTCTGTCTGACTGAGTTAAATTGAAGACCCAGTCTGAGTGCTGAGATTCTTTCCTCAGCTTGGTCTATTCTGCTATAAATACTTGTGATTGCATTATGAAATTCTTGTAGTGTGTTTCTCACCTCTATCAGATCAGTTCTTTCTTATAATGGCCATTTTGTCTTTCAGCTCCTGTATCATTTTATTGTAATCCTTACATTCCTTGGATTGAGTTTTGACTTTCCCCTGAATTTCAATGATCTTCATTCCTATCCATATTCTGAATTCTATGTCCGTCATTCTAGCCATTTCAACCTGGTTAAGAACCCTTGCTAGGGAACCAGTGCAGTCATTTGAAGGAAAAAAGACACTCTAGGCTTGAGTTTCCAGAGTTCTTGCACTGATTCTTTCTCATCTGTGTGAGCTGATGTTCCTTAACTGTAGTGTAATTTGAAAATATAATCAGCTGACTTCATTTCTGAATGTTTTCAGCATGCCAAAGTTTTGTGCAGGGTCTTTATTTTTAGCTGAATTCTTGTCCTTGGTTTCATGAGGGGTTGTATTAGCAAAGTATTTTTGGTGTTGAACTTTAGACTGCGATCGGGTAGATGGCGGTTAACGTAATGGCCAGTAGGTAGGCTCTTGCTCAGTCACATGGCTCTTCTGCATCTCCTCATGTTTGCAGCTGTGCTTTCTCTCAGTGCTCTTAGAGTGCGGGCTCCTCTTCCCCTCAAGTGCTGGCTGCAGATCTTGGCTTGGCACTCCTGGGCTGCACACTGCAGCCCTCGAGCCAGCTCAGGTTTTACGTTCCCTCCCCAGCTTGGAGGCAGCGGGGGAAGGGACCTTGGCAGTGGTGTGGCAGAGGGCCTTTCACTTGTGTCTTGGGGTTCCATCCCAAAGAAATGCAGAGCCACTACCAATTGGTGCAATCAGTCCGGGGTGGGGCAGCCATGTTGTGGGCCCAAGCCTGGAGGCCCTCCCTGGTGATGAGCAGGAGGGTGCAGGCGGCTCATAAGGGAGGTGGACTGGCTTCTCCTTAGGGCAGCTGTAGCTTGCTGGAGGTGTAGGTAAAGCAGTTAGAGTCTTTGTTCCTTCCTCAGTCCAAGGGCAGCAGGAGCAGTACCACTGCAGTGGCAGTACCACTGCAGTGGCAGTGGCAGAGGGGCTTTCAGTTGCCTCTGGGAGCTCCACTTCAGAGAAATGCAGAGCTGCTGCCAATGGGAATGTTCAGTCAGGGGGTGGGGTGTCTGTGCAGCTGGCCCAAGGTAGGGGGCAACTGGTGAAGAGCAGGCAGTTGGGGGTTCACAGGGAGCGCAGACTGGGATCCCCTCCATATGGTGACTTTGACATGCTGGTGCCACAAGTAAATCCCTCAGGCCCTTTGTTCCTTCCTCAGTCCTAGGGCAGCAAGGGCAGAACCACTGCAGTGGCAATGGGGCTGTCGGGGCTGTCGGTTGCCTCAGGGAGCTCCACCCCAGGGAAACACAGAGCCACTACCAGTGGAAATGCTCAGCTGGGGGTGAGGTAGCTGCTCTGTGGTCCCGAGCTGGGGGGCCCTGCCTGGTGAAGGGTGGGAGATAGGGGCTCACAGAGAAGAGAGACTGGGCTCCTCTCTGTATGGTGGCTGCAGCATGCTGGAGGTTCCAGCGAGGCAACCAGGTCCTTTGTTTCTTCCCCAGCCTGAGGGCAATAAGGGCAATACCACTGCAGCTTCAGTGACCGAGGGACTGTGGATCATGTCTGGGATTTCCTCCCCAGAGAAACGCAGAGCTGCCACCAACGGAAGTGTTCAAGCAGGGGCAGGGTGGCTGTGCTGGGGTCCCAAGTCAAGAGATCCTGCGCAGTGAGGAGTAGCAGGGGCAGGGACCCGCATGGAAAACTGTCTGGCTCCTTTTCCGTAAGGCAGCTGCACTGTGCTGGAGCCCCGCGTGAGTCCCTAATCACTGCACTCCTCAGCCTGAGGGCAACAGGAGCAAGGGCTGTGGAGTAGCGAAAATGGCGACCCACCTGCTACTTCTGGGAGCTCCATCTCAGGGAAGTGCAGAACTGTTACCAGCCCAATGGTCCAAGCAAGGGGTGGCTGGGATTCCAGGTCAAGAGGCCCTGCCCAGTGAGAAGGCGCTGGGCTGGGGACCCATGTGGAAAACAATCTGGCCGCTTTACTGTAAGGCAGCTGTGCTGTACTGGGGGTCCCTGTGAGTGCGTAATCACGGTGCTCCCTCCAGAGCCTGAGGGCAACAGGAGGGACTGCTGTGGAGCAGCGAAAATGGCGGCCTGCCTGCTACCTCTGGGAGCTCCGTCCCAGGGAAGCGCAGAGCAGCTAGTGGCCTGAGAGATCAGCTGGCGCTGGGTGGCTACGCTAAGGTCCCAGGCCAGTGGACCTTGTCTGAGGAGGTGCAGTGCAGGTGAGCCCTGCAGTTTGTCCACTGCACAGCCCCGTGGGTGTGGTCTCTATCTTGGTGGTGTGGGAAGGAGCCTGACCTTCCCTGTTGCCGGAACTGCAGCCGCTGGTGTTGGGTTGCCCTGGGATCCAAGGCCACCAGCACTCTGCATGTGCCTGAGTGGCGGCTCCACCCAGACTCCACCTAGCTCTCCCTGTCAGTCTGCAGGCCCCGGTTGGGAGAGGTCATGGGTGTTCTCCTGAGCCCAGTGTTGCAAAAGTCCCCTGGCAGAAGTGTGGGTCCCCAGGCACTCTGACTCACTCACCATTTCCCCATGTTGGGGGCCTCTCCTGGCTCCGTACCACTCCTGGTGGGAGGCTCTCCTGTCTTACTCGTCTTTGTTCTCCGTGGGTTGTGTTGTTTCCTCGCTGAATCCCAGAGTGTCCACCTGGATGATCTAGTTAAAGAGCTAAATTAGCCAGGCGTGGTGGCGGGCGCCTGTAGTCCCAGCTACTCCGGAGGCCGAGGCAGGAGAGTGGCGTGAACCCGGGAGGCGGAGCTTGCAGTGAGCCGAGATTGCGCCACTGCACTCCAGTCTAGGCGACAGAGCGAGACTCCGTCTCAAAAACAAACAACAAAAAAAAAAGAGGTAGTGTCTACTTACCACTTTCTTCTGTTTGTGAGAGTGGCGCACACTAGCTGTTTCTAGTCAGCCTTTTTTTTTTTTTTTTTTTTTGACACGGTCTCGCTCTGTCGCAGAAGCTGGAGTGCAGTGGCGAGATCTCGAGTTACTGCAGCCTCAACCTCCCGAGCTCAAGTGATCCTCCCGCCTCAGCCTCGGGAGTAGCTAGGACGGCAGGCACGCAACACCAGGCCTGGCTTTTTTTTTTTTAATTTCTTGTAGAGATGGCGTTTCCTTTTGTTGCCCAGGCTACTCTCGAACTCCTGGGATCAAGCACTTGTCCCGTCGGTCCTCCTAAAGTGCTGCTGGGATTGGCACGAGCCACCGCCCCTGGCCTAGTCAGCCATCTTAAGTAGAGGGATCCACAATATATTTTCCATTTTCTAATCTTAATCACACCAAACACACACACAGCCCACAGCTGACTCAGAGGCCTTTAGGAAGAACATGGACATAAAGATTAAATAATTTAGGCAGGAAAGAACATTCTCAAGACACCAACTATATGTTAAAATGAATAGAAAGTTATTTGGATTAAGCCAGAGCATTCTCTCCTATAGCTAGCAGTAATAATAATAAGTAGAAATTTTTAGATGCATTATGACATCTAATCCTGACTAAAATCCTGTGAAGTAGGACTGTTATCCCCATTTTAGAAATGACGAAGCCAAAGCTTGAAGAGGTTAAGTAATTTCCCAAGGTCTTGGAGGTCCTGTAGCTGATAAATGAGAATGCAAGCATTTGGATCTAATCAGTCAGGCTCCAGTAGCTTCCTCTTCACTACTAGGCTGCACTGCCTAGGTTTAGGCTTAACATACACAAGTAAACAACATACATGAAAGTGATTTGCAAATCAGTTTCCCAGAACTTCAAAAAAGTTTCATTCTACATACAGAATTTGGAAATTTCCTTATTTTATAGTATGTCATAAAATTTCTGACCTAAAACAGTAGAATAATTTCGACTCACAATTCTCAAGCGGCCTTTTCTATTGATGTGCTGCATTTTATTTCAATTGCTAATTTTTATAACTAATTAATATGACTGCTCCCAGCTTAAGAACTAAAGCTCTGCACTTATTTTAACATTTTTCAAGAACTTGGATTTTTTTCTTTACAAGATTGCTTTTTTTTAACTAAACATTTAGCATCTGTATCTTTTGGTCATCATTCATAACTTGTTGTATTTCTCATAATTTATTAGTGGAAATCATGCTTAGTTTCAGAACAACTCATGCAGATTGGAAATGGGTTTACTTTCTGTTAAGAGTAAATGAAAGATTTTGATAGTGACCACTTATTTTATCAATGGGAAATTAACTATCACTCTAGGTGAGCCCTTTGAAATGGAATATGAATTTTTTTAACGGACAAAATAGGAAATGACTTCTTTGTCAAATACTTATCTTGTACTTTTAAGCTGATCAGAATCCTCCAAATTATGAATCACTGTCAAAATTTTTAAGTTCACTTTCAAAATAATTTAATTTAATTCAATGGAATTTATTAGATGACTATAATGTGACTAACTAGTAAATAGCAGTCCCAAACAAATATCTACATTATGTACAAGCAGAAATAAGAGAGTTACTTATTGATTAAATGTTAAAGATCAGCCAGTTTTTAGCTCTTCCTTTCCAGGTTGGCTATGGGTCCCGACTAGTTAATTTTTTACTAGTTTTCCAAATAAGATAAAATGAAAACTTGACTTAAAGAAAAAGAAGTAAACTAGGCATGCCAATTAGCAAAGTACTTGTGATGAACAGGACCTCATATTAGATGCTGATAAAATATACCTAAAAATTCAAAAATAGGTCCCAAATAATTTTACCACACTGTTTGAGTGTTGTCAATTTTACTCTGCATTTTTTATTGCCTTAAAATTGTATATAGCTGAAGTATACAACTTGATATTTTTATATACATTATGAAACAATCACCATAATCAAGCTAATTAACATATCCATTCCCTCATATAGTTACTTTGGTGTGTGTGTTGGGAGTGAGGGGCTGAAAAACATCTACTGTCTTGGAAGTTCAGGTGTATAATACAGTATTTTTAACTATAGTCACATTGCTGTGCATTAGATCTCCAGTACTTATTCATCTTGCAAAACTAAAACTTTATAACCTTCAATCAACATCTCTCCATTTCTCCCTCCCCCGATCCCCTGGCAACCACCATTCTACTCTGCTTCTGTGAGTTTGACTATTTTAGATATCAGATATAAATGAAACCATGCAGTATTTGCCTTTCTGTGTCCAGATTATTTCACTTAGCATAATGTCCTCCAGGTTACTCCATATTATTGTAAATGGCAGCTTTTCTTCTTTTCTAAGGCTCAAGAATATTCCATTGTATATAATATAGACCACATTTTATTTATCCATTCATCTCTCAGCGACATTTAAGTTGTTTCCATTTCTCTGCTATTGCGAATAATGCTGCAAAGAATATGGGAGTGCAAATATCTCTTCAAGATACTGATTTCAGTTCCTTTGGATTTATACCCAGAAGTGAAATGGCTGGATCATATGGTAATTCTATCTTTAATTTTTTTAAGGACCCTCCATACTATTTTTCATAATGGCTATGCCAATTTACATTCTCACCAATGGTGTACAAGGGCTCCCTTTTCTCCACGTCCTTGCCAACACTTGTTATACTTTGTCTTTTTGATAGTAGCCCCTCTAACAGGTGTGGGGTGTTACCATATGGTTTTGATTTGCATTTCCCTGATGACTAGTGATGTTGAGCATCTTTTTACATAGCCATTGGCCATTTTATTGTCTTCTCTTTGAGAAACATCTGTTCAAGTCCTTCCCATTTTTTAAATCAGGATGTTTGTTTTCTTGCTATTGATTTGTAAGAGTTATTCTTTATATATTTTGGAAATTAACCAGTTATCAGATATATAGTTTGCAAATATTTTCTCCTATGCTCTAGATTGTCTTTTCACTCTATTGGTTTTTTTCTTTGCTGTGAAGAAACTTTTAGTTTGATGCAATCCTACTTGTCTATTTTTACTTCTGTTGCTTGTGCTTTTGGTGTAATATCCAAAAAATCATTGCCCAGACCAATGTCAAGAAGCTTTTTCACTATGTTTCCTTGCAGTAGTTCTGTGGTTTCAGGTCTTACACTTAACTCACTAATCCATTTTCAGTTCATTTTGTATATGATATGAGATAAGGGTCCAATTTCATTCTTCTACCTGTGGATATCCAATTTTCCCAACACTGTTTATTAAAGATGTGATCCTTTCCCTATTGTGTGTTCTCGGCACCATTATTGAAGATCAGTTGACTATAATGTGTAGATTTAGTTCTGGTCCCTCCATTCTATTTCACTGGTCTATGTCTGTTTTTATGCCAGTACTATGCTGTTTGGATTACTATCAGTTTATAATATATTTTGAAATCAGGAAGTGTGATGCCTTCAGCTTTGTTCTTTTTGTTCAAGATTCCTATTGTTTTTCAGGGTTTTTGTAGTTCCATATAAGTTTTAAGATTTTTTTCTATTTCTGTGAAGATTTTAATTGGGATTGCATTGACTCTATAGATCACTTTAGATAGTATGCACATTTTAATAATATTAGTTATTCCAATCCATAAACACAGGATGTCTTTTCATTTATCTGTGTTTTATTTCACTTCCTTCATTAGTTTTATAATTTTCAGTCTAAAAGTGTTTCACTTCTTTTTTTAGTTTATTCCTGTGTATTTCATTCTTTTGCTGCTACTGTGAATAGAATTGATTTTTCAGTTAATTTTGTATGCAATTCGTGGTTTGTGTATAGAAATAGAACTGAGTTTTGTATGTTGACTTTGTAACTTGCAACTTTACAGAATTCTTTTATAGTTCAAATAGTTTTCTAAGTCCTTAGAATTGTCTACAGATAGAGATGATTTTACTTTTTCCTTTCCAATTTGGATGCTTTTTATTTTTTTCTTGTCTAATTGTTCTGGTTTGAACTTCCAGTACTATGGTGACTAGAAGTGGCAAGAGTGTACTCTGTGCTATTTTGATCACCTTTTTATGGTGAGAGATATACTGAAGTAAATTTCACTAAATCATTATAATTTTTTTTTAATTATATTATCATTATACTTTAAGTTTTAGGGTACATGTGCACAACTTGCAGGTTTGTTACATATGTATACATGTGCCATGTTGGTGTGCTGCACCCATTAACTTGTCATTTAGCATCACGTATATCTCCTAATGCTATCCCTCCCCCTTCCCCCACCCCACAACAGGCCCCGGTGTGTGA
Source organism: Homo sapiens (assembly GCF_000001405.40). NCBI lineage: Eukaryota > Metazoa > Chordata > Mammalia > Primates > Hominidae > Homo > Homo sapiens. The sequence goes on along the minus strand of NC_000002.12, from coordinate 55,819,965 downwards.
TGTTCCCCTTCCTGTGTCCATGTGTTCTCATTGTTCGATTCCCACCGATGAGTGAGAACATGCGGTGTTTGGTTTTTTGTCCTTGAGATAGTTTGCTGAGAATGATGGTTTCCAGCTTCATCCACGTCCCTACAAAGGACATGAACTCATCCTTTTTTATGGCTGCATAGTATTCCACGGTGTGTATGTGCCACATTTTCTTAATCCAGTCTATCATTGTTGGACATTTGGGTTGGTTCCAAGTCTCTGCTATTGTGAATAGTGCCGCAATAAACATAGGTGTGCATGTGTCTTTATAGCAGCATGATTTATCATCCTTTGGGTATATACCCAGTAATGGGATGGCTGGATCAAATGGTATTTCTAGTTCTAGATCCCTGAGGAATCGCCACACTGTCTTCCACAATGGTTGAACAAGTTTACAGTCCCACCAACAGTGTAAAAGTGTTCCTATTTCTCCACATCCTCTCCAGCACCTGTTGTTTCCTGACTTTTTAATGATTGCCATTCTAACTGGTGTGAGATGGTATCTCATAGTGGTTTTGATTTGCATATCTCTGATGGCCAGTGATGGTGAGCATTTTTTCATGTGTTTTTTGGCTGCATAAATATCTTCTTTTGAGAAGTGTCTGTTCATGTCCTTCACCCACTCTTTGATGGGGCTGTTTTTTTCTTGTCAATTTGAGTTCATTGTAGATTCTAGATATTAGCCCTTTGTCAGATCAGTAGGTTGCGAAAATTTTCTCCCATTCTGTAGGTTGCCTGTTCACTCTGATGGTAGTTTCTTTTGCTGTGCAGAAGCTCTTTAGTTTAATTAGATCCCATTTGTCAATTTTGGCTTTTGTTGCCATTGCTTTTAGTGTTTTAGACATGAAGTCCTTGCCCATGGCTATGTCCTGAACCTTATTGCCTAGGTTTTCTCCTAGGGTTTTTATGGTTTTAGGTCTAACATGTAAGTCTTTAATCCATCTTGAATTCATTTTTGTATAAGGTGTAAGGAAGGGATCCAGTTTGAGCTTTCTATATATGGCTAGCTAGTCTTCCCAGCACCATTTATTAAATAGGGAATCCTTTCCCCATTGCTTGTTTTTGTCAGGTTTGTGAAAGATTAGATAGTTGTAGATATGCGGCATTATTTCTGATGGCGCTGTTCTGTTCCATTGTTCTATATCTCTGTTTTGGTACTAGTACCATGCTGTTTTGGTTACTGTAGCCTTGTAGTATAGTTTGAAGTCAGGTAGCATGATGCCTCCAGCTTTGTTCCTTTGGCTTAGGATTGACTTGGCAATGTGTGCTCTATTTTGGTTCCATATGAACTTTAAAGCAGTTTTTTCCAATTCTGTGAAGAAAGTCATTGGTAGCTTGATGGGGATGGCATTGAATCTATAAATTACCTTGGGCAGTATGGCCATTTTCACAATATTGATTCTTCCTACCCATGAGCACAGAATGTTCTTCCATTTGTTTGTATCCACTTTTATTTCATTGAGCAGTGGTTTGTAGTTCTCCTTGAAGAGGTCCTTCACATCCCTTGCAAGTTGGATTCCTAGGTATTTTATTCTCTTTGAAGCAATTGTGAATGGGAGTTCACTCATGATTTGGCTCTCTGTTTGTCTGTTATTGGTGTATAAGAATGCTTGTGATTTTTGTACATTGATTTTGTATCCTGAGACTTTGCTGAAGTTGCTTATCAGCTTAAGAAGAATTTGGGCTGAGATGATGGGGTTTTCTAGATATACACTCATGTCATCTGCAAACAGGGACAATTTGACTTCCTCTTTTCCTAATTGAATGCCCTTTATTTCCTTCTCCTGCCTGATTGCCCTGGCCAGAACTTCCAACACTGTGTTGAATAGGAGTGGTGAGAGAGGGCATCCCTGTCTTGTGCCAGTTTTCAAAGGGAATACTTCCAGTTTTGGTCCATTCAGTATGATATTGGCTGTGGGTTTGTCATAGATAGCTCTTATTATTTTGAGATACGTCTCATCAAAACCTAATTTATTGAGAGTTTTTAGCATGAAGGTTGTTGAATTTTGTCAAAGGCCTTTTCTGCATCTATTGAGATAATCATGTGGTTTTTGTCTTTGTTTCTGTTTATATGCTGGATTACATTTATTGATTTGCATATGTTGAACCAGCCTTGCATCCCAGGGATGATGAAGCCCACTCGATCATGGTGGATAAGCTTTTTATTTGCTGCTGGATTCGGTTTGCCAGTATTTTATTGAGGATTTTTGCATCAATGTTCATCAAGGATATTGGTCTAAAATTCTCTTTTTTGGTTGTGTCTCTTCCAGGCTTTAGTATCAGGAGGATGCTGGCCTCATAAAATGAGTTAGGGAGGATTCCCTCTATTTCTATTGATTGGAGTAGTTTCAGAAGGAATGGTACCAGCTCCTCCTTGCACCTCTGGTAGAATTCGGCTGTGAATCCATCTGGTCCTGGACTTTTTTTGGTTGGTAAGCTATTAATTATTGCCTCAATTTCAGAGCCTATTATTGGTCTATTCAGAGATTCAACTTCTCCCTGGTTTAGTCTTGGGAGGGTGTATGTGTCGAGGAATTTATCCATTTCTTCTAGATTTTCTAGTTTATTTGCGTAGAGGTGTTTATAGTATTCTCTGATGGTAGTTTGTATTTCTGTGGGATCGGTAGTGATATCCCCTTTATCATTTTTTATTGCGTCTATTTGATTCTTCTCTCTTTTCTTCTTTATTAGTCTTGCTAGTGGTCTGTCAATTTTGTTGATCTTTTCAAAAAACCAGCGCCAGGATCCATTGATTTTTTGAGGGTTTTTTGTGTCTCTATTTCCTTCAGTTCTTCTCTGATCTTAATTATTTCTTGCCTTCTGCTAGCTTTTGAATGTGTTTGCTCTTGCTTCTCTAGTTCTTTTAATTGTGATGTTAGGGTGTCAATTTTGGATCTTTCCTGCTTTTCCTTGTGGGCATTTAGTGCTATAAATTTCCCTCTACACACTGCTTTAATGTGTCCCAGAGATTCTGGTATGTTGTGTTCTCACTTGTTTCAAAGAACATCTTTATTTCTGCCTTCAGTTTGTTATGTACCCAGTAGTGATTCAGGAGCAGGTTGTTCAGTTTCCATGTAGTTGAGTGGTTTTGGGTGAGTTTCTTAATCCTGAGTTCTAGTTTGATTGCACTGTGATCTGAGAGACTGTTATAATGTCTGATCTTTTACATTTGCTGAGGAGCGCTTTACTTCCAACTATATGGTCAATTTTGGAATAGGTGTGGTGTGGTGCTGAAAACAATGCATATTCTGTTGATTTGGGGTGGAGAGTTGTGTAGATGTCTATTAGGTCTGTTTCATGCAGAGCTGAGTTCAATTCCTGGATATCCTTGTTAACTTTCTACCTCGTTGATCTGTCTAATGTTGACAGTGGGGTGTTAAAGTCTCCCATTATTATTGTGTGGGAGTCTAAGTCTCTTTGTAGGTCACTCAGGACTTGCTTTATGAATCTGGGTTCTCCTGTATTGGGTGCATATATATTTAGGATAGTTAGCTCTCTTGTTGAATTGATCCCTTTACCATTATGTAATGGCCTTCTTTGTCTCTTTTGATCTTTGTTGGTTTAAAGTCTGTTTTATCAGAGACTAGGATTGCAACCCCTGCCTTTTTTTGTTTTCCATTTGCTTGGTAGATCTTCCTCCATCCCTTTATTTTGAGCCTATGTGTGTCTCTGCACGTGAGATGGGTTTCCTGAATACAGCACACTGATGGGTCTTGACTTGTTATCCAATTTGCCAGTCTGTGTCTTTTAATTGGAGCATTTAGCCCATTTACATTTAAGGTTAATATTGTTATGTGTGAATTTTATCCTGTCATTATGATGTTAGCTGCTTATTTTGCTCATTAGTTGATGCAGTTTCTTCCTAGCCTTGAAGGTCTTTACAATTTGGCATGTTTTTGCAGTGGCCGGTACCGGTTGCTCCTTTCCATGTTTAGTGCTCCCTTCAGGAGCTCTTTTAGGGAGCCCTGATGGTGACAAAATCTCTCAACATTTGCTTGTCTGTGAAGTATTTTATTTCTCCTTCACTTATGAAGCTTAGTTTGGCTGGATATGAAATTCTGGGTTGAAAATTCTTTTCTTTAAGAATGTTGAATATTGGCCCCCACTCTCTTCTGGCTTGTAGAGTTTCTGCTGAGAGATCCGCTGTTAGTCTGATGGGCTTCCCTTTGTGGGTAACCCGACCTTTCTCTCTGACTGCCCTTAACATTTTTTCCTTCATTTCAACTTTGGTGAATCTGACAATTATGTGTCTTGGAGTTGCTCTTCTCGAAGAGTATCTTTGTGGTGTTCTCTGTATTTCCTGAATTTGAATGTAGGCCTGCCTTGCTAGATTGAGGAAGTTCTCCTGGATAATATCCTGCAGAGTGTTTTCCAGCTTGCTTCCATTCTCGTCGTCACTTTCAGGTACACCAATCAGATGTAGGTTAGGTCTTTTCACATAGTCCCATATTTCTTCGAGGCTTTGTTCATTTCTTTTTATTCTTTTTTCTCTAAACTTCTCTTCTCACTTCATTTCATTCATTTCATCTTCCATCGCTGATACCCTTTCTTCCAGTTGATCGCATCTGCTACTGAGGCTTGTGCATTTGTCACGTAGTTCTCGTGCCGTGGTTTTCAGCTCCATCAGGTCCTTTAAGGACTTCTCTGCGTTGGTTATTCTAGTTAGCCATTCGTCTAATTTTTTTTCAAGTTTTTAACTTCTTTGACGTTGCTTCGAACTTCCTCCTTTAGCTTGGAGTAGTTTTATCTTCTGAAGCCTTCTTCTCTCAACTCGTCAAAGTCATTCTCCATCCAGCTTTGTTCCATTGCTGGTGAGGAGCTGCGTTCCTTCGGAGGAGGAGAGGTGCTCTGATTTTTAGAGTTTCCGGTTTTTCTGCTCTGTTTTTTCCCCATCTTTGTGGTTTTATCTACCTTTGGTCTTTGATGATGGTGACGTACAGATGGGTTTTTGGTGTGGATGTCCTTGCTGTTTGTTAGTTTTCCTTCTAACAGTCAGGACCCTCAGCTGCAGGTCTGTTGGAGTTTGCTGAGGTCCACTCCAGACCCTGTTTGCCTGAGTATCAGCAGTGGTGGCTGCAGAACAGCTGATATTGGTGAACCGCAAATGCTGCTGCCTGATCGTTCCTCTGGAAGTTTTGTCTCAGAGGAGTACCCGGCCGTGTGAGGTGTCAGTCTGCCCCTACTGAGGGGTGCCTCCCAGTTGGGCTACTCGGGGGTCAGGGACCCACTTGAGGAGGCAGTCTGCCCATTTTCAGATCTCAAGCTGTGTGCTGGGAGAACCACTACTCTCTTCAAAGCTGTCAGACAGGGGCATTTAAGACTGCAGAGGTTACTGCTGCCTTTTGTTTGTCTGTGCCCTGCCCCCAGAGGTGGAGCCTACAGAGGCAGGCAGGCTTCCTTGAGCTGTGGTGGGCTCCACCCAGTTTGAGCTTCCTGGCCGCTTTGTTTACCTACTCAAGCCTCGGCAATGGTGGGCGCCCCTCTCCCAGCCTCATTGCAGCCTTGCAGTTTGATCTCAGACTGCTGTGCTAGCAATGAGCGAGGCTCGGTGGGCGTAGGACCCTCCGAGCCTGGTGCAGGATATAATCTCCTGGTGTGCTGTTTGTTAAGCCCGTTGGAAAAGCGCAGTATTAGGGTGGGAGTGACCCAATTTTCCAGGTGCTGTCTGTCACCCCTTTCTTTGACTAGGAAAGGGAATTCCCTGACCCCTTGTGCTTCCTTGGTGAGGCGATGCCTCACCCTGCTTCAGCTCACGCATGGTGCGCTGAGCCCACTGTCCGGCACTCCCCAGTGAGATGAACCCGGTACCTCAGTTGGAAATGCAGAAATCACCCGCCTTCTGCATCGCTCACACTGGGAGCTGTAGACTGGAGCTGTTCCTATTGGGCCATCTTTGCTCCACCCCCCAAATCATTATAATTCTTTGACCAAGTTTCTGCACACATACTTACAGTATTTCTAATATTTCCATTTTTCTTTTTATTTTCTGATACTATTTTTTATCAGGTCCATTCTCTTGGGGATAAATTTTACAACAAAGATTTTTTTCATTTATGAGGTTTTCATCTATATCTGGTTTTCCTGATTCTACTGATTTTATCTTTGGCCATTTTGCTTTCTTTTTGTGACTGCTTTTTCATACCAAGTAAGAATTTTGCCATCTACGTTTTGCTAAGAATATTTTATTTATCTCTTAAATTTAGTAAAAAATACATTTTATCTGTGATGTTTTAATTATTATAATTATTTCTTATTCATTATGTATTTCTGTAATATTCATTATTGATTAGAAATAACTGTTGATTCATGATAATATTGTGAGAAATTTCTCTCAACTAATCCAGGATTGACCCGTCATTAATGGTTAGCCAGTTGGGTGGTTTGAATACTTCTAATCACTTTTGTATCCTGTGAACTGACTATGTTACTGACTGAATTATTTTGGCCAAGTTGCTTAACCTAACTACCTGACTGTGACTGAGTTTTCTTATCTATAAAATCAGGCCAGTAATAGTATATGCTTTATCAAAAGTATTACAAGAAAAAAATACATGCAGAGCACCTAGAACAGAATCTGGTGTGTAGTAAGTACTTAATAGCTATTATAATTCTTAATATTGTTATTAGTGGTAGAGAAAAGAGTAGATGGGGGGGTCAAAATGTCCTCAATGTAAACATGATGGAGTCAAAATAACAAAATCAAAACAGCAAGATCAAAAATTGAGATCAAAATATCCTGTTTCATTTACACATGATATCTCATTTGCAAGACCCCCTTGAAAGAGAAAAAGAAGAAACTCTCATTATTATCTTCTCTATCATAACTTAGCAACCATTTCAGTTTTAGGAATAACTCTATACTAAGTTCATTAAGCTAAAAATATAATGCAACACAGTAATTCATAGCAAAAACTGCTACCTCTGCATGCTTTTTTTCCTATAATAATTGCTCAAGGTTCCTAAAAGTTTCAATAATAATGTCTACTTGTTTAGCAGTCTGCCCTTCTCAATATGTTTCACACCTATGGCCCCAGTTGATCCTCACAACCACCCTGGAAAGTTGATGAGGGCATTAGAGAGATATGATAACTGGACTTTGGAGAAATTAAACATTTGCCCAAGGTGCACAATTACCTAGGAAGTAAGCCAAAAATGGATGTTAGCTCTTAAAAAATATATCTGAGTTTCAAATGTTTGAGGTCCTCTAATAATTCTCATGATGTTTCCTACGATGTCAATGTAAAATATTTTTGACATGTAAATCTGATCACCTCTCCTAGCCTACCCCCAAAAGTATTTTGATGGCTTCTCATTGTTCTTAGGATTTAAGACCAAAATAATCTGTAACATGGCCTTTGTGCCCCTGGATGACCTGGCCCTGCTGCCCTTCTTCTTACTGTCCCCTGTGGCTGGCTCATCCTCACTCTATTCTAGCTGCACTGGCCTGTTCTCTCCATCCCTCCTATCCCGGAGCTTCAGCACTTGGCCACTGCCTCTCAGGAACTGCTCACCCCAACCTGCAACCTCCAAGTAAGTCCTCTTCTTCCTTCACTTTTCTTCTATTGTCTCATGACTATGTCAAACCCACATATTATATGCTCAAATAGCTCCATGTACTTCCCATTTTTAGCCCTTATGACTGATAGAATTTTTCATGTATATTTGTGGTCATGTGGTTACTGTCTTTCTCACTAGACTATATATTCCAGGAAGGTGGGAGCACCATACCTGGCTTTGCTCACCATTGTTCGGCACTGTTTAACAATGTGCCTGGAACAGAGTACGTGTGCTATGGAACAAACAAGTACATGAATCGCCTCAACAAAATAAGTAGATTCAAATTGATGCTTATCTCTTGTGGTATATAACTCTGCAGTCTCCCTTTCCAGTAGCTCCCATCTGGGCATGGTTTCACAGAGGCTCCAGCTCTTTCACCCTGAATGAAGTCTCACCAGAGGAATCCCAGGGAGGGCATGGCTTGCTGTAGATATTGATGACCTCTAATTTCCCAGGAAGGCTTAAAGTTGTCATATTGGTGGGAAAAGCCAAGGTGTGATAGGAAAAAGGCCTTTTAGTTACATTCAGAGTTAATCCCACCACAGTTACTCTCCCTTCTGAGAGTTAATCTCCTCTCAGATAATATAAGGATTTCTGACCATCTGATAGTATTGATCTTTTGGTCTCTCTAAAAACAGCTAAATCTCCTTATGGCTTGGGAATTTTTTTGTCTGTTTGTTTTTCAGTTCAGTGGAACTTATGAGGTTCAACTATATTTGAGTTGGAGAATCTAAATGAACAAAAAGAGCTTACCTGATCCACCAATCTGAAAAGTATTTCTTCATGGAATCATGGTATCCTAAGGGAAGAATGGACCTAAGAGAGATCCTAATCCATCCCCTTTCACACCTGCAAGTCCAAGTCATTCCATGTCTCACTAGAGTTCCCTTGAGCTGGGGCAATCTGTTCCATGTACTTTAGGGGGACTTGGAGCAAAACTTCATGACAGTTCTGTGATAAAAGAGCAAAAGAAGGTTGTGTCTTTCCCCAAAGGTCTAGAGAAATTAGAAGAGAGGGTAGAGAAAGGGAGGGTATGTGGAAACAGGAGTTGAGGAATGGATAATAGGAAAAAGAACAACTAGGGAAAATAATAAAAATGGAAAAAAAACTTTTAAAAATTCTGGAAACATGTGCAAATTGAGATAGCCCAGGATATGAGTCAGAGGTGGCTGGGTTTAAAAAAAAAAAAAAAAAAAAAAAAGACAACTGAAGAAAAATAAGGAAAATGGTTTGCTGTTTTTGTTGTTGTTGTTCTCTTACAAGTGTAAGTTTATAGTTATTAAGCAAAACAAAAATTAGAATTGTTACAAGGTATTGTACATGTAGGGGAAAATTTTTGAGGTAAAATATGAGAGTCTAACAATAAATGTAAATCATATTTTAAAAACTGAAGATGCAAAATAAATATATCTTACATTTGTTTTTAAAGAAATCACATTGAGCAGCTAAGAAGATCCCTTCCAAAATGTTTCAGTTTCCTTCTCTTCACTGGCTTCCTCACAGTGTGTTCACCCACACACCCTGATGTTATTGGCACGTAAATCAAATCTTTCATAAAAATCAGAAATAAAAAGTATATGAGCACAGGAGGTTCCTGATATTGGCAAGCCTCCAATCCACACATACTCCTGGGCCTGATCCACGAACATACTTTAAGAAGTCCGTTTGTTCTTAATTCAATAATAAGGAAGGTGTTACCAGCCCTAATTTATGTGTACTAATGTACTCTCCATAAGTAGCAACATTTCTCTAACTAATTATTATAGAATTGTCATATGAGATATTGCTGCAAGGTGTATAAATGCTTCCTAACTACCAATTTGCAAGCAGGCAGTGACTGAAGCATCAGAAGATTTGGAAAATCTGGCTCTATGTGTTTGTGACCAACAGTAACATAAGAGCCTATGAAAGGATGTACCATTGCATTGGGTGTGACATCAGAAGAGTGAAAAGTCATCTCTTATGAGAAACTTGCATGCAATACAGACCACTCCATACCTCAGGAAGATCTAACGATGACCAACCATAAAGCAAATAAGGATTCTCTCAAAAAACAAACAAACAAATAAAATATTTGAAGGGGACAAGATGCAGATCATATAGAATCATCTTAGCTGAAAAAATGTCCAAAAGGAGTAACTCCCTTCTGCCAGAGGCTGACTCCCAGGGAGGGGCTCCCAGAGCAGTCTTCAAGTCTGTTGACTTGTTTTTTCAAGCTGTTAATGTAACTCGCAGCTACATTGGTTTGTTTTGTTGTTGTGACATGGTCTCCATAGATGTGCATTGAAATTGTGCCCAACTGCACCAAAGCCAAGAACCATGCAATCTGGAGGTTGTGCAAGCAAGATTACAAGGCTCCAAGGTATCCAGTGCCTGTGCTGCTCATCTCTTCTGCTTACCTCAAAGCTTTGCATATTCGGCCCGGGCAACTGAATGCCGCGTTGGGACCAGATGCAAATGCTGCAGGAAAGCGACTACATTTGCAGAGAAGCAATATGGCTTTATCTTCCAATCAGGGCTTCATTTGCAAGTCTAGTAAACAGTCACTGATAACTGGGGTGAGTTTAGTAACAGGATTTTTTGAGTTACCCCTCTTCCTTTCTGTACATAGCCCAACTTGCTCATCTTTATTTCTCACAGGAGTCCAATATCCTCATGTTTTCTTCTTCCCCTGTCCTTCTCAAAAAATATCTTGATCATCTCATTCATATCAGACTTAACAAATACAGGACATCCAGTTAAATTTGAATTGCAGATGAAGAACAAATAATGTTTTAGTGTAAGTATGTTCCATGCCACATTTGGGACATACTTTTACTATAATTTATACTAAAATTTGTCATTGCTTATTTGAAACTCAAATATAACTGGTTCTCCTGTATTTTATGTGGTTGCCCTGCACTAATGAATAAATGACTTGTAGTATTTTTACCTCTCCTAAGGATATTGACTGAATCTTAACTTAGGGTCAAAGTCCCCATACCATAAGCTAAATTAATAATTGGGAGATTTTTGCAACAGACTGGAAGAAAAATATATCAGACAAGCAATCACTTATTCCTAGCCATAAGGAGTCGTTTTTTAAATTGCAAAGGCCTCCACCCCAGAGCCAGAAAACATAGTTTGAGTCTTACCTGTTTGGACTTAAGGCTACTTATCAACATTTACTTCATATCAGACAATGGGATTGTTCATGTTACCTGGTGCTCTATTCATCTAGATGGAGAAAATATTATTCAAAGATATAACCGTGCCCCAAAATATCTATTCCCATAGTGTCTTCAGCAGATTAGAGACACAGATTGTGACAGGTAAGTATCCTAGGCCTTAGCTCTCATCAACAAAGACTTTTCACGTGTCCTGTGCATGGACAGGGCCAAGTATGAAATACCTTCAAGTCCTCAGAAAACTATAGACCTTCAAGTCTATAGTTAGAGAGTGAGAGAAGGAGGAGGTGTGAAAAGAATGGTAATGAGAGAGAAAATAGGGATGAGAATGGAAAAAGACAAAAAAGAAAATAACTAATTATAAAATGAGTAAATAGGGAGTGAAGAGGACACTTTGGCCAACCCCAATTGCCCAGAATAGGTGGTTACCCGCTGGTGTGGGTTGAGGATCTCTGGAAAGAGACTTATGGAAGATACCAAAAATGGGCTCATTCAATATCCATTCCAATCTCCTTCTAAAATGACTTCCTGTGAATTGCAGAGACTGGTAAGCTAAAAACTACTTTTCTTCCAGGCTCCCTTGCAGTCTGGGGGTGTTTTAGGCTGCGTTATCAAATGCACTTTCAGAACTTGAATTCAGAACTGGGTGAAGCAAGGAAAGAAGCTGGGCACAAGTTGTCCTTCCGCTACTGCAGAAGGCTTCTTAGCTTCCCAGTTTAGCAGAATTGGCTTCCTGACCACAGCTTTTCCATTGACTGCTAGTGCCCAGATCAAGGCAAGTGAAGCAGTTCCTTTGATTATTCAGTTGTGGTATAGCTTCAGAACTCATTTCTGGAGGCTCCAGCCCAGTGTCTGTTTCTTCAGCCCACAGACCGGTTTTGTAGACCATTAAATACTCTGTCGTTAATGCATTTCAGCTTGAGCCAGCTACGGTAGGGTTTGTTCTCTGCAACTGAATGCTAACTGATACAAGCCACTGCCCCTAAAATATCTATTCCACTAGCCAAGCAGCTCTGAACCAGAGATAATTTTGCCACCTACCCAGGGGACACTTGGCAATGTCTAGAGATATTTTTGGTTGTGACTGCTGGATGCTGGGTGGGGGAGTGGTTGGTAATAAGTGTTGTTGGCATCAAGTGGGTAGAGAGAGGCCAGGGAGGTTGCTGAACATCTGACAATGCACAGGACGGCTGCCCACAGCAAAGAAGTATCCAGCCCAAATTGTCAATACTGCCAAGATTCAGAAACCTTTCCCTAGCAGAGTACCTAGTTTAAAAATGTGTCCTTAAAAAAAGCAATATTTGCAATATTTTAGCTTTGAAAGCATCCTCTTTGACAATGCAAACAGCCATCAAAAAACTGCAGGCAAAGTTTTGTTTTCAACCAATGTGATGTTATATTTTTCTCTTTATTCCAAGATTTACATGAGTTTTACATTTTAATATTTCTGAAACCATGGCATGACCTAAAATTAAGGTGTACTCATAATGTGGTGATATTTTTTCTTGTTCATTCTTTTTTTTTTTTTTTTAGATGGAGTCTCACTCTGTCTCCCAGGCTGGAGTGCAGTGGCATGATCTTGGCTCATTGCAACCTCCACCTCCTGGGTTTGAGCAATTCTCCTACCTCAGCCTCCTGAGTAGCTGGGATTACAGGTGTCCGCCACCACGCCTGGCTAATTTTTGTATTTTTGGTAGAGATGGGGTTTCACCATGTTGGCCAGGCTCGTCTCGAACTCCTGACCTCAAATGATCTGCCCACCTTGGCCTCCCAAAGTGCTGGGATTACATGCATGAGGCATCATGCCTGGCCTTTTGTTCATTCTTTTTTTAATCAAAAAGCTGTTATTCAATCTATAGTATATCTCAGAACCGGTGGCATCTTAGAATCAAGGAACTAGAGTGACTTAAGCAGGTTATTTTCCTGAGGACAAGCTTGCCATGCTGCATGCAGAAGAGGAGTGCTGAAGGTGGGTAAAGGCACCTGGGGCTCATCCTGGCTGCACAATAGAATCGCCGTGACACTTTTTGTTGACTTTCGTAGGAAACCCAGGCATCAGTATTTTTTCAATTCTCTTTGCAAACCAGGGTCAAGAGCCACTAATTTAGGTCACCTTGAAGATGGAGAAAAGGGAAGAAAAGGGTGCCACTATTAGGAAACACAAAAAGTGATGGCAGACAACCAGATAGACTTCAGAACTTCACTCTCCTGTCCAGGACCAGGCTTCATTACTATTGCCAATTTGCTAACACTCCAGCCTTACAGCTCCTGAGTAACTTTCACGATCTCTCTAGGGCCCCAAGAAAATTACAATTGAAGAATTTAACTAATAATGGTTTCTGACAAGAAGAAATCAAATATGCTTTCACCTACTCCAAACTCAGCACATATTCAGAAGCAAGATGTATCTTATAAATACATTTCCTATAACTTGTAAACACCTCATTTCCACCATAAAGTCAAGCTCCTGGCTTGAATGAAGAAGTGCTCAGTATTTGCTGAATTGAATTAAATTCACTCCCTCAGGTGTTACTGTCCCTTTTAAAGGGGAGAACAAAATTCAAGAGACAACAATAAGGGGTGCAAAGGAACTAGCCAATTCTAGTTACCTTCTTTACCTAGCAACAGAAAGAGACCTACACAGGTGCAAATAAATGTTGCCTCAGATATTTGCTACCACTGCCAATATCCCTATTTATTTGTTAAATACAGAAAAAAAAACCCAACACAATAAATTTTACAGTGTCTCCCAACTGTCTCAAGACCCAGAGTATAGACTTCTAAACCCAAACACTGGATAAGAGTCTCAAGCCATGCTTTGCTATACCCATAGGATGTGTTTAGGTGGACAGGCCCTGATATTGCCAAGGAGTTGGTTTCAAGCAGTAGAGTCTGAAACTTTACCCTATCTTTTTAGAAACAGTAATTCTCACAATTCCACCAGAGTCAGTTTTCCTTTGTTTTACATTTATTTATTTAGAGAGTTCTAAATATATGCTGGTCTGTTGAAACAGTCTCTGGGACCAAGTACAATAAAAACATTAATTAAAACACACAATTAGAAACACCCAGCAGCGAACCTGGAACAGCATCAAATGAGCTCTCCCGTTTAAATGTCAGTCATAGAAGATAAAGCCTGCGGGTGACCTGCAATGTGGTCCCCTGGCTTTTCTGTGGATTCTTAACTGATGCTGAGGTGAGCACTCTCTGCCAATGGATGCCCATACCCAATCAGTCCATTTCTCTCCTAACTCTTTATTTGGCACAGACTCTTCCTGCCTCTTCTTTTATTCTGCAATGGACTAATGAGAAATTCACAGAATCCCCAAGCTTGGCAGAGATCTGGGCACGAGAATCTTACATAACAGTTGGGCTTTGGCAGGGCAGGACCAGAAGGGCTGGGAGCCCTCAGCTGAAGTGTGCTCTGCAATTTGTGGGCATTGTCACTCTCTCTGAGACTGTATACCCTTGCTTATGGCTCTGAATACTTCAGAATCCAAAAGCAGCAGCAGAATTAACATGGAATGCACACAGAAAGAGTCAAAGGGAACAACACTGAGGGAATAGCATAGATTCAGAAAATGTGAACTCTTCAGATTTGGAGGTGGGGAACCCATCTACAAAAAAAAGAGGTAGGAAACTTTCACTCCCTTGTGACATAGAAATTCCAAATTTGTTTACACAGTTAATTCGGCACGAAAATTTTGAATCTAGCACAGACCTGTTAAGAAATAAGATCTTGTTATTTGCAGACATGTTCTGTCAAGGGATTGTAACCTGTGAAGGATGCCATCAATAGGAAATATGACTTTATAAATTCCATCTTTTTCTTAAAGGCTCTCAAGTAAAACAAAAGCAAAAGATTTTCGCTTCCTTCTTTTATGTATAATTTCCCACAAACCTCCCATCTTAGAAAAACAAGAAAAGAGATGTAAAAAAAAAAAAAATAGCAGATCAATTCTAGGTAGGAATAGTATTTCAAAAGTGGTGGGAACTTATTATTTACTGTTCCACTGGATTCTGTATTATTCATTCCTCTTTATTTTTCCTTAATGACAAATGTGCCAATATCTTATTACAAAGAGGCTACCACCAAAGTAGATAAAAACTGCCTTTTATCAAACATCTGGCCCACATTACATCTCTAGAGTCCCTTTTCAATCAGCCACAGTGTTTTTTACAATTTTGTGATTTCATCAAATTGGCTGAGTCTCATGTGCTGCCTGCTACTACATTCTGAAGTGCCAGGCTGGTACCTAAGAGGAAAAATAACATTTTTCTTCACTCTTAACCCACATTCTGACTTCTCATGCTGAATTCAATCTTCAGCTAATTAGTTCAAGAGCAAGCAACTTTAACCGAGATTCGGTATTACTTTCCTGTTTCTGAGAGCTGGGCTTTCCCCAAATGTTGCTCTCTTGTTACCCTTTGCATTTTAAATGAAGCCATTTTGGAGCATAGCTCTTGTTTTTCCTTTAATATATGCACCCCTTGGGGCTGCGCTGAAGCTTTTGATGGCTCTCTGCCGGCAGTCAGGGCAACAGGACGTCTGCAAGACCCAGCTTTGTCCTGCAGTTGGCATTCATTGCACAGCCCAAGCTGAACAGGGACATTGCAAGTCAATTTTCTCAGAAATGCAGGGTCCCTAGTACTCTAACATAGAGTCTCGAATCTCACTTAGTTTCCACCATTTCATTTTGTTTTAAACATGTAGTATTTCCTTTATTGATAGTTTATGGAATAAAGTTATTCCACAGAAGTCAATTTTCAGATTAACTGAAAACTCAATGTAAGAGTTTGTTGGAAATTCTTTCTAAAATGTTAAATACTTTCCTTGGTCTCAAACAAGGTACACTAAATGTATCTAACTTTTTCTTGATGATTTAGGGTCATCTTTAAACTATCTCATTACATAGGGGTATAAAACAATAACAAATGCATAGAATGAGTTGCCCCTACATTAAATTGCCCCAGGCCACTATGCTTCCTTTGTTACTTTGGCAAATTTTTGTGTTTTATTTTTCTCTCCTTCTGTACTATCAAAGTATCCATAGTCATTCTGCACTGATGTTCTTGTATCAGTCTAGAAACAAACTTTGGGTTTATTGCCTCCAGTTTGCAGATGGCTAGAAACCTAAATAAACAAATCTGTTGCAACAACATCTCCATTAAAAATAAATCCGTTCTAGAGTTATAGGAGGTTCTATCTTCTCATGTAAATGCACGACATCTATTCTGGTTGTATAAAGGTCTTGAGGACTTAATTCCAGCTCATTATTCATATTCCACAGAAGAGAGGTTACCAAACACTTGTCTCTGGATATTTCACAGTTAAGTTCAGTGGTCAGCAATCAATTTGTTCACCATCAAAGTTCTCCTCTTTCCTGATTGTTCTTATCTTCTCTTTGTCTGATTCCTGCTTTGAGTCATTTTCAGTAAGCTTTACATTATCCACCAACAGGAAAGAAAGCATGAAGGAAAGAGCAAAACATTTTAATCTATGCAAATTGAACTTCAATTTTTTTTTTGGTGGGGGAAGCATGAAAGTACATTGAAATTTGAGATTATTTGAACATTTTATTTTTTTAATTTGCTTCTCACCAAAATGGAAGCCTGAAGCTTGGCTGTGACACAGGCACCTACCACTTTCTTTTTTTTTTTTTTTTTTTTTTTTTCTTTTTTTGAGACAGAGTCTCCCTCTGTCACCCAGGCTGGAATCCAATGGTGCAATCTCACCTCATTGCAACCTCTGCCTCCCGGGTTCTAAGCGATTCTCCTGCCTCAGCCTCCTGAGTAGCTGGGATTACAGCCATCTGCCACCATGTCTGGCTATTTTTTGTATTTTTAGTAGAGACAGGGTTTCGCCATGTTGGCCAGGCTAGTCTCGAACTCCTGACCTCAGGTGATCCACCTGCCTCGGCCTCCCAAAGTGCTGTGATTACAGGCGTGAGCCACCGCGCCCGGCCAACCACTCTTATATGTAGCATTCTGCCCTACTTATAAAAGTCTCAACCCCTTTGACTAAAATCCCAACAGCTTTTTGAAATGCCTGTTCAAGATGATCCAGGCCAAGTTGACTTGGAGTGTCAAAAGAGCCCCATAGAAATATAAAAGCTTTTATTCAACACCACACTGAATGATACTGGCACTGGTCAGGAATAGGATGACCAACTCAATCTGGTGTGCCAAGGACCATCCTAATTTGAAGTTGAAAGTCCCATGTCTTGGGAACTTTCTCAGTCCTAGGCAAATTGAGACAATTGGTCACCCTACTGGAAGGTGAACCCTCAAAGGTCTCTCGTGTTTTCCCCCAGGTGGAGCTTTTATCTTCAAAGCATTTCTAAGAATTCAAAGACATCCATCTTCTTCTTTTCTCTTTCTGCCAAGTCAGTCTGGCTAATTCTTTCTTAGAAACATGTCTAACATCAATCCCGTCTTTTCCTATTGCCACCAGTTTGGGCCTTTATCCTCTGGTCCTGGGTTACTTCCATGAAGTCTTCCTGTCTTCTCTCCAGTAAACATGCTACTCTCAGATTAATCTTTTTAAAACCCTGTTTTGCACAAGTTCCAGTTAAAGTCCCAGCTCTTCCATAAAGTCTGGCATCTTCCTGGGCAGGAGGGAACGAGTGAGCAGGGCAGAAGAAAGGCGTGGCAAGAGGTATCAGCTGCTCAGTGCTGGTAAGAGTGCTGCAGGGCCAGTGGAGGGATTATTACCTCCCAGAAGCTGCTAAGGAGCAAAATCAAGACAGGCTGCAGAGCAGAGACAGGCAGGGAACTAAGGTCAGTAATATAGAAAAGAGGTCTGAGTCAATCACCAAGCTAAGGAAGCCTAGCCACAGATATAAAACCCCATTATCAAGGTGAATACCCAAGAGCTTGGGTGCGCTGAGCCCAGCACAGGAGAAATAAGAGGGGCCATACCAAGCAAATCTGTAAGAGAGCACACTTTGCCCTACAGCTAGTTCAAGGCGAGGCTGACTCCAGGAGAAGGGAAAGCAAACTGCAGTAGCAGGAACTGCCTGTGTTATCCTTTCTGCAGTTAGCAGGTACTAATTTGGAAAGCTGTTTATATTTTAATATATGCATCCCTTAAATGCAAAGACTACATCTAAGAATTCTCTGTATTCCCCACACCTAGCACAATGTGTAGTCAATAAATATTTGATTTAAACTATAATAAAAAATGCTCCCATATTCTAAAGGCCATGTGTGCAGGAAACCATGAGAAGGTTACAGTGACTCCACTTCTGTTTAGGAATTCTGGAAGCCATCTGCCTGGTTGGTGTTTAAGATACACTAATCAGCAAGTACAGAGTAGGCTAAAATCCTCCCTTTTCTCTTTTCAAAACTTCAGGGCACATTTCAACTTTCCTACTTCCTTTTGTATCTTAGTTCGAACCCTGCATACAAGAAGAAAAAAATTTAACAAAACAAACTACCTTTCACCAAGGCTGCAAACCAAGCCCCAGACCCAAAATATCCATATGTTTTCATGCTATAGTGTTTATTAGTACTTGAAGTTCAACCAGAGGGAATGAAAAATTGATCTAGTTGTTCAGTTTCTCAACTTGAGAGTTGCCAGCACACATGCTAAATCACTTCTTGAGCATATGTTGTGATGTGTTCATGCTGAGAATCCCTTTAAAATGATCCAGTCTTAAAAGACTTTGCTAAGAATATATTTTTCACTCAATAACATTTTTTAGAAGATCTAAGTTAAAATCAAGGCCTATTATTCTAGCTTTATAAATGCAATCACCTTTCTTTATTGACTGATTTATGAAGTCCCTTGAGTAAACGGGGGGGTGGAAAAAGTGATACTTAAGACTTACAAATAATGTACTGTTGGAAATAGCCTCAAGTGAGAGCTTTGTTTTAAGTGCCAAAGTAAACACCTGCAACTATAAAGCAAGGCTACTGTATTTTGTTTTCTACCCAAAAAAATGTTGCAGGTAATTTTGGAAAGTCTCTGGAGAAAACAAAAAAGGAGGGCCTCAAAATAAACCTCTGATAGGAATCTGCATGTCATGCATAATGCTGGAAATATTATTCACCTGAAGAAGACAACTACACTAAACTTTGTAAATCATCTAAGTCAGGATTTCTCAATCTTAGCACTATTGGCATTTTGGACCAGAAAATTCCTTTTGTTGGGGAGGAGCTGTCCTGTGCATTGCAGGGAGACAGCAGCATCCCTGGCCTCCTCCCTGGATGCCAGAGCAGCTTCACCTCCTCCCACCCCAACCAGTGGTGACAATCAAAAACGTCTCCAGACACTGCCAAATGTCCCCCCAGAGGCAAAATCAACCTCTGTTGGGCACCACTAATTAAACCAGAGAAACTTTTCTTAAATGTAAAGAGTCTTAAAATATCAGGTTTGGAAGGGCACAGCAAAGAAGTCAGCAACGCCACTAACAAGATGCACTAACAAGACAACGAGCTTAGACAAACAACAGAA
Organism: Homo sapiens; assembly: GCF_000001405.40. Taxonomy (NCBI): domain Eukaryota; kingdom Metazoa; phylum Chordata; class Mammalia; order Primates; family Hominidae; genus Homo; species Homo sapiens. Next base: position 55,800,756 of record NC_000002.12, on the reverse strand, counting down.
ACTATGCACAGCTGTAAACATACCTGAAGAAATGGAACCATAAAATCTAACTTGCAAGAACAATGGTATATGAAGAAAACCAGAAAAGCTGGCACCAGTGGAATATTTGAATTTGTTTAACCTGGAAAAAAAAAAACACACATCTGTCTCGATGAAAAAAGTCAGCTATACTCTAGTATAAAGAGAAAATCATGACTAAACAAATGTTTTATCTCTTCTATAAAGTATTTAAAACTTTACTTAATTTTAGAATTTAGAATAATATTTTAAAGAATAGTTCTATATATCTGTGCTAATGCTTTTTTAAAAAAGAAAATAGATTAAGCAGAATATGTTGAGTTAAAATTATCTTCCAACTTTGTTTTTAAAAGCCTTTAAACTGAAGGCTACTTCTGGGGTCATGGAAATATTCTATTTCCTAATGGGGTGTTAATTACACAGGTGTATAAACTTGTGAAAACTCACAATTTGTTAATTTAAAATCTTGCTTTTCACTATAAATGAAAAATATTATATATAGTCTCTATGTGCATACAGATAAAGTATATATATTTATCTATATGTATGTATATATGTTTATATTTGCATTTATGTATCTCAGTATTATATTTGCGTGTATACTCATATATATGTTAAACTGTTTTAAGTTTTTTTAATATAGCTATAAATTTATGTGGCCCAGTTATTTTTCCTGTCCCTCAAATTCGCCTTTTTAATCCCTTTTTTTTTTAACCTTTATTTTAGGTTCAAGGGTACATGTTCAGGTTTGTTTTATAGGTAAATTGCACGTCCAGGGGGTTTGGTGTAAAGATAATTTCATAAGTAATAAGCATAGTACCTGATAGGAAGGTTTTTGTTTTTGTTTTTGTTTTTGTTTTGAGACGGAGTCTGGCTCTGTCGCCCAGGCTGGAGTGCAGTTGCGCAGTCTCGGCTCACTGCAACCTCCGCCTCCCAAGTTCAAGCGATTCTCATGACTCAGCCTCGCGAGTAGCTGGGATTACAGGAAAGCGCCACCACACCCAGCTAATTTTCTTTTTTTTTTTGTATTTTTAGTAGAGACGAGGTTTCACCATGTTGGCCAGGCTGGTCCCAAACTCCCGACTTCAGGTGATCCGCCCACCTCGGCCTCCCAAAGCGCTGGGATTATAGGTGTGAGCCACCGCACCCGGCCCCTGATAGGTCGTTTTTCAATCCTCACCCTTCCCCATCAAGTAGGCCCCAATGTCTGTTGTTCCCTTCTTTGTGTCCATGTGTACTCAATGTTTCGCTTCCACTTGTAAGTGAGAACATGTAGTATTTGGTTTTTTGTTCTTGCGATAGTTCACCTAGGATAATGGCTCTAGCTCCATCCATGATCCTGCAAAGGACAAGATCTGGTTTTTTATGGGTATGTAGTGTTCCATGTACCACATTGCGGTGTATATGTACCACATTTTCTTTATCCAGTCTACAGCGATGGGCATTTAGGTTGATTCCATGTCTTTGCTATTGTGAATAGTGCTGCAATGAACATATGCATGCATATGTCTTTATGACAGAATGATTTATATTCCTTTGAGCATATACCCAATAATGGAATTGCTGGGATGAATGGTAATTCTGTTTTAAGTTCTTTGAGAAATCACCACACTGGTTTCCAAAATAGCTGAACTAATTTACATTCCCATCAGCAGTATATAAGCGTTACCTTTTCTCTGCAACCTCATCGGTATGTTATTTTTTGACTTTTTAATAATAGCCATTCTGACTGGTTGTGAGATGGTATCTCATTGTAGTTTTAATTTGCATTTCTTTTTTCTTTTTTATGTATTTATTTATCATTTCAACTTGTATTTTAGATTCATGAGTTACGTATGCAGGGGTACATATGTATATATATTTGTTACGTGGGTATATAGCATTGCATGAAAATGAGGTTTAGGGTACAAATGATCCCATCACCCAGGTAGTGAGCATAGTACCCAATAGGTAGTTTTTCAGCCCCTACCCCCCTACCTATCTTTCCCTTCTAATAGTCCGCAGTGTCTATTGTTCCCATCTTGATGTCCATGTGTTCCCAATGCTTAGCTGCCACTTTTAAGTGAGAACATGTGGTATTTGGTTTTCTGTTCCTTGGTCGATTTGCTTAGGATAATGGCCTCCAGCTGCATCCATGTTGCTGCAAAATACTTGACTTTGGTTTTTTATGAATACACAGTATTCCATGATGTATATGTGGTACCACATTTTCTTTATCCAATCCACCATTGTTGGGTACCTTAGGTTGATTTGATGTCTTTGCTACTTTGAATAGTGCTGCGATGAACATATGAATGCATGTGTCTTTCTGGTAAAACAATTTGTTTTCCTTTGTGTATATACCCAGTAATGGGATTGCTGCATTGAATGGTAGTTCTGTTTTAAGTTCTTTGAGGAATCTCCAAACCGCTTTCCACAATAGCTGAACTAATTTACATTCCTAACAGTGCATAAGTGTTCCCTTTTCTCTACAACTTCGCCAGTATCCATTATTTTTTGACTTTTTAATAATAGCGATTCTGACTGATCTGAGATGATATATCTCACTGTGGTTTTAATTTGCATTTCTCTGATTATTAGTGACGTTGAGCATTTTAAAATTTTTTTATCTCAATAGGTTTTGGGGGAACAGGTGGTGTTTGGTTACTTGAATAAATTCTTTAGTGGTGATTTCTGAGATTTTTGGTGCACCTGTCACCCGAGCAGTGTACACTGTACTCAGTGTGCAGTCTTTTATTCCTCACTCCCCTCCCACCCTTTCCCCTACATCCCCAAAGTTGTATCATTCTTATGCCGTTGCGTCCTCATAGCTTAGCTCCCACTTATGAGTGAGAACATAAGATGTTTGGTTTTCCATTTCTGAGTTACTTCACTTAGAATAATGGTCTCCAATTCCATCCAGGTTGCTGCAAACGCCATTATTTCATTCTTTTTTATGGCTGTGTAGTATTCCATGGTATACATATACCACATTCTCCTTATCTACTTGTTGACTGATAGGCATTTGGGCTGGTTTCATATTTTTGCAATTGTGAACTGTGCTGCTAAAAACATGCATGTGCAAATATCTTTTTTGTATAATGACTTCTTTTCCTTTGGGTAGATACCCAGTAGTGGGATTGCTGGATCAAATGGTAGATCTACTTTTAGTTCTTTAAGGAATCTCCACACTGTTTTCCACAGTGGTTGTACTAATTTGCATTCCCACCAGCAGTGTAAAAGTGTTCCCTTTTCACCACGTGCATGCCAACATCTATTATTTTTTGATTTTTTGATTATGGCCATTCTTGCAGGAGTAAAGCAGTATCACATTGTGGTTTTGATTGGCATTTTCCTGATAAGTACTGATGTTGAGCATTTTTTTACATGTTAGTTGGCCATTTGTTTGTATTCTTTTGAGAATTGTCTATTCATGTCCTTAGTCCACTTTTTGATGGAATTATTTGTTGTTTTCTTGCTGATTTGTTTGAGTTGCTTACAGATTCTGGATATTCATCCTTTGTTGGATGTATGAATTGTGAAGATTTTTCTCCCACTCTGTGGGTTGTCTGTTTACTCTGCTGATTATTTCTTTTGCTGTGCAGAACAAAAACCACATTATTATCTCAATAAATGCAGAAAAAGCATTTGACAAAATCCAGCATCACTTTATGATTAAAACCCTCAGCAAAATCAGCATAGAAGGGACATACCTTAAGGCAATAAAAGTCATCTATGACAAACCTACAGCCAACATTATACTGAACAGGGAAAAGTTGAATGTGTTCCCCCTGAGAATTGAAACAAGAAAAGGATGCCCTCTTTCACCACTTCTATTCAATATAGTTCTGGAAGCCCTAGCCAGAGCAATCAGATGAGAAAAAGAAATAAAGGGCATCCAAATCAGTAAAGAAGAAGTCAAACTGTCACTGTTTGCTGATGACATGACTGTATATCTAGAAAACCCTGAAGACTCATCCAAAAAGCTCCTCAAATTGATATGCATTTCTCTAATGATTAACGATGTTGAGCATTTTTTCATATGCTTGTTGACTGTGTGTATGTCTTCTTTTGGTGTCTGTTCATGTCCTTTGCCCACTTTTTAATGGCGTTGTTCATTTTTTGCTTGTTAATTTGTTTAAGTTCCTTATAGATTCTGGATATTAGACCTTTGTCAGATGCATAGTTTGCAAATATTTTCTCCCATTCTGTAGGTTGTCTGTTTACTCTGTTGATAGTTTTCTGCTGTGCAGAAGCTCTTTAGTTTAATTAGGTTCCATTTGTCAATTTTTGCTTCCATTACTATCACTTTTGGCATCTTTGTCATGAAATCTTTGCCAGGACCTATGTCCAGAATGGTATTTCCTAGGTTATCTTCCAGAATTTTCATAGTTAAACCAATTTTAATGGTGAAAATAATAAATAAATAAATAAATAAATAAATAAATAAATAAATAGAAAGTTAGTTCACAGAAACCATGTAAATAAAAAGAAAAGAATAAGTACCACAGCCTTAACTCCCAAGATCACCAGCTAAATTAAAAGATAAGATTTCATTTTCATTGTTTTTGTTGTTGTTGTTGTTGTTGTTGTTATTGTTGTGGTCTTACTTCTAATTGTTGTCTGCAAGAGAAACACATCCAAGGCACATTAATAATGGCTTTTACCTATTTGGTAGTTAGGTTGGGGATCCTTTGAGTCAGGGTGGGGAGATGCATATAGGAATATACAGAAAAATTTGGAATACAATTTCAGATACCTTATAGGCCAAGTTAAAAACCCTTCAACTGAAAATTATCTAATGCTCAAAGCTTATCATCTCTGTATGTCTATAGGAGAAACATAGATTATTATCCTAGTAGCGAATAAGGGTAATTTCTTAAAGCACACATTATTAATAGAAATGAATATGGTTACTATATAGTGGATAATATAGATTAACAATGAAACCTACTAATACTAAATGTACATATTGAAACTACATAGCAAGAGAATATGTAAAAGAAATTTTGACAAAAATGCAGGAAGAAATTGAAATGAAATTATAACTACCAGACAGACAAACAGTTTTTTTCTTAGAGAAAATTAAGTACTAAATGATAGAGCAACAATAGTGAATGTAAGCAATATCAGTTATTTTTTAATTATATATTTGCCAGGCATGGTAGCTCACTCCTGTAATCTCAGCACTTTGGGAGGCCAAGGCAGGAGGATCACTTGAGGCCAGGAGTTTGAGACTAGCCTGGGTAACATAGTAAAACCTTCATCTCTGCAAAAATTTAAAAATTTAAAAATCTTTTTTTTTTTTTTTTTTTTTTTTCTTTTTGAGACGGAGTCTCGCTCTGTCGCCCAGGCCGGACTGCGGACTGCAGGGGCGCAATCTCGGCTCACTGCAAGCTCCACTTCCCGGGTTCACGCCATTCTCCTGCCTCAGCCTCCCGAGTAGCTGGGACTACAGGCACCCGCCACCGCGCCCGGCTAATTTTTTTTTTGTATTTTTAGTAGAGACGGGGTTTCACCTTGTTAGCCAGGATGGTCTCGATCTCCTGACCTCATGATCCACCCGCCTCGGCCTCCCAAAGTGCTGGGATTACAGGCGTGAGCCACCGCGCCCGGCCTAAAAATCTTTTTAAACTAAAAAAGAAAATACATTAGCTCAGGTTGTTGTGCTTTCTTTTTAAGAGATACAGAACAGAAGGCCCAGTCTCAGTGGCTCATGCCTATAATCCCAGAACTTTGGAAGACAGAGGGGGGCAGATCACCTGAGGTCAGGAGTTCGAGACCAGCCTGACCAACATGGAGAAATCGCATCTCTACTAAAAATACAAAATTGGCTGGGCATGGTAGTGCATGCCTATAATCCCAGCTACTCAGGAGGCTGAGGCAGGAGAATCGCTTGAACCCGGGAGGCGGAGGTTGTGGTAAGCCGAGATTGTACCACTGCACTCCAGCCTGGGCAACAACAGCAAAACTCCATCTCAAAAAAATAAAAAATAAAGGAAAAGAAACAAAATTCAGGTTCGAAATTTTCAAAATGGAAATTTTTAGGTCTCAAACATAAGAATAAACAAAATTGAAAAGAAAAAACAGACTTGAAAAGACCAGTAATTGACTGCTGGAAAACAGCCTTTTGTGACGCCTCCCTAGCACCTCAGCAGCCTCATTGTCTCTTTCCCCATCAAACCAATGTAGCAGAAACACTGAACTTGATCTCTTTTTAATGACTCACTTTTAAAGATAAATGAACAGCCAAGAATTTCCAGATATTTGAAGAAAAGTTATTTTTACAAAAGAGACCAATTATTTTTCTGAGGAAAAATAATTTTAACATCAAACTACGTGAGGATAAAATGAAGTCATTTTCTGACATAGAAAGTCTCATGCAAATTCCTAGGTGCCCTTTCTCTGGAAGCTATTGAGAAATGTGCTCCACTAAAACCAAGAAAGACGAAGATTCAGCACAATAGAGAGAGAATTCCTTGAAAGAGAATTCTTGAAGAGGGGGAGCCAAGATGGCCGAATAGGAACAGCTCCTGTCTACAGCTCCCAGTATGAGCAATGCAGAAGACGGGTGATTTCTGCATTTCCATCTGAGGTACCGGGTTCATCTCACTAGGGAGTGCCAGACAGTGGGCACAGGACAGTGGGTGCAGTGCACCGTGCGTGAGCCGAAGCAGGGCGAGGCATTGCCTCAGTCAGGAAGCGCAAGGGGTCAGGGAGTTCCCTTTCCTAGTCAAAGAAAGGGGTGACAGACGGCACCTGGAAAATCGGGTCACTCCCACCCAAATACTGCGCTTTTCCGACCGGCTTAAAAAATGGCGCACCAGGAGATTATATCCAGCACCTGGCTCAGAGGGTCCTACGCCCACGGAGTCTCACTGATTGCTAGCACAGCAGTCTGAGATCAAACTGCAAGGTAGCAGCGAGGCTGCGGGAGGGGCACCCACCATTGCCCAGGCTTGCTTAGGTAAACAAAGCAGCCAGGAAGCGCGAACTGGGTGGAGCCTACCACAGCTCAAGGAGGCCTGCCTGCCTCTGTAGGCTCCACCTCTGGGGGCAGGGCACAGACAAACAAAAAGACAGCAGTTACCTCTGCAGACTTAAATGTCCCTGTCTGACAGCTTTGAAGAGAGCAGTGGTTCTCCCAGCACGCAGCTGGAGATCTGAAAATGGGCAGACTGCCTCCTCAAGTGGGTCCCTGACCCCCGAGCAGCCTAACTGGGAGGCACCCCCCAGTAGGGGCAGACTGACACCTCACATGGCCGGGTACTCCTCTGAGACAAAAGTTCCAGAGGAACAATCAGGCAGCAGCATTTGCAGTTCACCAATATCAGCTGTTCTGCAGCCACCACTGCTGATACTCAGGCAAACAGGGTCTGGAGTGGACCTCAGCAAACTCCAACAGACCTGCAGCTGAGGGTCCTGACTGTTAGAAGGAAAACTAACAAACAGAAAGGACATCCACACCAAAAACCCATCTGTACGTCGCCATTATCAAAGACCAAAGGTAGATAAAACCACAAAGATGGGGAAAAAAGAGCAGAAAAACCGGAAACTCTAAAAATCAGAGCACCTCTCCTCCTCCGAAGGAACGCAGCTCCTCACCAGCAATGGAACAAAGCTGGATGGAGAATGACTTTGACGAGTTGAGAGAAGAAGGCTTCAGAAGATAAAACTACTCTGAGCTAAAGGAGGAAGTTCGAAGCAACAGCAAAGAAGTTAAAAACTTGAAAAAAAATTAGACGAATGGCTAACTAGAATAACCAACGCAGAGAAGTCCTTAAAGGACCTGATGGAGCTGAAAACCACGGCACGAGAACTACGTGACAAATGCACAAGCCTCAGTAGCAGATGCGATCAACTGGAAGAAAGGGTATCAGCGATGGAAGATGAAATGAATGAAATGAAGTGAGAAGAGAAGTTTAGAGAAAAAAGAATAAAAAGAAACGAACAAAGCCTCGAAGAAATATGGGACTATGTGAAAAGACCTAATCTACATCTGATTGGTGTACCTGAAAGTGATGAGGAGAATGGAAACAAGTTGCAAAACACTCTGCAGGATATTATCCAGGAGAACTTCCCCAATCTAGCAAGGCAGGCCAACATTCAAATTCAGGAAATACAGAGAACACCACAAAGATACTCCTCGAGAAGAGCAACTCCAAGACACATAATTGTCAGATTCACCAAAGTTGAAATGAAGGAAAAAATGTTAAGGGCAGCCAGAGAGAAAGGTCGGGTTACCCACAAAGGGAAGCCCATCAGACTAACAGCGGATCTCTCGGCAGAAACCCTACAAAGCCAGAAGAGAGTGGGGGCCAATATTCAACATTCTTAAAGAAAAGAATTTTCAACCCAGAATTTCATATCCAGCCAAACTAAGCTTCATAAGTGAAGGAGAAATAAAATACTTCACAGACAAGCAAATGTTGAGAGATTTTGTCACCACCAGGCCTCCCTAAAAGAGCTCCTGAAGGGAGCACTAAACATGGAAACGAACAACCGGTACCAGCCACTGCAAAATCGTGCCAAATTGTAAAGACCATCGAGGCTAGGAAGAAACTGCATCAACTAATGAGCAAAATAAGCAGCTAACATCATAATGACAGGATCAAATTCACACATAACAATATTAACCTTAAATGTAAATGGACTAAATGCTCCAATTAAAAGACACAGACTGGCAAATTGGATAATGAGTCAAGACCCATCAGTGTGCTGTATTCAGGAAACCCATCTCATGTGCAGAGACACACATAGGCTCAAAATAAAAGGATGGAGGAAGATCTACCAAGCAAATGGAAAACAAAAAAAGGCAGGGGTTGCAATCCTAGTCTCTGATAAAACAGACTTTAAACCAAGAAAGATCAAAAGAGACAAAGAAGGCCATCACATAATGGTAAAGGGATCAATTCAATAAGAAGAGCTAACTATCCTAAATATATATGCACCCAATACAGGAGAACCCAGTTTCATAAAGCAAGTCCTGAGTGACCTACAAAGAGACTTAGACTCCCACACAATAATAATGGGAGACTTTAATACCCCACTGTCAACATTAGACAGATCAATGAGACAGAAAGTTAACAAGGATACCCAGGAATTGAACTCAGCTCTGCATGAAGCAGACCTAATAGACATCTACAGAACTCTCCACCCCAAAACAACAGAATATACATTTTTTTCAGCACCACACCACACCTATTCCAAAATTGACCACATAGTTGGAAGTAAAGTACTCCTCAGCAAATGTAAAAGAACAGAAATTATAACAAACTGTCTCTCAGACCACAGTGCAATCAAACTAGAACTCAGGATTAAGAAACTCACCCAAAACCGCGCAACTGCATGGAAACTGAACAACCTGCTCCTGAATGACTACTGGGTACATAACGAAATGAAGGCAGAAATAAAGATGTTCTTTGAAACCAACGAGAACAAAGACACAACATACCAGAATCTCTGGGACGCATTCAAAGCAGTGTGTAGAGGGAAATTTATAGCACTAAATGCCCACAAGAGAAAGCAGGAAAGATCCAAAATTGACACCCTAACATCACAATTAAAAGAACTAGAGAAGCAAGAGCAAACACATTCAAAAGCTAGCAGAAGGCAAGAAATAACTAAAATCAGAGCAGAACTGAAGGAAATAGAGACACAAAAAACTCTTCGAAAAATTAATGAATCCAGGAGCTGGTTTTTTGAAAGGATCAACAAAATTGATAGACCACTAGCAAGACTAATAAAGAAGAAAAGAGAGAAAAATCAAATAGATGCAATAAAAAATGACAAAGGGGATATCACCACCGATCCCACAGAAATACAAACTACCATCAGAGAATACTATAAACACCTCTACGCAAATAAACCAGAAAATCCAGAAGAAATGGATAAATTCCTCGATACATACACCCTCCCAAGACTAAACCAGGAAGAAGTTGGATCTCTGAATAGACCAATAACAGGCTCTGAAATTGTGGCAATAATCAATAGCTTACCAACCAAAAAGAGTCCAGGACCAGATGGATTCACAGCCGAATTCTACCAGAGGTACAAGGAGAAATTGGGACCATGCCTTCTGAAACTATTCCAATCAATAGAAAAAGAGGGAATCCTCCATAACTCATTTTATGAGGCCAGCATCCTCCTGATACCAAAGCCGGGCAGAGACACAACCAAAAAAGAGAATTTTAGACCAATATCCTTGATGAACATTGATGCAAAAATCCTCAATAAAATACTGGCAAACCGAATCCAGCAGCACATCAAAAAGCTTATCCACCCTGATCAAGTAGGCTTCATCCCTGGGATGCAAGGCTGGTTCAACATATGCAAATCAATAAATGTAATCCAGCATTTAAACAGAACCAACAACAAAAACCATATGATTATCTCAATAGATGCAGAAAAGGCCTTTGACAAAATTCAACAACCCTTCATGCTAAAAACTCTCAATAAATTAGGTATTGATGGGATGTATCTCAAAATAATAAGAGCTATCTATGACAAACCCACAGCCAATATCATACTGAATGGGCAAAAACTGGAAGCATTCCCTTTGAAAACTGGCACAAGACAGGGATGCCCTCTCTCACCACTCCTATTCAACATAGTGTTGGAAGTTCTGGCCAGGGCAATCAGGCAGGAGAAGGAAATAAAAGGTATTCAGTTAGGAAAAGAGGAAGTCAAATTGTCCCTGTTTGCAGATGACATGATTGTATATCTAGAAAACCCCATTGTCTCAGCCCAAAATCTCCTTAACCTGATAAGCAACTTCAGCAAAGTCTCAGGATACAAAATCAATGTACAAAAATCACAAGCATTCTTATACACCAATAACAGACAAACAGAGAGCCAAATCATGAGTGAACTCCCATTCACAATTGCTTCAAAGAGAATAAAATACCTAGGAATCCAACTTGCAAGGGATGTGAAGGACCTCTTCAAGGAGAACTACAAACCACTGCTCAATGAAATAAAAGAGGATACAAACAAATGGAAGAACATTCCGTGCTCATGGGTAGGAAGAATCAATATTGTGAAAATGGCCATACTGCCCAAGGTAATTTATAGATTCAATGCCATCCCCATCAAGCTACCAATGACTTTCTTCACAGAATTGGAAAAAACTGCTTTAAAGTTCATATGGAACCAAAATAGGGCACACATTGCCAAGTCAATCCTAAGCCAAAGGAACAAAGCTGGAGGCATCATGCTACCTGACTTCAAACTATACTACAAGGCTACAGTAACCAAACAGCATGGTACTGGTACCAAAACAGAGACATAGAACAATATAACAGAACAGAGCCATCAGAAATAATGCCACATATCTACAACTATCTAATCTTTCACAAACCTGACAAAAACAAGCAATGGGGAAAGGATTCCCTATTTAATAAATGGTGCTGGGAAAACTGGCTAGCCATATATAGAAAGCTGAAACTGGATCCCTTCCTTACACCTTATACAAAAATCAATTCAAGATGGATTAAAGACTTACATGTTAGACCTAAAACCATAAAAACCCTAGGAGAAAACCTAGGCAATAAGGTTCAGGACATAGCCATGGGCAAGGACTTCATGTCTAAAACACTAAAAGCAATGGCAACAAAAGCCAAAATTGACAAATGGGATCTAATTAAACTAAAGAGCTTCTGCACAGCAAAAGAAACTACCATCAGAGTGAACAGGCAACCTACAGAATGGGAGAAAATTTTCGCAACCTACTCATCTGACAAAGGGCTAATATCCAGAATCTACAATGAACTCAAACAAATTGACAAGAAAAAAACAACCCCATCAAAAAGTGGGCGAAGGATATGAACAGACACTTCTCAAAAGAAGACATTTATGCAGCCAAAAAACACATGAAAAAATGCTCATCATCACTGGCCATCAGAGATATGCAAATCAAAACCACAATGAGATACCATCTCACACCAGTTAGAATGGCGATCATTAAAAAGTCAGGAAACAACAGGTGCTGGAGAGGATGTGGAGAAATAGGAACACTTTTACACTGTTGGTGGGACTGTAAACTTGTTCAACCATTGTGGAAGACAGTGTGGCGATTCCTCAGGGATCTAGAACTAGAAATACCATTTGATCCAGCCATCCCATTACTGGGTATATACCCAAAGGATGATAAATCATGCTGCTATAAAGACACATGCACACCTATGTTTATTGCGGCACTATTCACAATAGCAGAGACTTGGAACCAACCCAAATGTCTAACAATGATAGACTGGATTAAGAAAATGTGGCACATACACACCGTGGAATACTATGCAGCCATAAAAAAGGATGAGTTCATGTCCTTTGTAGGGACATGGATGAAGCTGGAAACCATCATTCTCAGCAAACTATCGCAAGGACAAAAAACCAAACACCGCATGTTCTCACTCATCGGTGGGAATCGAACAATGAGAACACATGGACACAGGAAGGGGAACATCACACTCTGGGGCCTGTTGTGGGGTGGGGGAAGGGGGAGGGATAGCATTAGGAGATATATGTAATGCTAAATGACGAGTTAGTGGGTACAGCACACCAGCATGGCACATGTATACATATGTAACTAACCTGCACATTGTGCACATGTACCCTAAAACTTAAAGTATAATAATAATAAAATAAAATAAAATAAAGAGAATTCTCAAGATGGTATCAAAGCGAAGACCTAATAAACATGTGTAGCAGGTTCAAAAAGCAACCAATCCTAATCGAAACACAAGTACAAAAGGTAAGAATAAACTCCTCCTAAATGGAATGTGCAGATTATCTTACAAATTTTACCATGTAGAAAGCTGTAATGAGAACTACTTTACAAAGAAGTTTGTAGTTTCCAAAAATATAAAAACCAGGCAAGTGAAAAAATAAAAAAATTATTAACTCCAAGAAAACAGAAATTGTATAAGAAATTGAATTATAGCATAAATTATATACTACATATACATATATACTATGCTTTAGCTTGTTTAAACTTTACATAGTATATACAGTATAAACTATACATAGTTTATATTATAATATATATATGGTACAAACTGTATGCACATATTATGACTAAGTAGTATAAATATATAGTATAAACTATATAGATAATACATATAGCACAAATTATATACATACTATATAGTATATATAATTATATATACTCAGTACAAACCATATATTATATATATTCCCACATACAAACTATGTACATATTTAACTACAAAATGGTTATAATAAATTGATGAGTATAGATTCAACCAAAATTTATGATGGTACTATTTCACAAAGAATGGATTCAAGAAAAGAGCTATAAAAAGGCCAAAATAAATAATGCTTTAAAAAGGCAATAGCAGTATTCGCACAGTGTTTTGATATTAGAAGTGGTGAAGATTTTGAAAATGTTTACCTGAGGGAGGTAGGAGTATTCAGAAGGACGAGGCAATTTGAGGTGGAGGGATTAAGAGAATATTGGTTTTTGCTGTAAGCCTCTTAGCATTATTTGACTTTTTAAACTTGTACTCGTTACTTTGATGTTTAAAAAAAAGGAAAATATTAATTTTTTTATAAAATGAAAGAAAGAAGGGAGGAAGGAATGAAGTTATTTCCTTAAAGTAGATTTATGTGCATGCTGTAATACTATAAAAATATTTATACAACCATAGTTCTAGAGACTACAACTGTAGAAAAAAAGCAACTGCCCCAACTCTTCATTTTTTACAACATTCACCTTTAGACTTAAGTATTCAAGTTTAACCCAAGTGATTATATTAAGTCCAAAAACACCGGTTCGTGATTAGTAGGAAGGAACTCTGGCCTGACAGGCTTTAGTTACAATTACTTCTCATACCCTCTCCTATGTGTTTCATGAGGGTTTGGGTCACATTCTTCCAAAGGGATCAAGGATATAGGACACATCTAACTGCTCTGGCAATCCTCACAGTGCTCTATACATAGCAGATAATTCAAAATTTTAATTACAGGTGCAAGAGGGCTCAGACTATTTAATGCGGACGGGAAGATGGAAATTAGTACCTTATTCATAGGGATACAAGAAGAGAATACATCATTCAGATAATATCATTGTAAGCATTCCCAAGGATAAATATGCATGTTCATTACTGTGTAATCCTAGGAGCAAAACAAACCCTCTGTTACATAACTCTTATTTTACCTTTCTTAATCTTTGAGTAATTAACATGGAAAAAAAAGTTGTTTTCTGGGCTACTCCACAGACAAATAGTTTCCCAGCAGAAAGAGACAAGCAAATAAGCCTGAGCATGTGATGGACTTGGAAAGCAATGAATCTTAACAAATTTGCAGTTGAATTATTGAACTGTTAAGACTGCAGAGTTAAACAGAAAAGATCTGGATGAATAAATGGGGTTTTGTTACCTTTGTTTCTTTGCTTATTTTATTTGTTGAGCTGTTTGTTGCCATGAGCACCAAAAATTATGACATTGCCATTCACATTGAATATTTTTATTTGGAAAATAAGGTTTCACTTACATAGTTGAGGTTCATCAACCACATGAACTGAGAGTGGGAGGTTTACACACACATACACCATAGATTTATTTGCTAAACCACTGATCCTTGTTTATTTTTAGATGAACTACAAAATGGTAGTTCTTCAGTTTAGCGAGTATTTTCTTTGACTCGTTCAACAAATATTTTTTGAGTATCTACCATGTGCTGCGTGCTACTACATACTATATGATCTAGGCCCTGCGCAAGGTGCTAGAAATAGGTGCAGGGAAAAACAGAGTATTTACAATCTAGTGGGTTGGTGGTACAGTTAAGCAATTAAACAAGCAATTATAATAAGACAAGTTAAATGCTTGGAACACATATAGCAGACACACTCAATATATCCTGGGGTTCATGGGTGGGGAGGGCTTAGTCAGCGAAGCTTCCCAATTGAAGTGACATTGAGTGGCACTTGAGGAATGACTAGGAGTTATTCATGCCAAGAAGGATGGAGAAGAGGCAATGAGGCTGAGGAAGGCCAGATACCAAGGAGAGCAGTGAGGAGGCCAGTGCAATAATGGAGAGGAGAGACAATGGTGGCCTGGACTTGGGAAATGGCAGTGGTGTTAGAGAAAAAGAGATGGGTCTGAGAGCCATTAAGGAGGCACAATTGTCAGGATTCCATGACTTACTGGATGTGAGAGATGAGGGAGAAGGAAACACAGCTGCAGGTTTCTGATTTGGACAACTGGGTGCATGGTGGGTGTTATTCACTGAGCCATCACTTACAAGGGGAGCAGGTTGAGGGGGGCAGATGATGAGTTCAGTTCTGAATATGTTCAGTTTGAGGTACATGGCAGGCATCGAACTGGAGATTTCTATCACGTAATTGGACTATAGGGTCTGAGCTGCAGATATAGATTTGGAAGATAATGATCTCAGAGCAGATAGTTGAAGCCATGGCTTTTGATCCGATTATCCAGAGAAAGTCTACAGACTGAGAAAAGCAGAGGTCAGAAAACAGACCCTGTAGTCTACTGACCTTTAGGGAACAAGCCAAGGGAAGAGATTAAAAAGAAGCCTGAGAGGCCCGACACAGTGGCTCATGCCTGTAATCCCAGCACTTTGGGAGGGTGAGGCAGGTAGATCACTTGAGGTCAGGAGTTCGAGATCAGCCTGGCCAATGTGGTGAAACCCCATCTCTACGTGCCACCATGCCCAACTTATTTACAAATTAAACTGGTGAAAGACAGACAAACAGGAGAGCAAAAGCATATGAATTGTATTTGATGCGTAGCTTTTATATGACACAGGGATCTTCCTACCAAAAAAGTGAAGAACGAAGAAGCAAACTCTCTCAGACGAGAGTTTATATACCGTTTTTAACAACAACAAGAAAGATAAATTGCAGAGATGGCACAAGACAAAGGAAGAAAGTTTTTAGGCTTCTAAGGGCTGCAAACTGGGGAGGTAAATATATAGAGAAAACTAATGGAAAATAAGGGCTATCTTATCAAGCTTTGTTTGTGCAGGTCCATCTTGGTGCCAACTTGCCGTCTTCCTCACAGTCATAAAATTTGCCCAAGAAAGGGGATTTATGGCAATCCTCAGTTCTCAGAAGTTTCTGCTTTTAGTCAGATAATGGGAACTCTAGAAGGACTTCATTTTGCATCTGTTGATTCTCCATTTTCTTCAGCTGAAAATGATCCCTGTGCCAAACTGGCATATTTTGGGTTGGCATAGTCTAATCCCCTTCAGTGGTAAAGTGTCACACACCACAGAGAGATCAATTCAATTCAAAAAATATTTATTGAGCACCAACTATGTGCCAGGCATGTGCTAGTGGGTAATGAGGATAGAGTAGTGAAAAACAGAAGCCCGGTCATTATCATCAAAAAAAGAGAAAAACGGCCATGAAATTTGGGATTGTGGAGAACATTTGCAATTTGCAGTAGCAGTTTCAATGGAGGGGAAGGTGAGAGGCTAGGTTATAGTGGACTGAGGTGAGACTCAGAAGTGAGGAAGGGCACTGGAAAATGGAGACAACTCTTTCAAGAAGTGTGACCATACAGGAGAAAAGAATAATGAACAGCAACTTTAAAGAAGATGGGGAGCCAAGGATGAGGGGTTATTTTGTTGACTTTGTTTGTTTCATATTATTTGAGAATATTGAACATGCTTATATGCAAAAATAAATGTGCCACAGAGAAAAACAGGTTAATACTACAGAAAAAAGGAGGTAGGCCGGGCCCTGTGGCTCACGCCTGTAATCCCAGAACTTTGGCAGGCCGAGGCAAGAGGATCACCTGAGGTCAGAAGTTCAAGACAAGCCTGGCCAACATGGAGAAACACCATCTTTACTAAAAATACAAAAACTAGCCAGGCATGATGGCAGGCACCTGTAATCCCAGCTACTTGAGAGGCTGAGGCAGAGAGAATTGCTTGAACCTGGGAGGCGGAGGTTGCAGTGAGTGGAGATCACGCCACTGTACTCCAGCCTGGGTGACAGAGCTAGACACCCTCTCAAAAAAAAAAGAAAGAAAGAAAGTGAAAAAGAAAGAAGTAGTTTATGAAGATGATTTCTGAGGGAAAACAATGAGACATGGGTAGGGAAATATGTAGTTCACCTTGCAAGTCTTACCTGTGTCATCTCCTCTCCTGTCCTAGCCTCATCCCAGCTCTGGAGGGAGCATTCAGCTATATAAACACCACCCCACTTCATTCCTGTAATCCCTGACCAAGAGCTTTAAATACCTAAACCCTAGGAATTTGGAAATAATTGGTAGAACTCTAATGCCTCAGAGCCAAAGCTTGGGCATTTCAAAAGGCTATCAAAAGCAGCCTTTCTTTCTCATCCTCACCAACCTCTGAACTAGAGAGCGATCAGATCACCTTTCTGCCCCCTTCTACCCAGCCTCTGGTAATGGTGGAGAAGTTCCTCTGTTTTTCTCAAATCCCCAGACACTAGTATAAAGAGAGGGGCAGGAGGGTGAGGAGAGACTCCTGCCTTATATCCCAGGTACCTGATCAGGTACACACACATACATACATACATACATACATACACACATACACACACACACACACATCTCTGCAAACTTATGCCTTGGGCCTGGATCCTACCCTATTCCTCATCCTGGCATAAGCCTGCTTTGCCTTGTTCCATCAGCATTTCTATTCTGCAATTTAAAATTATTTCCTATGCCAATCCTCCTGAAGGAGGCTCCCCTTGGCCCTCCAATACCAGCTTGGAGCTGGACCAAATTTCTGTCACTCCTGCTTGACTTCATCTACCTTCCTGTAATCTCCCCATCCCCAGCTCATGCTCTCCTGGGTTCACAACATGCCTTGAGGTCAGTGCTGTCAGCACCTCCCAAGGGATGTCAGGGTTGATAAGGAAATTTGCAAGGCCTTGACTCTGAAGTCAAAAACACAAAACATATTTAAGTGAAATCGCCTCCTTTTGCTAGCCTAAAATCTAGATTTTTACATGTTTTTGAGGAACACAAAAGTGTTTCTGTGGGCAGTATTGAGCAGGGACTTAATTAATTATTAACGGGTATAAAGGAAAGAACACTGAATCAACCACAATTCAGGTTCCCACTTGCTTTTTTTTTTTTTTTTTTTTGAGACAGTGTCTTGCTCTGTTGCCCAGGCTGGAGTGCAGTGGTATCTCGGCTCAGCACAACCTCTGCCTCCCATGTTCAAGTGATTCTCCTGCCTTAGCCTCCTGAGTAGCTGGGACTACAGGCGCAGGCCCCCAGGCCCAGCTAATTTTTGTATTTTTAGTAGAGACAGGGTTTCACTATGTTGGCCAGGCTGGTCTCCAACTTCTGACCTCGTAATCTGCCCACCTCAGCCTCCCAAAGTGCTGGGATTACAGGCATGAGCCACCACACCCGGCTAGCATTTCTTAATTCTGTGAGTTTTGGCAAATGTTCAAGGTCTCTTAGTCTTACTTTTCTTATCTGCGAAATGGGGATGATTATAGCTATGTTCTAAACACCTTATGAATGATCTCATGTAATCCTCACAACAACCTGGCAAGATAGGTTCTATTGTTAACAATACTTGATGATCAAGGTTTAAACCAGCTAGTCTTATTCCAGCGCCTGCCCCACTAACCACTGTGCTCTACTGAGCTAATAATATCTTCCCTCCCACTTTCAGGGATATCAAGAAGAGCACATGAAATAATGTGTAAGAAAACACTTGGTAGATTTGCTTAATGGGTACAAAGTTACAATTTGGTAAGACAATAAGAGTTCTAGAGATGGATGGTGGTGATGGTTGCCAACAATGTGAATGTACTTCATACTACTGAACTATATGCTTAAAAATGGTTAAAGTGGTAACTTTTATGTTATATGTATTGTACATTAAATTTGTAATTTCAAAAATACTTGATAATTATAAAGTGCTGTAGGAATGCAAACTATTAGAGATAGTTTTAATTCTTTTTCATTTATAAACTAGCAGGTTCCTCAAAAGATTTTATCTGACTCACTATTAATCCTCTGAATGTCTAGAAGAGATGATGGAAAAAGAGGACCCCTAGTGTAAAATGACAGCATCTGTACTCAGCAGCTTCAGTGGCGGAACAGAAATGAAGAGGGTAAAATGAGTCCAGGGCAGAGCCTGATTGCAAATACATTCCCTGGCCACCTTCTGCATTGTCCAGTGGGTCACTTCCAAGAGGAAAGATTATTGCTGAGGTTCAAGAAACCACATCAGTGTAAGCTGGGTTGCTAATCTGTTCATTTGTGTCCATACCTTTTCAGGCTGAGGCTGAGGGCATCACCAATGATTTTCAGTATCACATGTGAGTCGCTCCTTGCAGTGTGCACATTTCCCACCCTTGCCTCTACTGCAATGGGCCCTTATATAATTTATTATATTTATGTTATTATATTCCCTGTAATGGCCTTCCTTTTCCTTGTAATGTCTTTCCTTTCTCCTAAAAACAAATTTTAATAAAAAATATATATTCATTATAGAAAATTTAGAAAATATAAAAATCAATTGCCCTTGGCTAAGTATTAGATTTTGCCCAATAATTCAAAAAAAAAGTTTTCTGATTCTCTCCAGGGAATTTTTTAAAAGTGAAACTCTGTCTTATTTTAAGGAGGCATTAAGTTCCAAAAATTTCCTTAAAGGTTTATTATCTGGCACTCTGGTTGCATTCTCCCTTTAAAATAATGTCATGAGGGGATATTAGGTTTCCAGATCAGACCACAAAATCCTCCTTGATGTATAATGGAGCTGAACTCTAGCTTGGTGAAGCTAGAACACCAAGCCACCAGCCTCTAGGCTCCCACTAGGAGGCAGGGACTTTGCCAGCTATTTCTGAATTTTGGCATTGTCACCCATTGGACACCAAACAACAGTGATCTCTAACTTCAACTTGCCACAGACAGGAACTGACTTTGTGGGTACCTCCTCCCTCAAATAGCACTAACAAAAGCACCCAAGCTTTCCATAGTCGGAAGGAAGATGAAACTGCCTAGTTAAAGAAGGGGACAGTAACCTTTAGTGCAAAAAGGTCATTGGTAAAGTGACTGCCCACAAATTAGGGAGCTGCTTTCTAGAATATGTTGAAGAACTATCTCAGCATCTTCTCTTTCATTGAGGATATACACAACCAACAGCTAGTCATATTTATTAAATGCCTTCCATTTGTTAACCAACAAATTTGTGCTGGAAAGGAACATGAAAGTATTTCTGTGGCCACAATTCACCTGATTCCAGTAAACTTTCTCCTTTCTGAGACTACAACTGTAGGCACAAAAGGACTGGAAAATAATAAACTTACAAAGCAATACAATTTAATGTAAGAATAATTTAGGTAACTTGGTCTTTGAAATTGATTAATTTCTTAAAAGTTATTTGGTCCTCACTCATTAGCACATTTTCTTTTTTTCTTTTTAAGTCATTCAACAAATGTCTGCCTACAGTTTCTATGTGTCAAGTGCCAGGCTAGGTTCTAAGTACACAGCTGTGATCCCATCCCCTCCTGGAGTTTCAGATTAGTAAAATGAGAAGACTTGCAGGGAGCAAGTACCAAGCAAATAAATAGACAGTAGTCCCAGGACCTCCTGTGAATGCCTAAAACCACAGATAGTACTGAACCCTAGAGATACTATGGGTTTTTTTCCTGTATGTACATATCTATGATACAGTTTAATTTATAAATAAGGCACAGTAAGAGTTAACAACAATAACTAATAATCAAATAGAACAACTAGAACAATATACCATAACACAAGTAATGTAAATGTAGTCTCTGTCTGTCTTTCCCTCTCAAATATCGTATTGTACTATACTTACCCTTCTTCTTATGATCTGCCAATCTGATTACCTAGATGGCTACTAAGTGACTAACAGATGAGGAATGCAGACAGCGTAGATCCGCTGGACGAAAGGATGATTCACATTCCAAGCAGGTTGGAGCAGGATGGCGAGAGATTTTATCATACTACTCAAAATGGCACACAATGTAAAACTTGTGAACAGTTTATTTCTGGAATTTCCCATTTAATATTTTCAGACCACAGTTGACTGCAGGTAACTGAAACCACAGAAAGCAAAACCACCAAAAAGGGAGAACTAGTGTGCAAATGTGTGTGTGTGTGTGTGTGTACATTTCCAATCTGTGATAGATGCTGTGACAGATTTATGTGATGGGGGATAGCAAGAACGACCTATTGAAGGGGGAGAGGAGTGAAAAACATGAAAAGCAGAGGAGGCTACATGTGTGTCCTGAAGGAACTGAGGGAAAGACAAATGCGGCTGAACAAGTGACCATAGGGCCAGTGGCAAGAAACAAGGGTAGAGGTATGTGGGGGACAGATAGCACAAGACCTTGTAGAAATTTGGATTCCTTTCTAAGTGAAGGACAAAACAGGGGATGTGAGGGGACATCACCTTGTTTATGGCTGCTGGATGAAGAACAGATTTGAGGTGGTTCAAGAGTAGAAACTAGGAGACCAACTAGGAGACTGTTGCCTTCTGAAAAACCAAGGTTTGTTAAAAAATAATCAGAAAAGATAAAAAAAAAATTCCCTTCAAAATATGTCTTGGCATTGGGGGAGGAGGAACCTCTTCATATTACATAATATTGTCTGATATCATAGTATGTTTATTAATTTATATGACTGTTTATCTGCTCAGCACCTGTCTTTCCTATTAGAAAGTAAGCTCCATGAGGATAGGAACTGTGCCTTGTTCATTCCTGTATCCTCAGGATATGGAACTGCACCTGCCACACAGATTCTCAATAAATACTTGCTGAATGGATGAACCATACATTTAATTCTTTTATAAAGCAAAGGATCCTTGTGTAAAGCAAATCATCATCCTCTTTCTTATCCATTTTGCAAGTCTGGATCTTTATATCAACTGAGAGGAACAAAGAAAGAGTAAACCAAGTCAAATGAAGTCTATTGTTCTGAATCCAGTGACTTCACAGAATGTAAATCCCAGAAAGACAGAGAACGTGAATGTGCTCATTGTATATTTAATGATTAAATTAGTGAAACCAGAGCTCAGGGTACTTATCTGTGGTTCTCAGAATTGTACTTTTTAGCAGATGGTTAACAACTTTACATTTTAAGATGGTATTTTAGCTGTCCATTAAAGCATTTAAACTCATTTAATTTGTCAAGTATCATACCAAGCTGGTTGGCATGAGTTGTACAATAAAAGGCTTCCACCCATTTCAGAAAAAGAACAGTATCATAGCATGGTCTGCAATGAAACTAGGAGAGTGATCCATCCCACCCACGTCAAAGGTTTCTCCTCCCTTAACTCCAGAAATCCCAAAATCTGGATTGAACTGTAGAAGATCATCCCTGGGTACTAAGGTCAGCAAGTTAGCAAGTTTCCGAGCCCCTTCAACTAAAACTGTTCCTTGATGTAGGCTCTACAAGGTTGTATTTTCTGTGGCTGCCATAGAAATGATCACAAACATGGTGGCTTAAAATAACAGAAATGTATTCTCTCACAGTTTTTGGAGCCACAAGTTTAACATCAAGCTATCAGCAAGATTTGATTTCTTCTGGAGGCTCCAAGGGAAAATCCATTCCATGCTTCTCTTCTAGCTCCTAGTGATTGCTGGTAATCCTTGGAATTCCTTGGCTTGTAAGTGCCAATCACTCCTATTCTCTGCCTTGTTCTTTAGACCTCCATCTTATCTGTGTCTTCTCCCCTTCTCTTCTTCTATAAGGACACTTGTCATTGGAGTTAGGGCCCATACTAATCCAGGATGATTTCATCTTAAGATCCTCAACTTAATTACATCTGCAAAAACCTTTTTTCCAAATAAGGTTCACATTCACATGTTGTAGTTGGACCTATCTTTCAGGGGATAACCATGCAACCTACTCTCAGGGCTGAGGCAAGATTAAAGCTAAAAAAACAATGTGCAATTCTAATGAGGCAGTAATCTAAATATGACTAGAGCAGGATTTTTGCAGGAAAAAAAGGCAAATGGTCTTCGTTTTGTGTTGTTTCATCTTGTTTTAGTTGAGTATGAAGTCACAACTCTTTTTTTTTCTAATACACAAAGAAAGGAGGTACCCACTTATTTAATTAATTCTGATGAATCAGTATCAGAGTCCTTTTAGGGGAACCAAGTTTAGGTGGGGGGGTGGGGCGCTGATAATGGAAGTGGGTAGGTGAAGGAGGAAGCCTTACTAGGTATTCTAGGCATGACACCAAGCTCTCCTGGGCATGTCAGGTCCATCAGCTCTGGACTATGTTGCTTTCCCTGCCCTTAGGTTTCCAATCTGAGTTTGCAAAGGCCTTCTCCAAAACTCAAGCTCATCTCTGAATCGCAGGGTACCCAACTAGCAACCTGTACCTGACTAGATGTTGACCTCTTGTATAATCCCTTGATTTAAAGTGCTTGATACTGAACTACATCCCTACTGGGATGAACCCATCATAGCGGCTCAAGGTGAGAGACCTAATCACTTTCCCCGACCATCAAATCCCAAACCTCATGTTTTCTCTTCGATCTGTAGATGCAATAGATTGTACCAAATTCAACAGATGCTTGCATGTTGTCCAGAACCTCTTCCTTTACACACTTCCTTGCAATTTGATGTGGAGGAAATAGCCAACCTTGGCTGAGAGCTTGGGAGACATTACAAGGCACATGAGGCAGAAAGAAGCACTGCCAAGATTTCACTTCTGTTTGTGCTGGTCTCTACTGTGGTTTACAATGAAAAGAACAATTTTAAGAAGGTAAAGTTGGCAGAGCAAAACTGTGTCAATGGTCTACTTTTAGCTTTGAGGAGCACAGCTTTCTTTTTCTTTTTCTAGGAGTACAGTCCTCTGGAAGGTTGAAATTTTTCTCTGGCATAGTACTTCACTAAAATCAATTGTGCAGGTTTAAAATTGTGCTTTTAATGTTATTTTAAGTACCTATTTTATAATTTCAATAAAACCACTCTCAAGCATGAGATAATGCTGATTAATGACACTTCTCTGGATACCAAGAGCTCTCAGTTCTGCCTTGTGCCTCTATGCTCACCTGAGGCATCCCATTAATCGCTGTTATGCCATAGTCTGTCCTATCATATTGCTTAATTACCATTTCTGTTACTCATTCATCTACTCTACTAATCCCCACAGAACAAATTCATCAAACCCTGGGGCTCTGAAGCAACAGTGTTCCTGGTCTTGCCAGAACCTGGCCCTAGAACCACCTTCTTTAGAAAATATGGAAGAATCCCAAGTCTCTTGATGCTCAGGAAAAACCAACCGTAATACACATTGTCTGCACATGGGAATCTTGTCTCCCTTCCTTTTTTGCATACCCGAACCCCATCTACCTTTCAAGGCTCAGCTAAATCTCTGCATCCTCCATGAATTCCTCCTTAGTTAAAGGTCTTATTGCCAATATCATAATCTATATCACTTAATTATTTTTATTCTATTCTTTGTGGCTCGTATATAAATATTAATTCAGCTAGACTGTAAATTTGTTTAGGACAGACTTCATGTTGAATGACCTTTGGTAATAATTAATAAAGTAAATAATAAATAAAAATAACACCAACTATTGTCTCTTCATTATGTACCAGGAACTGGGCTCAGTGGTTTACAAGATTATCTCAATGAATTATATCAACGATCTTTGATGGAACCTCTTTTACTGTCATCTTCACTTCACAGAGGTGAAATTGCCCATGTTCCCATAGTTAATGAATAGTAAAGCCAGTGTACAAACCTAGGCAACCTGAGTCAAAAACCCAAGTGCTAAACCACTAAGCAGCACTGCCTCTTCTCGTAACCTTCACAGTGTTGGGCAGTATGTTAATCACATTACTAATTACTAATTGTTTAACTTAGATGAAAATTCTTACTCCGCAGAGTTGAAAAAAGGAGAACAAATATGTGGGTCTAGATTAGAATAAAGACAAGAGAGGGGAAAAATTCTAAACGTGAAAGACAAAAATAACAATCAGGTATTTGAAGTGGGAGAAAAGTATTCAAGAAACCAGATATACAGAATTCTACCTCCTACAGAGGATATTTCCATACAAAAATTTAAATAAAGTTTTGAAATTTAATAGTAGTATAGTGAAGCCATAATCTTCCTTGATAACAAACTTTTGTTCTAGGAGACCTAATATGAATGGACTAATAGATTAGAACCAGGATGTTTCATGACTGATGAAGTGAACCAGTCACTTCATCACTGACTTATAACCAACATCTATCAATCCTCTTCCCCCCTGCAATCAACAGGAATCATACTTTGCTACTTCTCCTTGTGAGGACCTAAAGGCAAAAATGCAAGTGCTCTGTTCTCTTCCACCAACAACTGTGCAGGAATATGTGCCAAAATACGAATAAACTTTCTAGTCCTGACAACTTATATTCCAATATAAAAATCATCAGGAATAACCATTTGTATTTCACAATATTTAAGACAGACAATCATTAAATCACGGAAGATAATTGTATAATACAATGTATTTTAAGTTTCTGAACCCTTATGCAAACTGTCTTACCATTAGGCAAAACAAGTTACATAGTTGTTAGGGTAGGCTACCTGACAGAGGGCTTCAATTTTACCAGCAACACCTCATATCCCGTTTTTGTGCATATGTATGCTTGTATATACACATAGGAAGAATTTTCACCAAAGTGTTTGTAGTGGTTATCTTTAGGAGATGGAATGTGGGATGTACTTATTTATATGTCATTTTTATAATGATGATGCATACATTTTTACAAAAATAGTACATCTGTAGACCTTTGGCTTAGGAAGTGGTTTAGACCAGTTGACCAGTTAAAATTAAAAACCTGCTTCAACACCTATGAAAAGAGGAGAAAAAAAAATTGAAAACCTGCTGGATATCTGGAACAGTCGAGGCCAGCATCAGACCCATATGCCTTATTATGAAGGTTGAGAGAGTGGGTTTTGTCAGGAATTATACGAAAAGAACAAGAAGACTTTGACTTCTGGGAGTGAGCTGAGGATGGGAATGTCACCCAAAATAAGAAAGGACCTCCCTCTCCCTCTCCCTCTCCCTCTCCCCACGGTCTCCCTCTCTTTCCACGGTCTCCCTCTCATGCGGAGCCGAAGCTGGACTGTACTGCTGCCATCTCGGCTCACTGCAACCTCCCTGCCTGATTCTCCTGCCTCAGCCTGCCGAGTGCCTGCGATTGCAGGCACGCGCCGCCACGCCTGACTGGTTTTGGTGGAGACGGGGTATCGCTGTGTTGGCCGGGCCAGTCTCCAGCCCCTAACCGCGAGTGATCCGCCAGCCTCGGCCTCCCGAGGTGCCGGGATTGCAGACGGAGTCTCGTTCACTCAGTGCTCAATGGTGCCCAGGCTGGAGTGCAGTGGCGTGATCTCGGCTCGCTACAACCTACACCTCCCAGCCGCCTGCCTTGGCCTCCCAAAGTGCCGAGATTGCAGCCTCTGCCCGGCCACCACCCCGTCTGGGAAGTGAGGAGTGTCTCTGCCTGGCCGCCCATCGTCTGGGATGTGAGGAGCCCCTCTGCCTGGCTGCCTAGTCTGGAAAGTGAGGAGCGTCTCCACCCGGCCGCCATCCCATCTAGGAAGTGAGGAGCGCCTCTTCCCAGCCGCCATCACATCTAGGAAGTGAGGAGCATCTCTGCCCGGCCGCCCATCGTCTGAGATGTGGGGAGCGCCTCTGCCCCGCCGCCCCATCTGGGATGTGAGGAGCGCCTCTGCCCGGCCGCGACCCCGTCTGGGAGGTGAGGAGCGTCTCTGCCCGGCCGCCCCGTCTGAGAAGTGAGGAGACCCTCTGCCTGGCAACCACCCCGTCTGAGAAGTGAGGAGCCCCTCCGCCCAGCAGCCGCCCCGTCTGAGAAGTGAGGAGCCTCTCCGCCCGGCAGCCACCCCATCTGGGAAGTGAGGAGCGTCTCTGCCCGGCAGCCACCCCGTCCGGGAGGGAGGTTGGGGGGGTCAGCCCCCCGCCCGGCCAGCCGCCCCGTCCGGGAGGGAGGTGGGGGTGTCAGCCCCCCGCCCGGCCAGCCGCCCCGTCCGGGAGGGAGGTGGGGGGATCAGCCCCCCCGCCCGGCCAGCCGCCCCGTCCGGGAGGTGAGGGGCGCCTCTGCCTGGCCGCCCCTACTGGGAAGTGAGGAGCCCCTCTGCCTGGCCAGCCGCCCCGTCCGGGAGGGAGGTGGGGGGGTCAGCCCCCGCCCGGCCAGCTTCCCCGTCCGGGAGGGAGGTGGGGGGGGTCAGCCCCCCACCCGGCCAGCCGCCCCGTCCGGGAGGTGAGGGGCGCCTCTGCCCGGCCGCCCCTACTGGGAAGTGAGGGGCCCCTCTGTCCGGCCACCACCCAGTCTGGGAGGTGTGTCCAACAGCTCATTGAGAACGGGCCAGGATGACAATGGCGGCTTTGTGGAATAGAAAGGGGGGAAAGGTGGGGAAAAGATTGAGAAATCGGATGGTTGCCGTGTCTGTGTAGAAAGAAGTAGACATGGGAGACTTTTCATTTTGTTCTGCGCTAAGAAAAATTCTTCTGCCTTGGGATCTTGTTGATCTGTGACCTTACCCCCAACCCTGTGCTCTCTGAAACATGTGCTGTGTCCACTCAGGGTTAAATGGATTAAGGGCAGTGCGAGATGTGCTTTGTTAAACAGATGTTTGAAGGCAGCATGCTCGTTAAGAGTCATCACCACTCCCTAATCTCAAGTAATCAGGGACACAAACACTGTGGAAGGCCACAGGGTCCTCTGCCTAGGAAAACCAGAGACTTTTGTTCACTTGTTTATCTGCTGACCTTCCCTTCACTATTGTCCCATGACCTTGCCAAATCCCCCTCTGTGAGAAACACCCAAGAATTATCAATAAAAAAATAAATTAAAAAAAAAAAAAAAAGAAAGGACCTACCATGCACAGCCAAGGAACACCATCGATTTGCTTTGCCTCCTTCGCATTGTTACATAAACCTGGAAACAGGCATTGTCAGGAAAAAGGAAGTTAGCATATTCAAACTCTAATTCAGATTCCAACACTCATTAATCATAGAAATTTGAAAATTAGACACAGTGAGGACAAAGAGCACATTCTAAGTGAATACCAAAGGAACACTTACTATCTCCTTCCTCAATTCAATGCATTTTTGCTTTCTTTGGTGTATATGACAACTGTTTGCTCATGCTCACAACAAAAGCACTAACTGTGCATACAATCACTCAGTGTTTTGGTTTTATATTGCCTCTTCTGTGTATGATTTTTTTTCCTTAGCTAATTATTGTCTTCAGAACCGAACCACATTTCAGGAAACAGCAGATTTCCTCACACCATCTATAAGAGGGCGGGGCAACATAAGAGGCACTGGGTAAATACCATTTTTCATTAACACCTAGGATTTACTTTTTCGCATTCCTCCAAGGCACAGGAATGAGAAAAAGAAAATCAAGTGGGAGAATTCAATTCTACAAACAATTCCTGTAGCCCTAATAAGCGCACAGTATTGTGCTGTAGCCCTGTCCTACAGAGGTACATAAAAAGCTTTTCAGTCATTGTCATATAGGTCTTCAGAACACCCAGGTGAGATAAATAATTAGCAAATGAGGAGCTGCAATAAGTAGCATGCATAAGCCAGCGGAGAGAGAACTTGTCCTGTGTATTTGGGGACTTGTGGAAAACAGAGGCCTCCTATCTCCCAGACTTATATTCTATCCACTTTGGAAAAGCTTCTCCAATTCCAATTTGTACCCAAAAATCTATCCCAAGAGTAATTTATTTCTAATTATTCCTGACATTGGCACAATTAGAGGACCTCCGAAAAATCTTCTAAACATTTGCCTCTTGTATATAAAATCTCATTCAGAATAATGATTCTAAATGCAAGGAAATTTTGCTGATTACATCCCTACTTTATCTAAATTATTATTCAGTGCTCCAGTTTTCCATAAACTTTTCTTTAACCTCCTATAATTACTGTAGCTACAAAAAAGCCTTGGATTAGCTAACTTGTGCCATCTAAAGGTTATAGTAAGAACTTCTTTAGCCATGAAAAAAAAAATATTCGCAGCAGACTTTCTACAAAATGAATTTGAAAAAATTGTTTTGTGTAAGGTTTAAATATAAAACAGGTAACAACGGTTTGAGCATATGTTATTGATATTATTTCAAATTAAGATAAAGGAAAAAATCAAGAAACCTCTGGAAGTCTTAGCTTTATCAATCGTGGGATCTTAGGCAAATTATTTTAACCTCTCTGACCTCATTTCTCATTTATAAGACAAAAAGTCTGAACGTGATTTCAAAAGAAACCTGCTAATGTAATTTTTTAATTTTATGAAATGAAAAACTTAAATTTCTAAGTACGTGAAATTCAAAGAAATGGGTAGGTTAAAAGTGGGTTAGTGTATTAAGACAGAAGTGAAATAAGCTCAAAGATTTTACAGTCCTTTCTCTTCTTTTCAAATAAATATTGTAATTCACAGGATCCCGTGTGTGTGTGTGTGTGTGTGTGTGTGGTGTTGTATATAAACACTTTGACAGATACTGGCCAGCTGTTCATCAAACGATTGCCTCTTTTCTGGGAATATGGTGGTGTACATTTTCCAGGCTCCCTCACAATTAGACTCTGACAATGTGATTGAGTTCTCCCCAAAGGAATGTAATTAGAAACATGTATGCCACTTCCATGTCAAGCCCATAAAAACTTCACATGTATGACCGTCCATGCTCTTCCTCCTTCTGCTGCTTGATGTGGACATGTGTGACAACTTTGAGAGGAACTGGGTGTCCCAGTTATCACTTGGAGGAGATTCACCTCTCTACCAGAAAAACCCATATAGAATTGTATGTGAACAAGAAATAAACTTATTTTATGTGTTAGCCATTATATATCCGTGGCTTTGTTACATCAGTTAGCCTCTAATAAAACAAGTATTTTGAATTCAAATTGGCCAAGGACAGATTTATGCTCCTTCCTTCTGGGATCCCCTTAAAAAAATGCCAGATCTAAAATCATGTGAGACATATGACTTTCTAATTTTACTTGTGCTGTGAACTTAAATAAGAATGTGCAAATCTTGTCACCTCAAGAAAGGAAAAGAAGAAAGCACCAGGAGCCATTTTAAATAGGATGACACAATCCGAGCTACAAGGAAAGTAGAAACAGCCTCTAAGGTAGCCCTGAAGTGGCTCAGTGCCTAGTACAATGTCTTCTTGCACATAACTCATGTTCAAAAATATTTCTTGAATGAAACGAATGAATGAATGAATGGCTCACAAATCTAATTATTTCTGAAGTAGACTATGAAAAAAGGATCTATTATGTGTGCCATAGAATGGCTGGATTTTAATGCATTTAGGACAAGATTGTTATCAGCAATATCTGTCAGTGTAAAAGAAAAATTCTATTCATAGTCGGTCATGGTGGTGGGTGCCTGTAACCCCAGCTACTTGGGAGGCTGAGGCAGGAGAATCACTTGAACCCAGGAGGCAGAGATTGTAGTGAGTCGAGATTGCACCACTGCACTCCAGCCTGGGAGGAAGAAAGAAAGAGAGAAAAAAAGGAAGGAAGGAAGGGAGAAGGGAGGGAGGGAGGGAGGGAGGGAAAAAGAAAGAGAGAGAGAGAAGGAAAGAAAGAAAGAAAGAAAGAAAGAAAGAAAGAAAGAAAGAGAAAAAGGAAGGAAGGAAGGAAGGAAGGAGGGAGGGAGGGAAAGGAAGAAAGAAAGAGAGAAGGAAGGGAGGGAGGGAAAGAAAGAGAGAGAGGAGGAAGGGAGGGAGGGAAGGAAGAAAAAAAGAAAGAAAGAAAAGAAAGAAAGACGAAAAGAAAGAAAAGATTCTATTCATAATCCATACTCTACTGACTTGTTGGTCCATCAGTAAGCTGGGGTATTTGAACATTCACTCAATAAACCCAGCCTAAGCTTCTACCATGAGCCAGGCTGTGTTCTGCCCCCAGGGGTGCATGTCCCCTCTCTCTAGCGCTCCCCACTTGGAACCTGAAAACTTTACAGGGAACCTCAGCAGGCTCCCAGCCTCCTCTGGGTTCTTCAGTGTT
Source organism: Homo sapiens (assembly GCF_000001405.40). Lineage (NCBI taxonomy): Eukaryota > Metazoa > Chordata > Mammalia > Primates > Hominidae > Homo > Homo sapiens. Next base: position 55,769,776 of record NC_000002.12, on the reverse strand, counting down.
ATCACCCTCATGCGTAGAGTAGGACTGGCACAATGATTCAGAGCACACTCTTGAGTAAGAACACCTAGGTGAAAACTTGCCTCTGAAATTATTATTGGCAGTTTGGGAAAGTTACTAAAGCTCTCCTTCCCTGTAAGTAGGAATACTAACAACACCCACTCCTCTGGTTGAGGATTCTTTGAGAAACTCCAAGTTTAGCACACTGCTTGGCACATACTAAGTTAAATCTCAGTGAGGCTTAGATATTTCTCTTCTTTGAGAAGATAAGACTTTAAGATGGTAAGAACTAGTTGAAATAACACCATAGAGCAAATCATAATTCCTAGGTTGTAGTTTCAGGACTGCTGCTAAATAGATATTTTAATGTCATTTAATGTCCCTGAGTCTCAATTTTCTTATCATTTAAATGAGAGGGATGGCCAGACAACTTGCATTTTTTCTCTCAGCTCTATGATTTAATGACTTATGTCTTACTCAGGTCTCTGTAATCTAATGCTCAACACTTTGTTCTATTCATAAAGTACAGGCAGACAATTCCATAACCTCCCTCTGACACCTACTCCAATTATTTTAAGCCATGAGAGTTCACTTCTGGCATCTTTGCCATATGGGAAAATGTGTAAGAGGAAAGGCAGGTGGAGCCCAACGGGACTCCAATGCCCTATCAAACACCCTGAGGGCAGATGTTATGGCCAAGCGTGTGTGATCCACAGACACATCTGCAGAGAGCATCAGTATCTCTCAGAAGCTGCCACATTCATCTCCTAGCAAAGTACCTCAGGCATAAATAGTAGAATTCTAAGCACAGAAAGCACTCCAGAAATATCTGTTGCTTTGTTGATGTAGAACCCTCATTTTCTGATCCTAATGAACTGCATTTAAAGAAACTAGGGGAATAAGTATGTTTCTTGCTTCAAGCAAGGAATTATATAATTTGTTTTTCTAGAGCCAGCACATAGTAGATTCTCAATATGTGTGTGTTTGATGAATTTAATCATTGTGAATCTTCTGGCCCTGTGTTGAGGAATTCAAGCTACCAGAATCTTAATTTAGGATTTATGTCTCTCTTAATAAAGCTTGTGGTTTATCATTATAATAATGTGCCTCAATGAATCACTTCTCCCTGTGCCTGTGCCCCTTTTTCAATGTGACATTGCTGTTTCTCTGATGAAAAGGTGAGACTTTTTCCTCATCCCTTTGAATCTGGGCTGGCTTTGTAACTTGCTTTGACCTTTAGAATGTAATAGAGGTGACACTGTGAAAGTTCCAGACCTTCGACCTCAAGACTCCTTAGAGCTTCTACCTTTGCTCTGTTAGGACCCAGCCACCATGGAAAAAATCTTGGGGTTAAATGCCAAGGAAAGACTCTGTGAAGAAGGAGGTCCTACCTTTGCAATCATCCCTGTCAAGGTCCCAAACATGATGGTGAGACCATCTTAGACTCTCCAGCTCCAGTAGAACCAGCTCTGTGAGGGAATCTGAGCAAGACCAGTAGAAGAACTGCCCAGTCAATCTGCAGAGTCATGAGATACAGTAAATTGTCATTGTCTTAAAACACTGAGTGTTGGGGTAGCTTGTTACACAGTAATGAGTAGTCAATACAAAACTATTTCTGAACCCTAATCAGAACAGTCCCAAAAGAAGAGGTTTTATAAAAATTTGACTATAACAGCAGTTCTATGAGACAGAGAAGGGGGAAAAAGGGGCAAAATATTAAATACATAAAATACCAGATTAAGTCAATATGCAAATTATGCAGGAAATAAAATTCCGAAATTAAATAACACACTAAATCTATTAGTTTTGGGGCTCCATAGAAAACAGTTTCCAAACTGTAGACTTTTTAATTAATCCATTATTTATTAGTTATTACTCAGTGTTTTAGTTATCTATTTCTGCATAACAAATCACCTAAAAGCTTAGTGTCTAAAAGGATAATAGTCATATATTATTCTCATAATTTCTGGGGCTCATGTATATGGGGGAGGCTTAGTTGGGCAGTTGTGACTCAGGGTGTCTCATAACTTTGCAGTCAAGGTGTATGTAAGGACTACAATCATCTGAAGGCTTGATTGGGGCTGAAGGATCCACTTTGAGATGTCTTGCTCATGTGGCTGGCAAATTTGCTCCTCTCCTTTTGGGCCTCTCCTTGCAGCTCTGTGTGTCTTCACCACATAGCAGCTGGCTTCCCCCAGAAGCAGAGAGATTCAAGAGATCAAGGGAGAAGCTGAAATGCCTTTTATAACCTAGCCTCCAAAGTCTAACATCTTCACATCTGTCCATATTCTATATGGGCACACAGAGCAGCTCTGACTTAATATAGGATGGTACTACATAAGGGCAAGGATTAGTGTGGATCCTTTTAGGGGACCTCTATTGCCAAAAAAATTGAGAGCTCATACTAAAAATGCATATGCATCAGAATCATTAAAAATAATGTTAGAAAGTCAAATCAGAAACCATAAAGAGGCAAGAAGGGAACTATTTGTGCCTGGGCCTTCAGGTAAGATATTTATTACAAGTCTACAATTTCTTAGGAAAAACCCTTGAGAGCAGATATGTTTCAGAATTTACAACTTTTTTATTCCAGAAAGGTTAAGAGATACATATACCATATATTACACAATACCCTCCAGTAAGGCCAGGAGCAACAATGTAAAATCAATCACATTGTTATTTATACCACAAAATGTGTGAATTTTAAAACTAAGTAGAATAAAGACTTTAAGTGGTCTCACAACCATTTAGGTCAGATTTTGACAACAAAAATTTTTTTTAAGCCTGGGTTTTTAGAGCTTTTTGGGTTTCTGAATTGTGGATAAAGGATTGTGAGCCTGGAGAAGTTGTGAGCTCACAGGTTCAGGACATATGGCTACAGACTGCCCTAGATTTCATGCATCCATCCTTATTTCCAGGCCTTGCTTCCCACCAACGCCCTTGTACTGCTGATCAAGTTTGTCACAAACTCAAATTCTCAAAGCTGATCCATTCATATTTAGGGTCTCCTGATGTCATATTTCTATGCCATAGATTTTGATTTGGAAGTTAGCTTTTCATAGTGCCCAGCTTATCCCCAGTCTTGGTTTTCAGGTTTGTAACCACCGTTTAACACTGACAATGTGTGTTATCCGTTGCATTGCTTAAAAAGTAAGATAGTTATCAAACTTTAATCATCAATTTAACTGAGTTTCCTAACAACCAAGACAAAAAAGCATAGAAGTTGTTTGAAAGAAACTGATGTTTTCCTTACATCAAATCCTGATAGGAATTTTGTCAAATATCCTATCATAAATACATATTTCTCATCTGATAATGACACATCCAAAGCAAGACACAACATCCCCAGAAGTCACAAAGTAAAGGATCATTCATTTGTATAAAATAAAAATATGAAATTTCTAAGCAGAGTTAAAAGACAACTGACAGACTTGGAAGTTTTACAGCATGTAAAATAAAGAATTAATGAGAACTCTCCAAGTTAATAGGAAAAGGACAAAAAACTAGTGAACAGGAAATTCACAGGAAATACATTTAAATGCCTGATAAACACATGAAAAGATTCCTGACATTGCTAAGAATGAGGAAAATACAATTTTTTTAGGTGAAGTACTAATTTTTATTCATCAGATGGGTGGAAATTCAAAAGTTTGATAATATCAAGTTTTTACAAGGGTGTAGGGAATAGCACTCTCACACTCTTATCTGTGGACATATAAATGGTACAAACTTTGCAAAGGTTATTTTGGCAATATCCATCTCAATATAAATACAAATACCCTTTAACCATTTATTACAATTCTAGGATTCTATTAGCATATGACATGGTTTGGCTGTGTCCACACCCAAATCTCATCTTGAATTGTAACTCCCACAATTCCCACATGTCATGGGAGGAGCCCAGCGGGAGGTGACTGGATTATGGGGGTGGGTCCTTCCTGCGCTGTTCTCATGATAGTGAATGAGTCTCATAAGATCTGATGGTTTTAAAAACAAGAGTTTCCCTGCATAAGCTCTCTCTTTGCCTGCTGCCATCCACATAAGATGTGACTTGCTCCTCCTTGCCTTTTGCCATGATTGTAAGGCCTCCCCAGCCATGTGGAAATGTAAGTCCATGAAACCTCTTTCTTTTGTAAATTACTGAGTCTCAGGTATGTCTTTATGAGCAGCATGAAAATGGACTAATTCAGCATATATCCACAAAAACACAAGTAGTAGGAGTTTAACTACAGCATTTCTTGAAACAGTGAAAAATGTGAACAACCTAACTTTCCATTAATAGTGAAGTGTTTAAAAAAGAAACAACTATGATATAGCCTAGGAGTTAGAAATCTATTGGCCCCTGAGCCAAAAGTGGCCTATATCCTGCCTTTGTACTGTCTCCAAGCTAAGGATGGTTTTTAAAGAATTGAGGACAAGGAGGACAAATAAGAGAAAGAGAAGAAGGAGGAAAAAAAAAATGACAATATGTGACAGAGATCTTAAGTGACCCAGAAAGCCTAAATATTTACTATCTGTCCCTTTACATAAAACATTTGTTATAACCATGAAGATGAAGGGAAAATTAGGGTAACTATGGTTAACCTAATTGCCAAGCAGTGAAATTAACAAATTTATCCTATTCCTATCATCTTTAAGGCTACTGTGCCACTATCCGATAGCATTTAAAGATATAACTCTCTCAGTGCCCCTTTGAAAGTTCGTGAGGCATTTAAAACATAAGCCCCATTTAAAAACACACACACACTAACTCAAAGTGGCTGTCTGTACTGATCACTATCACTAACGAGTGGTTATCTATGGTTCATGGCTCTCAGTTGACCAATGTTGATATCACAAAACCATAGTTTCACAGAATTAAGAGACCCCAGAAACTCATATAGTTTGAATCTTAATCTTATGCCTGGATCCTCTTCACAGAGTTCCTAACAAACAGCTGGCAAGAACTTACCCTGATGAGGGCCATTCCAGTATGAAACAACATTGAACGGGGGAATGGTGCACAGAGGCACATACACCAGGTACAATCAGAGACTTGTGAAATGTTCACATTTTGGTTTACTGAATGATTAATAAGATAGCAGACTCTAAACACCTGAAGTAAAAAGAGGCTACCAAGAGAAGTTTTGTGGGAAAAATCTGCGACACTCACTACTTACTTCACATAAAAGCAATGAATAACCTGTTTCTAAAACTACAGGAATTAACCCAGGTGTTCTGGATGTGGTGATCTAGGGCCAGCATATGCAATGCAGGTGTTTTAAGTTCTGTTAGAGAGCACTACTATGGAAGTTCCTTTCATTTCAAAGATTTTTAGTTATCATTTGTAGATTAGCCTCAGTGGTTGACTTAGAAGGTGAGGAGACAGATCATTCCCTGGTTGGGGAATGCAAAACTAAGTGATCCGTTAGAAAAGAGACATCTCTGACACCAGGACTTGCTTTGGTGTTTTGCAGTAGGAAGAAGATTGCTCTTGGAGACGATTCTACTCCCAACTCCCCTCTCATGGCACTCTTCTGCAACTTACCAAGTGTAACCTCTTAGCCTCTGTTATTTTATCCATAAAGTAGGAATTTATACCTTGCCTGGCCAAAAGTGGGATTGAGGCGGATTACTTCATGAGGGCCTACCTGACAACAAGACCTATGATTCTGGCTTAAATTCCAAAGTTACCATGTTTTTAACTTTTTGCCACAAGACAGGAGTCATTCTCTCCCTGTTCTAATGATTTAGTAATCCTAAGCAAGGCAACAGGCATGAGTTATGCTGACTATTCATGTCTTCTTGATTCATGAGTTTGTGAATTTTAATCATAATCACTTTTCACCAGAGGTAGAGAATCTAGTAAAGTGAGTAGTAGGAGGAAAACCTCAAACTGTGTTCTGTTTACTCCATAAAAAAAAAAAAAAACATGGCTGACATTTTCTTACTCAATAGGACCTTGCCTGTAAAGATTGCTTTGCAACTGACAAGATCCAGGCAAAATAAGCAGCCGTGTCTCTACTTTCACATGTGGAAACTAGTACCAGCTCTACAACCCAGATCTCCTGGCACCTCCAAGAGCTATCTTTCCATTATTTTCACCTCCAGACTTCCATTAAATGATCCTGAACTACTGCAAATAAGAATTTAAAGGCTTTTAGGGGGGAAAAACTCAAAATCTATTCTAGCCACTGTGCTGAAAAGAACATAAACCTTCGAGAAGGACAGACCTAGTGTTCCTCACTCCCAGTTACCTTAAATACTTCTAATTCTCTCAGTTCTCATTTAATTTATAAAATGAGGAATGTGATACCTCCCTCACATGGTAGTTAGCAGAATTAAATAAGATGATATATGTAAGTGTAGGTAGATAGTGGATTCTCTATCAATACTAAATCCCTTAATAATCTCAGCATTCAAGAAATTCGACTTTAGGCCAGGTGGGATGGTTCACGCCTCCAATCCCAACACTTTGAGGACCAAGGCAAGAGGATCTCTGAGGCCAGGAATTCAAGACCAGCTTAGGCAATATAGTGAGACCACCCCCAACCCCGACTCCATCTCTACAAAAAAAATTTTAAAAACTAGCCAGGCATAGTGGCACGTGCCTATAGTCCCAGCTACTCAGGAGGCTGAGATGACAGGATCCCTTGAGCCCAGGAGGTCAGTGAGCTGTGACCATGCCATAGCACTAGAGCCTGGGTAACAGAGAGAGACCTGTCTTTAAAAAAAGGAAAGAAGGAAGGAATTAAAGAAAAAGAAAGAAAATAAATTCTACTTTATTTTGGGCTTAAATCTTTCCTGTTACATTTTTTTTTCTTTTCACACTGTGGAAGATGTGTGTGTGTGTGTAAATCTTTAGTACCTCAATGTATTGTAAGTTTTAGAGTATGAAGGGAGGCTGGGCATGGTGGCTTATGCCTGTAATCCCTGCACTTTGGGAGGCTGAGGCAGGCAGGTTGCTTGACCCCAGGAGTTTAAGACCAGCCTGGGCAACATGGCGTAACCCTATTCTACAAAAAATATATAAAAATTAGCCAGGCGTAGTGCTGCATGCCTGTAGTCCAAGCTACTCAGGGGGTGAGGCAGGTGGATCAATTGAACCCAGGAGGTCAAGGCGGTAGTGAACTGTGATCATGCTACTGCACTCCAGCCTGGGTGACAGAGTGAGAAGAAAGGAAGAAAGGAAGAAAGGGTGAAAGGGAGAGAGAGAGAGAGACAGAGACAGAGAGAGAGACAGAGAAAGGAAGGAAGGAAGGGGAGAGAGAGAGAGAGAGAAAGAGAAAGAAAGAAAAGAAAGAAAGAGAGAGAGAGAAAGAAAGAAAGAAAGAAAGAAAGAAAGAAAGAAAGAAAGAAGAAAGAGAGAAAGGAAATCTGAATATAAACTCTACATCAAGTTAGCGATCCTGATCTTAAGCCTAGCATAGACAGTATGATACTCTATAACTCATTGAGGACCGAGGCAAGAGGATCTCTGAGGCCAGGCATTTATGGGAGGCTCCTTGTGTCATATCAGGGAAGAGAAGCCCTGAATAACCAAGAAACAAAGAAAAAAAAGAGACCTGAATCACTTGCTGTTGGGTTTTTGTTTGTTTGTTTGTTTAATAATTGTAGCAGATGAAAAAGTAGTGGAAAGATCCTAACAGGCAAAGTGCTACCCATTTGCATCTTGTACAGCATTGTTTAAACTCTGAAAACAGGGGGAATTGATTCCTCTGCCCAGATTTCCCCTGATAGTGGCAGTTTAAAAACAAAACAAAACTGGACTTGACTCTCACAAAATATTTTCCTTAAAAGCCTTGCAAAAGATCCTAATGGTTTTCAAAGGCCAGGCCTCAAAAGCAAAATGATTTTGCAAAAGCCAACTCTGGTTTTGTTGAAACTACCATGGCCAAATGAAAACTTCACCCATCTTTCATGAGTTAAAGCAGCAGCAGAGCAGCATACCAAGCAAATGGCAAGGCTACGGTCAATGTAACTTACATTGAGAAAATAATGACAGTTCAGATTTGAAGGAGCTCAGAGTCAAGCTTTATCCCCAAACAGAGACTCATTAAGCACATAGTGTACTAACCACAGCATACCCTACAGGGATAAATTCAGAACTCTTGGCATATGAGATGTTAGGGCTGGAGCAACTCTGAACTTCTTTTACAAAGGCATGAAAAACATGAGAAGCATGCCTCTGAACCTGAGCCAACACATAAGACTGCCATGCCCTCCTGTTTGGGCAAGAAATTGAAAAACACTTAACCTTCGGATGGTTATCTGTCCTCATTATGTTATTCCAATCCGTAAAATTCTGAAGATGGAAAACTAAAGCTAAAATTTGAGTAACTGGGAATAGGGTGAGGAAGACCCTATATCTAAACTCAACTTCACATTGCCAATTACTATCACTAATATTACTACTCTTACCTCTTCTAGCAGTAGACTTCAGTGGGTACTACAGGTTTATTTGCCAAAAAATTGCATAGATATGTTTTGGAAAAAAATACTGTGTTTGAGGAGCAAATGATATGAGGCAACAATGCTTGTTGGAAAAAACACAATGAAAAGAAAAAGGAAACAGCAATCCAAGGAAATTGAAAAACTAGGATAAACAAAGTGAGTGATGAAATCACATAGTGAGGAAATCCATAAAGCAAGATTAGGACATGCACACAGAGAAATAAATATAAAATGGAGAAGGGAAAAAGCAAAGAGCAGACATAAGAAAAATTTTTAAATGACAAAGGAAGAGAAAAGGGCATAGGAAGACAGGGTTAGAGGAAGTGAGGGACTAAGCACTTGTAGGACAAGAAGAACACACTTGCAAACATTTCAAAAGGCACCCAGGTAATGGGACAAAATGATCTTGGAAAATGTTTGTCTTTGAGATGTTTTACATTTGCATTATTTGGTCCTGTATAAATTGCAGCAAATAAGGTATTTTTAATTGTGTTCAAGTACTAGACAATGTAAGTCAGACTTTTTAAACTATCAATGTATAATTATGCCTCAGAACTTTTTCCCCAATAAGCATATAAGCAGTTGAAGTCAATATAAAGTTACTATGATGGAAAAATACAATGAGTATTAAGGAGTCCTGTGGGGGTAATTGTGCATGAAAGAACACAAAAACACCTAACCTTTCCCCTTGGAGAAATATTAGGAATTTCAAATAGAGGAGAACACAGTCTAAGTGTCAAGCAAGCTTAATATCTTGCCCTTATGCGTAATAGAAGCAAAATTAGACTCATACTTAACTGGTCCATTTCTCAAAGAGTAATTATTTCATCATACCATTCTAAAGCCATCTTAATATAGAAATTTTTAACACAGAAACTCAAAGACTGTAGCCAGTAAGCCAGCCACAATGGCACACATATGTAGTCCCAGCTACTCAGAGTATTGCTTGTGCCCAGGAGTTCGAGACTCGCCTGGGCAATGCAGTGAGACACTGTCTCTTAAATAAATAAATAAATAAATAAATAAATAAATAAATAAATAAAGCCTGCAGCCAGTAATGTGAACAGATAAAAAAAATTACAACTTCTAATAATATCTTCCCAAATTTTGAAGCCAGCTTTTCTTTTCTTATTTAACATCTAAAATGTTGTGGTATGCAGAATTTTGGCATGCATTTTAATCTTTGCCCCTGGGATTACTTCTATGGTTATGGTTCATTACATGGTAAAAGGATGTTAATGATCTAATGAAGGTTTCTAATCGCCTGACCCTAAAATAGAGAAATTATTCTGGATTATCCAAGGGGACCCCAAATAATCACATTTACCCTTAAAAGCAGGAGAGGAAGTCAGAGAGATGCAATAGAAAAGGGAGTCAAAGGAATTGAAAGTATGAGAAAGATGTAATGTGCTGTTGTGGGCTCGAAGGTGAAGGGGGCCATGTAGGAGGCATGAGTATAGGAACTGAATTCTGACAACAACCTGAATAAGTTTGTGCTTTAAAATGTAAGTCCTATTATTATTCAGGTATGGTGGGCCAAAAGATCAGAAGACAGTTGTCATTAAAAAGACAGTTTGTTACAGCTGCCAAAAGGAGGGGGCACGCCACACCACACAGGGAAGCACCAGGGTTGGTCAGGACACAAGAATCCTAATTGTGGTTTCCATAGGAAGAAATGGGTGAGGCAGAGTATGAAGGTTTAGAACTGGCTAGTTAGAAAAATTACATTGGGTTCTGGAGAATAGAGGTTTTCCCCACGTGCCTGGTACCTGGGCCCTGGGATAATTGTGCAAGTGGAAAGAGGTCCTGAGTGTGAGTCTGATAAATGAGGTGGTTAGGGTATGGGCTCTGAGTTTGCTAATCTGCATATGAAAGGTACACTCAAAGGCAAGTCATTTACTATCTCTAGGAATTGGCTAGCCCTAGAAGGTACAGGCACGGGAGCGCCAGTAAAGTCCCAGTTGTCAAAGCATCAAAAATACAGAAATAAAAAGGCATGATTAATACCTTGGATACAGCTTGGATACAGATTCTTCCCAATAGCCGCCAAAAAGGAATGCAGCCCTACCAACACCTTGATTTTGGCTTTGTGAGATTCTGAGCAAAGAATCCATGCCACGCCATGCCATGCCAGACTTCTGTTCTACAGATCTGTGAGAAAACAAATGGATATTGTTTTAAGCTGTTAAATTGGTGGCAATTTGTTATGGCAGCAAGAGAAAACTAACACATATGCCAAATCTTCTTTGGGGTATGCTTCTAATTAATTCTCTGGGCATAATATATCCTGCAGTACTTTCTGCCCTTTCACAATTACAATCATACAGAAAAAGGCTAATTAGACAAGCTATGTTTGATGACTATTTTTGAAAGGCTTCCATCAAGTTAAATATCATATGAAAATTCTAATGCTATTCACCATTAGAGTATGGAGAAAAATTAAATCAAGATGTACTTTGAGTTTGTGAAGCTCAAATTATTAAAACTTTAAGCATTTGAAGATTGTGTGAGATATAACAAAGACTGATAATGCAGCACATGTGATCCATTCCTATTAGGCAAAAAGCTAACTGTATTAATATATATATTCAGCCACAACTTCAGATCGAGATAATGTCATAAATTCATGTTTTGGGCCACTCCCCACCCCAAATAAGTTTATAGCAATGAAAGATAAAATAGAAATTTGAAAAAAAATTGTAGCCAAGCTTACAAAAAGACAAACATTTCTGTGGGTCAGAAACCAAATATTCATTCATTCATTTACTTAACAAGTTTTTATTTAGCAACAATGTGATAGACATTGTTCTATACAAAGGATTTTGAGCTGAACAGAATAAAGTTCCTGCTCTTATGAAATTTAGGATCTAACAGAAGAGAATTGTAACAGAAACACAAAGCAATACATTGGTGGATGCAGTAGGCAAAGGCAGACAGGAATTTACATCCTTAAGGGAAATCAAGACTGTAAGCATCCTATGTGAGGTAGAAGACCAAATCCAGTCACACTGCTTGAAATAAGAGACAAGAGTGGATCCCAGCACTTTAGGAGGCCAAGGTGGGCGGATCGCCTGAGGTCAGGAGTTTCAGACCAGCCTGGACAACATGGTGAAACCCCGTCTCTACTAAAAATACAAAAATTAGCCAGGTGTGGTGGCACAAGCCTGTAATCCCAGCTACTCAGGAGGCTGAGGCAAGAGAATCACCTGAACCCAGGAAGAGGAGGTTGCAGTGAGCCACAATCACACTACTGCACTCCAACCTGCATGACAGAGCGAGATTCTATCCAAAAAAAAAAAGAGAGAGAGAGAGAGAGAATGGAAAGGAAGTTGGAAAAAGCTATATTTCTGTACCTTCCTCTTAATGTTGCAGTGAACCTGAAACTTTTCCAATAAAATTGCCTTTTTAAAAAATTATTGGCCGGGCGCAGTGGCTCATGCCTGTAATCCCAGCACTTTGGGAGGCTGAGCCTGGTGGATCACAAGGTCAGGAGTTTGAGACCAGCCTGGCCAATATGGTGAAACTCCATCTCTACTAAAAATACAAAAATTAGCCAGGCATGGTGGCATGTGCCTGTAGTTCCAGCTACTCAGGAGGCTAAGGCAGAAGAATGGCTCGAACCCGGGAGGCAGAGGTTGCAATGAGCTAAGATCGGGCCACTGCACTACAGCCTGGGCGACAGAGCAAGACTCCATTTCAAAAAAAAAAAAAAAAGAAAAAAAAAGTTATTGATTTAGTTTGAGTCTGCATCCACATCAAATTTCATGGTGAATTGTAATCCCTAGTGTTGGAGGTGGGGCCTGGTGAGAACTGATTAGATCACGGGGGTAGTTTCTCATGAATGATTCAGTACCATCCCCTTTGGTACTGTCCTCATGATGGTGAGTGAGTTCTCATGAGATCTGCTTGTTTATAAGTGTGTGACACCTCCCCCCACCTCCTCTCTCTCTCATGTTCCTGTTCCTGCCATGTGAGATGCACCTGCTCCCACTTTGTCTTCCACCATGAGTAAAAGCTCCCTGAGGGCTCCCAGAAGCAGATGCTGCCATGCTTCCTACACAGCCTGGAGAACCGTGAGCCAATTAAACCTTCTTTCTTTATAAATTCCCCAGTCTCAGGTATTTCTTTATAGCAATGTTAAGAACAAACTGATACAGTTAGAAATCCTGGAAATTAAAAATTAGAGTTTAAGTTTTCAAAAACCTTAATAATTGAGATAATGGAATCCAGAATTGATATATTGAAAGAGTACTAGGAATTTACCCAGAACCCATTATGGTGGAATAAAGAGGTGCAAACACATTATAAAAAATATGGAAGATCCATTGGGCATCTCCAACATATATATAATGGGAGCACCAATAAATAGCATTGAGGAAATGGCATAAACTTTTCCAAAATAGAAGAAATACAGTAGCCTTCAGATTAAAAACAACCACCAAGTGCTACACAGAATAAGTGGGCCAAATTTATGCTAAAGTAAAAAATCTATTCTTAAAATACATATTTATATTTAAAATCTCTAGAAGTCTAAATATAAGAACTTATACACGGATTTCCATGTTCCTTAGCAGCTCCAAAACTCAATGGAAGACACACATAAGTAAATTTTGAATTTCCAGTTAAAACTGGTTTGGAAATTGTATCTAACAATGTTAAATTTATCTTGTCTTCCTAGTAATAAATTGCCTATCCATTTCAATGATTCTGTGGAGTAATGATGTTGAAGTTACTCAAAAAGTTAAAATGGAGGAAAAAATAAAGTCAGCCATAGGGGAAATGAAATACTATTAATAAATTACCTGTATTATCTGGAAGAAGGGCAAAGTTTCTATTAACTTTAGATTTTGATAAGTAAATTAGGCATGTTAGAATGTATAGTGTAATTACTAATAGAATAAAACTGGAGTATATAACTACAAAGCTAATAATTTTAAAAAATATTGCCAGTCAATCTGGAAAAAAAGCAAACAAAGAAAAAAATGTAGACCAGGTATGTCAAACAGAAATAAATAAAATAAAATAACATAATTAAATAAAAATATATCAATGGTTACCTTCAATGTAAATAGACTAGATGTTCCAGTGTTAGAAACAAAGATTTTTAACCTGGATTTTAAAAGGACATTGAGAAATTGAAAGTTAAAAGATGCAAAAATCATAAACCATGCAAATAATAACCATAAAAAAGCTGTGTGCACTTATGTTAATATCACACAAAATCAACTTTAAGGGAAAAAAGTGTCTGGCACTGTGGCTCATGCCTGCAATCTCAGCACTTTGGGAGGCCGAGGCACGTGGATCACCTGAGGTCAAGAGTTCAAGACCAGCCTGGTCAACATGGCAAAACCCCCTCTCTACTAAAAATACAAAACATTAGCTGGGTGTAGTGGTGGGTGCCTGTAATCCCAGCTACTTGGGAGGCTAAGGCAGGAGAATTGCTTGAACCCAAAAGGCAGAGGTTACAGTGAGCAGAGATCACGCCATTGCATTCCAGCCTGGGTGACGAGGGCAAAACTCCATCTTAAAATAAATAAATAAATAAATAAATGTATTCTAAATAAAGAGGCTTCCTAATGATAAAATTTCAATTCACCAAGAAGACAAAATTTTAAATTTGTACATACCTAACATGGCCTCAAAATATGTGAAGCAAAAACTGATCTACAAGGATAAATAAAGGAATTCACAATCATACTAGGAGATTTAGCATACCTCTCTCAGTAAATGATAGAACATTTACTATCAATATTAAGACATTTAACATTGGCTGGGCATGGTGGCTCACACCTATAATCCCAGCACTTTGGGAGGCCAAGGCAGGTGGGTCACTTAAGGTCAGAAGTTCAAGACCAGCCTGGCTAACATGGTGAAACCCCATCTCCACTAAAAATACAAAAATTAGCCAGGCATGGTGGCGCATGTCTGTAGTCCCAGCTACTCAGGAGACTGAGGCAGGAGAATTGCTTGAACCTGGGAGGCGGAGGTTGCAGTGAGCTGAGATCACCACACTGCATTCCATCCTGGGTGACAGAGCAAGACTCCATCTCAAAACAACAAAAAAAGACATTTAACATTAACATTAAAAAGATGACATTTCTTCCCCAATTTATGTAAAACAAACATAGAAAAATAAGGACAAATGATTTGAACAACACAATTAACAAACTGACTTACTAGATGTACCAGACATACACGGAACACTGAATCCAACTGTGGAATGTACACAAGAAATATTTACAAAAATTGCCCATATACTGGACCATAAAGCAAATCTTAACAAATTTCAAAGGACTAAAATCATACAAAGAATGTTGTTCTATGCCCACTATACATTTTGGAAAGATAACTACAAAATTTGCCATTTTTTGAGAAATTATGAAAGGGGCCAAAGAAAACAAATAATGAGAGAAATTAGAAAATAATTTAAATTGAATGATAATGTACAAACTTGAATACCAGAACTTTAAGATACAACTAAAACAATACTTAGAGGGAAACATATAACTTAAACTGAATATGTCAGGAAATTATAAGGACTAAAAATTAGTAAGCTAAGCATTTGTCTCTAGAAATTAGAAAAAGAAAAAGAAAATTGAAGAAAGTAGAAGGAAATAAATAATGAGAGAGTAGATAGATATTAAATAAAAAAAATGGAAAAAAGCCAATAAAGTCAAAAGGTCTTTCTTTGAGAAAAACTAACAAAATTGACAAACCTTTGGTGAAACTGATCAGGAAAAAATAAAGAAGGAATGAATAACAAATATCAGAGGTAAAAAAGGGAACCACTATTGATGCTACACACATTAAACAAATAATAAGAGCAAATTATTGACAGATTTTGTCAATAAATTTTAAAATTTGGATGAAATTTTATAAAAACCTAGAGGAATATCATATATAAAACTGATATCAGAAGAAATAGAAAATATTGAATCCTACAAACATTATAGAAATTAAATCAGTAGTCAAAGTGTGCCCACAAAGAAAACTCCAAGTCCAGATGATTTTACTGGTGAGTTTTAACAAACGCCCAAAGAATTAATAATCCCCATTATATACAACCTCTTCCAGAGAATAGAAAAATAGAAAATACTGTCCAACTCATCTCTTATGGCTAGCATAATTGTGATACCAAAACCTAACAATGATATTATAAAGAAAAGAAAATTATCGGCCAACCTCACTTATGAGCTATGATGGTTAATTTTATGTGTTAATTTGAGTGGGTCATGGAGTGCCTGGATTACACATTGTCTCTAGGTGTGTCTGTAAATGTGTTTTTGGATGAGATAAGCGTTTGAGCCAGTGGACTCAGTAAAATAGATTGTCCTCCCCAGTATGGTTGGGTATCATCCAATCCACTGAGGGCCTGAGTAGAATAAAAGGTGGAGGAAGGAGGAATTCACCCCTTTTTTTCCTGCCTTACTGGTTGAGTTGCCACATCTCATTTCTTTCTTTTTTTTTTTTTTTTTTTTGAGACGGAGTCTCACTCTGTTGCCAGGCTGGAGTGCGGTGGCGCGATCTCGGCTCACTGCAAGCTCCGCTTCCTGGGTTCACGCCATTCTCCTGCCTCAGCCTCCCGAGTAGCTGGGACTACAGGCGCCGGCCACCACACCTGGCTAATTTTTTGTATTTTTAGTAGAGACGGAGTTTCGCCATGTTAGCCAGGATGGTCTCGATTCCTGACCTCGTGATCTGCCCGCCTCGGCCTCCCAAAGTGCTGGGATTACAGGCGTGAGCCACCGCGCCTGGCCTGCCACCTCTCATTTCATCTAATCTCATCAGGCCTTCAGACTCAGACTGAATTACACTACCAGCTTTCCTGTGTCTCTAGCTTACCGACAGCATATTGTGGGATTTCTCAGCCTCCATAATTGCATGAGCCATTCCACATAATAAATCTCCTTTTGTGTATATATTTGTTTTGTTTCTCTAGAGAACCCTAATATATGAGCATAGATGCAAAAATCCTGAGCTAATAGTTTGCTCTACTGGATTGGCAAATACAATCTAGCAACCTATAAAAATAGATCTTGATTAAGTTGGATTTATCCCATTTATCCCAGAAACGTATGGTTGGTTTAATATTCAAACATTAATTAATGTATTTCACTATGTTAACAGATTAAAGCAGAAAAAAGTCATATGGTCATCTCAATATAGGCAGATAAAAGTACTTAATACACTTTAACATCTATTTATGATTTCATCAAATAAAGCTCTGTGCAAACTAAGAACAGAAGAAATAGTCTTTAATTTGATAAAGGATATTGGTAAAAACATACAATAAATATCATACTTAAATGCTGAAAGTTTTTCATTTGAGATCAAGACCAAGACAAGAAAGTCTCCTATCATTGTTTCTAGTCAACATTTCACTGGAGGGCCCAGCCATGAGGGAAAAAACAGCAAGAAATTAAAGGTAAGAAATTAAAGTAAAAGAAAAAACATAATTATGATCATTTACAGCTGATAATGATTACATACAAAAATCTAAAAATATATATAAATAAGCTGTTGGCATTTAGAACAAGAAAGTTTAGCAAATGTATTAGATAATAAATCAATATATAAAAATCTATTTATACCAGCAACAAATAGAAATTTTAATTTTATAAAAGATACCATTTACAATATAGCATTAAAAAATTATCACTTAGGAATAAATCTAATAAAGATATTTAAGGCCTTTATAGAGAAAATTATAAAACCTTGTTGAGAGACGTTAAAGAAAAGTAATATAGAGGAGACTGTCCAAGGATTGGAACAGTCAATATTAAAAATATGGCATTTCTTCCACAATTTATGCATAAATTCAATGCAATCTTATCAAAATCATAAGTTTTTATGGAATTTGATAAATTGCTTTTAAAATTAATATAGAAATGCAAAAAGCCAAGACAATCAAGACACTTGTATTAGTTTTCTAGGGATGCTATAACAAAGCACACCACAACCAGATGGTACTGGCTTCAAAAAGAAGTTTATTGTCTCACAGTTCTGATGGCTACAAGTCCAAAATTGTATTTCCTGGTTGATGCTTCCCCTGAAGCCTGTACAGAGAATCCTTCCTTGCTTTCTCCCAGCTTCTGGTGGTTTCCTGGCAGTCTTTAATTTTTCTTGGCTTGCAGCTGCATAACTCCAACCTGCCTTCATCATCACGTAGTATTCTCCCTGTGTGCTTCTGTCATCACACAGCCCTCATCTTACAAGGACATCATTTGTGCTGGATTAGGGGCCCACCCTACTCCAGTATGTCCTCATCTTAACTAATGAGGACATTATCTGCAATTACTTTATTTCCAAATAAGGTCACATTCTGAGATATGAAAACTTCAACATATCTTTTTGGAGGAGACACAATTCAGACTATAACAAAACACTTGAAGACACAGAACAAAGAGGAAGATGTGTATTACTAGACATCAAGATATATTATAAAGCTATAGTGAGCAAGACAATGTGGTATTGGCACATGGATAGGGAAGTAGATGAATAGACACAAAAAGAGAGCTCACAAATAGCTCAGAAACAGACTTGTGTGAAATTTGATTTATGACAGAGATGGCATTGCAGAGCAGTGGAGATGGAATGGACTTTCCAATAAATAACACTGCACAATGAAAAAATGAAATTAGACCCCTCTTTCACAGCATATGCAAAAATAAAACACAATGGATTTGAGAACAGAATACACACAGGATTGTTTCTTCTTGACCTTGGACTAGGGAAGGATTTCCTAAATGAATACAAAAAGCACTCATAATGAAGAAAAAGACTGATAAAATTAATTTTAGAACTTCTACTTATAAAAGGCAATACAGAAAGAGCAAAAGGTCAACCCTCAGAGTGAGAAAAGATATTTGCAACATATATACGGGCATAACTTTGGAGATACTGCCAGTTCAGTTACAGACCACCTCAATAAAACTGATATTGCAATAATATGAGCCACACAATTCTTTTAGTTTCCCAGTGTATATGAAGTTGTATTTATATTATACATAGTCTATTGAGTGTACGTAGCATTATGTCTGAAAAAAACAATGTACATACTTCTATTTTTAAAAATGCTTTATTGCTAAAAAGTGCTAATGATCATCTAGGACTTCAGCAAGTAATAATCTTTTTGCTGGTGGAGAGTTTTGCCTCAATGTTGATGGCTGCTGACTGATCAGGGTGGTGGTTGCTGAAGGTTGGGTGGCTGTGGCAATTTCATAAAACAAGACAACAATGAGCCAGGCATAGTGGCTCATGCCTGTAATACCAGAGTTTTGGGAGGCCAAGGCAGGAGGATTATTTGAGACTAGGAGTTTGAGACCTGCCTAAGCAACGTAGTGAGACCATATCTCTATTAAAAAAAAAAAATTAAATAGCTGGGTTTGGTGGTGCGTGCCTGTAGTCCTAGCTACTTGGGAGGCTGAGGCAGGAGGATTGCTTGAGTCCAGGAGTTTGAGATTACAGTGAGCGATGATCGCACCACTGCATTATAGCCTGGGTGACAGACAGCAAGACCCTGTCTCAATAACAACAACAACAAAAAGACAACAATCAAATTTGCTTTGCTGCATTGATTAGTTCTTCCATTCACAAAAAAAAAAAAAAAAAAAAATTTATGCAATGCTGTTTGATAGCATTTCACCCACAGAAGAACTTCTTTCAAAATTGGAGTCAATCTTGTCAAACCCTGCCACTGCTTTATCAAGTAAGTTTATGTAATATTCTAAATCCTTTGTGGTCATTTAAACAATTGTTTACAACATCTTTACCAGGAGTAGATTCCATATCAAGAAACCACTTTCTTTGCTCATTCATAAGAAGCAACTCTGCATTTAAGTTTTATCATGAGAGTCCAGCAATTTGGTCACATCTTCAGGCTCCACTCTAGTTCTCTTGCTATCTCTACCATATCTGCAGATACTTCATTCACTGAAGTCTTGAACCCCTCAAAGTCAACTATGAGGGTTGGAATCAACTTCTTCCAAATTTCTGTTAATATTGATATTTTGACCTTGTCTCATGAATCACAAATGCTCTTAATGGCCTCTAGAGTGGTGAATCCTTTCCAGAAGGTTTTCTTTTCTTTTTTTTTTCTTTTTTTTTTTTTCCAGTTTCTGATGAAGGCTACTTTCTGCTTTAAAGGTGGCACCTTCCTGTTGTATCCTCACATGGCAGAAGGGGAAAGCAGTCTCCCTATAGCCTCTTTTACAAAGGCGCTAATCCCATTTGTGAGGGCTCCACCCCTCTGATCTAATCACCTCCCAAAGGCCCTACCTCCTAGTACCATCACCATGAGGGTTTTCTCTCTTTTTTTTTTTTTTTCTCTTCAACTTGTATTTTAAGTTCAGGAATACATGTGAAGGATGTGCACGTTTGTTAAATAGGTAAACGTGTGCCATGGTGGTTTGCTGCACAGATCATCCCATCACCTAGGTATTAAGCCCATCCATTATTCTTCCTGATGCTCTTCCTCCCCCAACCCCCCACAACAAGCCTTAGTGTATGCTGTTCCCTACCATGTGTCCATGTGTTCTCATCATTCAGTTCCCACTTATATATAAGTGAGGACATGCAGTGTTTGGTTTTCTGTTCCTATGTTAGTTTGCTGAGGATGATGGCTTCCAGCTCCATCCATGTCCCTGCAAAGGACATAATCTCATTCCTTTTTATGACTGCATAGTATTCCATGGTGTATATGTACCACATTTTCTTTATCCAGTCTATCATTGATGGGTATTTGGGTTGATTCCATGTCTTTGCTATTGTGAATAGTGCTGCAATGAACATACGCATGCATATACCTTTATAATAGAATAATTTATATATTTGGGGGTGTACACTTAGTAATGGGATTGCTGAGTCAAATGGTATTTCTGCCTCTAGATCTTTAAGAGGTTGCCACACCATCTTCCATAACAGTTGAACTAATTTACACTCCCACCAACAGTGTAAAAGTGTTCTTTCTGTGCAACCTTGCCAGCATCTGTTGTTTCTTGACTTTTTAATAATAGCCATTTTAACTGGCATTAGATGGTATCTCATTGTGGTTTTGATTTGCATTTCTCTCAAGATTAGTGATGTTGAGCTCTTTTTCATATGTCTGTTCACGTCCTTTGACCAATTTTTAATGGGGTTTTCTTGTTTGTTTGTTTGTTTGTTTTTTGAGATGGAGTCTCACTCTATTGCCCAGGCTGGAGTGCAGTGGCGAGATCTTGGCTCACTGTAACCTCCGCCTCCCAGGTTCAAGTGATTCTCTTGCCTCAGCCTCCCAAGTAGCTGGGATTACAGGCGTGTGCCACCACGCCCAGCTAATTTTTGTGTTTTTAATAGAGACAGGATTTCACTATGTTGGCCAGGCTGGTCTCAAACCCCTGACCTCAAGTAATCCTCCTGCCTTGGCATCCTAAAGTGCTGGGATTACAAGCATGAGCCACCATGCCTGGCCTTGTTTTTATCTTGTAAATTTAAGTTTCTTGTAGAGTGGATATTAGACCTTTGTCAAATGGATATATTGCAAAAATGTTCTCCCATTCTGTAGATTGTCTGTTCACTCTGATAGTTTATTTTGCTGTGCAGAAGCTCTTTAGTTTAATTAGATCCCATTTGTCAATTTTTGTTTTTGTTGCATGTGCTTTCGGCATTTTTGTCATGAAATTTTTGCCTGTGCCTATGTCCTGAATGATACTGCCTAGATTTTCTTCTAGAGGTGTTTTTTGTTTCTTGTTTTTTGTTTTTTGTTTTAGACGGAGTCTCCGTCTGTCGCCCAGGCTAGAGTGCAGTGGTGCGATCTCGGCTCACTGCAAACTCTGCCTCCTGGGTTCACGCCATTCTCCTGCCTCAGCCTCCCGAGCAGCTGGGACTACAGGTGCCTGCCATCACGCCCGGCTAATTTTTTTTGTATTTTTAGTAGAGACAGGGTTTCACCATGTTAGCCAGGATGGTCTCGATCTCCTGACCTTGTGATCCGACCGCCTCGGCCTCCCAAAGTGCTGGGATTACAGGTGTAAGCCACTGCGCCTGGCCTCTTCTAGAGTTTTTATAGTTTTGGGTTTAACATTTAAGGCTTTAATCCATCTTGAGTTAATTTTTCTATGTGGTGTAAAGAAGGTGTCCAGTTTCACTTTTCTAAATATGGCTAGCCAGCACTCCCAGTGCCGTTTATTAAATAGGAAGTCCTTTCACCATTGCTTGTTTTTGTCAAGTTTGTTGAAGATCAAATGGTGTAGGTGTGCAGTCTTGTTTCTGAGTTCTGTATTCTGTTCCATTGGTCTACGTGTCTGTTCTTGTACCAGTATCATACTGTTCTGGTTACTACAGCCTCGTAGTATAGTTTGAAGCCAGGGAGCATGATGCCTCCAGCTTTGTTCTTTTTGTTTAGGATTATCTTGGCTATTCAGGCTCTTTGTGGTTTCATATGAATTTTAAAATAGTTTTATCTAATTCTGTGAAGAATGTCAGTGGTAGTTTAATGGGAATAGCATTTAATCTATAAACTACATTGGGCAGTATGGCCATTTTCATGATATTGATTCTTCCTATCCAATGAGTGTGGAATGTTTCTCCATTTGTTTGTGTCCTCTCTGATTTCTTTGAGCAGTGGTTTGTAGTTCTCTTTGAAGAGGTCCTTCGCTTCCCTTGTTAACTGTATTCTTAGGTATTTTATTCTTTTTGTAGCAATTGTGAATGGGACTTCATAATTTTTAAGGGCTCTAGGATTTAGGGAATGGTAAATGAGCACTGGCTTCAACTTACCTTAAAGTCACCAGCTGCATCAGCCTTTAACAAGTGAGTCAGCCTGTTCTTTGAAGCTTTGAAGCCAGGCATTAACTTCTTCTCTCTAACTGTGCAAGTCCTCATGGCATCTTCTTCCAATAGAAGGGTGTTTTGTCTACATGGAAAATCTGTTGTTTATATGGCCACTTGCATTAATTGTCTTAGCTAGATCTTCTGGATACCTTGCTGCAGCTTCTCTATCAACACTTGCTGCGTCATCTTGCACTTTATATGTTAAGGAGATGGCTTCTTTCCTTAAACCTCATGAACGAACTTTGGCTGGCTTACAACCTTTCTCCTGCAGCTTCCTCACCTCTCTCAGCCTTCTCAGATTTGAAGAGAATTAGGTCCTTGATCTGGATTAGGCTTTCGCTTAAAGGAATGCTGTGATTGGTTTGATCTTCTATCCAGGCCACTCACACTTTCTCCATATCAGCAATAAGGTTGTTTCACTTCCTTATCATTCATGTGTTCACCATAGGAGTACTTTAGTTTTCTTCAAGAACTTTCCTTCAATGCACAATGAACTGTTTGGCACAAGAGGTTGGTTTATCTTGGCTTTAAGCATGCTTTCCTCACTAAGCTCAATCATTTTCAGTTTTTGATTTAAAGTAAGAGATGTATGACTTTTCCTTTCATATGAACACTTAGAGGTCACTATAGGGTTATTAATTCACCTAATTTCAATATTACTGTGTCTCGGGGAATAGGGAGGCCCAAAGACAGAGAGAGAGAGAGATAGGGGAACAGCCAGTCAGTGGAGCAGTCAGTACACACCATTTAACTTATCTTATATCTAACTTATTTATCAATTAAGTTCTCTATCTTACATGGGCATGATTTATGGTGTCCCACAACAACTACAATGTACCATCAAAGATCACTGATCACAGATCACCAAGGCAAATATAATAATAATTTAAAAGTTTGAAATATTGCAAGAATTACCAAATGTGACACAGAGACACAAAGCGAGTCCATGTTGTTGAAACACTTGCTCAATATGGAGTTGCCACAAACCTTCAATTTGTAAAAAAAAAAAAAAAAATGCAATATCTGTGAAGCACAATAAAGCAAAGCTACAATAAAAAAAAATGCCTATAACTGACAAAGTATAGTATCCAGAATATGAAGAAACGCCTCCAAATAACAAGGAAAACCAGGAGTAAAACTGGTGAAAAGACTTGAACAAACACTTCTCAAAAGAGAAAATCCCAACAACCAATACCATATTTTTAAATCTTCAATGTCATTATTTTTCAGGGAAATGTATTTTAAAACCACAACGAAATACCACTACTCATCCATCAGATGAGCAAAAATATAAAAGTCTGATAATACAGACTACATTATACAGATGGAATTAACTGTATTAACTGTAATAACTGTGTTGAGTTATCCAAAATACAGAGCATCAGGAACTTACAGAATGTGAATGATGTAAATTGCTACAAATTATTTGAAAATGTGTTGCATTATCTAATCAAGTTGAAGATATGCTTACCTTATGACCTTGAAATTCTACCCCCAAATCTTTATCTTAGAGATTGTATGTTTCAATGTACCAGGGTATATGTACAAGAATATCCACAGAAGCATTGTTTATCATCACCCAAAACTGGAAACAATTCAAATGTCCATTAGCAAAAGAATGGATAAATAAAGCATGATCTTTTTTTTAGAAACGGGGTCTCACTATGTTGCCTCTCTCTGGCCTCAAATTCCTGAACTCAAGTGATTCTCTTGCCTCAGCTTCCTGAGGAGCTGTGATTACAGGAAGCTCCTCTCCACCCAGCAAGTGGGCACCACTCCACCCAGCAAGTGTGGACTTAATCAGCAAAGAGAAGGAACAATCCATAACTATAACTAATAATAGGAATAATTTTTTTCTTGAGATGGAGTTTTGCTCTTGTTGCCCAGGCTGAAGTGCAGTGGCACGATCTCGGCTCACAGAAACCTCCACCTCCTGGGTTCAAGCGATTCTCCTGCCTCAGCTTCCCGAGTAGCTGGGATTATAGGTGCCTGCCACCACGCCCAGCTAATTTTTGTATTTTTAGTAGAGACAGCGTTTCACCATGTCGGCCAGGCTGGTCTCGAACTCCTGAGGTAATCCGCCCGCCTCAGCCTCCCAAAGTTCTGGGATTACAGGCGTGAGTCACCCATCTGACCAGGAATAATTCTTAAAATAAAGTCAGTAGAAGAAAAGTCACACAGAGAATGCATACAATAATGACTCCATCTATATAAACATCGAAAACAGGGAAACACAAACTATATTACTCAGGAGTATATACCCAAGTAGTCAGATTATAATGAAAAACAAGAAAAGTACTTCTATAAAAGTCAGGAGAGTGATTTTCCCTGGAGAAAGAAAAGGAGCTTGGGATTGAGAGGACAATTGGGAAGACAGACACAGGAAGCTTCCTATGCGTCAATAATGCTCTATTTCCTCACCTGGGTGGTGGTTTTCATGGATGTTCACTTTACAGATATTTGTTAAACTATACATATGAGTTGTATGCACTTTTTGTATCCTATGTTTCACAATATTTAAATTGTTTAAAAAAATTTTAAGCCCAAATTGTCTGGAAGAGAATAAACAAGTGAATCTTTTAGACAAGAGAGAAGCCTGTGATTTTGAAAAGAGACCCCTCTAAGTGCCGTAAGTGGACATATCATTGACGATTTTCTGAGCAGGGGATAATAATATTGGACTTGGGCTTCAGGAAGCTAGAAACAGGATGGTAAACAGTCTGACGGCAAGAAAACTGTAGAGAGATGGGGGCTCAGAAATGGATTGCATCTGTTAGAATTGGGTAGGTATGAGAGCTTTTAGGGAGATAAACTATATACAGCTTAGCAACTGGTCAGCAGAGCAAAGAATAAGGCAGAGAAAAATTAAATATGGCTCGAGATCCCAATCCTGGGTGACTTTCATGGATGGTTCTATCATTAACTCAAAAGGGAGTCATGTAAGGAAGGGCAGATTTAAGCATATAGATGACAAGTTACATTTTATACATAATGATGGAGAGGTACTAGAAAATATCCCACTGCTGATATTTTGCTGACCATTAAAATCACAGACCTGTTAGATACTGGATAAATATGGAAGAAAAATGGGGAGAGAGATTCATTTAGTAGAGAAGGCTGGGCTGTATATACAGATTCAGGAGCCAACCACAGACAGCTAACAATTGATCCCCATAGACCAGATAAGTCTGAAATTGGATTAAAACAGGGATTAAGAAGAAAACAATGCCAAGATCAGATCCTTGAGAAACAAGTACATTTATAGAAGAAAGATGAAACAGAAAAGGGGCTAGCAGAGAGATGGGAAAACCAGGAAAATGTAAAGAAGCCAAAAGAGAAAACTAGTGATATAGTTTGGCTCTGCATCCCCACCCAAATCTCACCTTGAATTGTACTAATCCCCACATGCCAAGAGTGGGACCAGGTAAAGATAATTTAATCATGGGGGAAGTTTCCCCCATACTGTTCTCATGATAGTGAGTGAGTTCTCATAAGATCTGATGGTTTTATAGCGGGCGGTCTCCCTTTGCTCAGCACTCATTTTCTCTCCTGCCACCCTGTGAAGAGGTGTATTCTGCCATGAGTGTAAGTTTCCTGAGGCCTCCCCATCCATGTGGAACTGTGAGTCAATTAAACCTCTTTTCTTTTTAAATTACCCAGTCTTGGCTATTTCTTCATAGCAGCATGAGAATGAACTAATACAATGAGTTTCCAGATTTAGACAACAGCAGGGAAGAGAACTGAAAGTTCATTGTACTTAGTCACTGACCAATTCTTAGTCAACTTTATAAGAGTGGTTTCAGTAGATGTGTGGGGGCAAAAGCCAGGCTACAAATGGTTATGGAATTTCGGAATTCTTCTGGGTTAAAATAGAGGATTCTTTCAAGACTTTTGTTAATGAAAAGGTGAACTAAAGCAAAGTAACATGAGAGATGAATAAAATCAAAAGAAAGATATTTGTGGTTTTAGGCAGATAGGAAAGCTACCACAAAGAAATATTAAAGAAGGAAGATGTGATCAGAGTAGATATGTGAAGAAACAATATTCTGGGAGCTGCAAGAACACAAGTACAGGAACTAGTCTTTCAAAGGAGGAAGAACACACCCTTGTCTGAAGCAGAAGACCTTGGATATTAAAATGTTCAGTGTGAAAGGAAAAGTCAGAGACCAAAGTGTTAGTAATAGAAAAGTATTTTTACGTCTAATGTCTTGTAATGAAGTCTAGTCTAGTCTAAAAGAATTGGCTCCATAAACAAAGCAAACAGCAGATATTAAGGGGAGAGATGCAAAGTTACCAAGATAACAGTATGCCTATTTATGGCAAGAGCGCCATTTTCTCACATGGTTAGCATATCAGCAAGGATTGCCACCTATCTGTAGATGGCAGAAGTCAAGGTAAAATTGCTTCCAAATAGGAACTTTACAGAAAGGACTCAAACAAGTCTTCACTATTTCAGGGCTTATGTTAGACAAAGTGTTCTTGCTTTTTGTTTTGTTTCGGTTTGTCTTTTTTGTGGTTCAAGATGTAGCATTCATGTTGCTCTCACAGTTGAAGTCATCTGCAGTAAGTATCACATTGAAAAAGTGTTGAGGAAAACACAAAACGCTTGAGAAGGCCAGTGTGAGAAATATGAGAGAGAGTAATTATAGATTTCAAAGATTCTAAAATATCAGAGATGGCCTGTAATTCTAGCACTTTGGGAGGCCGAGGCAGGTGGATCACTTGAGTCCAGGAGTTCAACACCAGCCTGGTCGACATGGTGAAACCTCGTCTCTACTAAAAATACAAAAAAATTAGTCAGGGGTGGTGGTGGGTACCTGTAATCCCAGCTACTTGGGAAGCTGAGGCAGGAGAATTGCTTGAACCCAGGAGGCAGAGGTTATAGTGAGCCAAGATCGCACCACTGCACTCCAGCCTGGGCGACAGAGTGAGATTCCATCTCAAAAAAAATAAAACATAAAATAAAATATCACAGATGGTGAAAACAGGGAAGTCATCCAATCCATCCTTATAGATATATGTTTGGGGAAAATGAGGCCTACAGAAATGACTTACCGAAAAGCAAAGTTTGAACTACAGGGCTATCAACACACAGGACAGTGTTCTTTAAGGCTTACCATATTGCCATGTAAAATCAAAGTCCTGAGGGAGGAGCCAAGATGGCCGAATAGGAACAGCTCCGGTCTACAGCTCCCAGCCTGAGCGACGCAGAAGACGGGTGATTTCTGCATTTCCATCTGAGGTACCGGGTTCATCTCACTAGGGAGTGCCAGACAGTGGGCGCAGGTCAGTGGGTGCGCGCACCGTGCGCGAGCCGAAGCAGGGCGAGGCATTGCCTCACTCGGGAAGCGCAAGGGGTCAGGGAGTTCCCTTTCCTAATCAAAGAAAGGGGTGATGGACAGCACCTGGAAAATCAGGAAAATCGGGTCACTCCCACCCGAATACTGTGCTTTTCCGATGGGCTTAAAAAACGGTGCACCATGAGATTATATCCCGCACGTGGCTCGGAGGGTCCTACGCCCACGGAGTCTCGCTGATTGCTAGCACAGCAGTCTGAGATCAAACTGCAAGGCGGCAGCGAGGCTGGGGGAGGGGCGCCCACCATTGCCCAGGCTTGCTTAGGTAAACAAAGCTGCCAGGAAGCTCGAACTGGGTGGAGCCCACCACAGCTCAAGGAGGCCTGCCTGCCTCTGTAGGCTCCACCTCTGGGGGCAGGGCACAGACAAATAAAAAGACAGGAGTAACCTCTGCAGACTTAAATGTCCCTGTCTGACAGCTTTGAAGAGAGCAGTGGTTCTCCCAGCACGCAGCTGGAGATCTGAGAACGGGCAGACTGCCTCCTCAAGTGGGTCCCTGACCCCCGAGCAGCCTAACTGGGAGGCACCCTCCAGCAGGGGCACACTGACACCTCACACTGCAGGGTACTCCAACAGACCTGCAGCTGAGGATCCTGTCTGTTAGAAGGAAAACTAACAAACAGAAAGGACATCTACACCAAAAACCCATCTGTACATCACCATCATCAAAGACCAAAAGTAGATAAAACCACAAAGATGGGGAAAAAACAGAACAGAAAAACTGGAAACTCTAAAAATCAGAGCGCCTCTCCTCCTCCAAAGGAATGCAGCTCCTCACCAGCAACGGAACAAAGCTGGATGGAGAATGACTTTGACGAGCTGAGAGAAGAAGGCTTCAGACAATCAAATTACTCTGAGCTATGGGAGGACATTCAAACCAAAGTCAAAGAAGTTGAAAACTTTGAAAAAAATTTAGAAGAATGTATAACTAGAATAACCAATACAGAGAAGTGCTTAAAGGAGCTCATGGAGCTGAAAACCAAGGCTCGAGAACTACGTGAAGAATGCAGAAGCCTCAGAAGCCAATGTGATCAACTGGAAGAAAGGGTATCAGCGATGGAAGATGAAATGAATGAAATGAAGCAAGAAGGAAGGTTTAGAGAAAAAAGAATAAAAAGAAACGAGCAAAGCCTCCAAGAAATATGGGGCTATGTGAAAAGACCAAATCTACGTCTGATTGGTGTACCTGAAAGTGATGGGGAGAATGGAACCAAGTTGGAAAACACTCTGCAGGATATTATCTAGGAGAAGTTCCCCAATCTAGCAAGGCAGGCCAACGTTCAGATTCAGGAAATACAGAGAACGCCACAAAGATACTCCTCGAGAAGAGCAACTCCAAGACACATAATTGTCAGATTCACCAAAGTTGAAATGAAGGAAAAAATGTTAAGGGCAGTCAGAGAGAAAGGTTGGGTTACCCTCAAAGGGAAGCCCATCAGACTAACAGCGGATCTCTTGGCAGAAATTCTATAGGCCAGAAGAGAGTGGGGGCCAATATTCAACATTCTTAAAGAAAAGAATTTTCAACCCAGAATTTCATATCCAGCCAAACTAAGCTTCATAAGTGAAGGAGAAATAAAATACTTTACAGACAAGCAAATGCTGAGAGATTTTGTCACCACCAGGCCTGCCCAAAAAGAGCTCCTGAAGGAAGCACTAAACATGGAAAGGAACAACCGGTACCAGCCGCTGCAAAATCATGCCAAAATGTAAAGACCATCAAGACTAGGAAGAAACTGCATCAACTAACGAGCAAAATAACCAGCTAACATCATAATGACAGGATCAAATTCACACATAACACTATTAATTTTAAATGTAAATGGACTAAATGCTCCAATTAAAAGACACAGACTGGCAAATTGGATAAAGAGTCAAGACCCATCAGTGTGCTGTATTCAGGAAACCCATCTCACGTGCAGAGACACACATAGGCTCAAAATAAAAGGATGGAGGAAGATCTACCAAGCAAATGAAAAACAAAAAAAGGCAGGGGTTGCAATCCTAGTCTCTGATAAAACAGACTTGAAACCAACAAAGATCAAAAGAGACAAAGAAGGCCATTACATAATGGTAAAGGGATCAATTCAACAAGAAGAGCTAACTATCCTAAATATATATGCACCCAATACAGGAGCACCCAGTTTCATAAAGCAAGTCCTGAGTGACCTAGAAAGAGACTTAGACTCCCACACATTAATAATGGGAGACTTTAACACCCCACTGTCAACATTAGACAGATCAATGAGACAGAAAGTTAACAAGGATACCCAGGAATTGAACTCAGCTCTGCACCAGGCGGACCTAATAGACATCTACAGAACTCTCCACCCCAAATCAACAGAATATACATTTTTTTCAGCACCACACCACACCTATTCCAAAATTGACCACATGGTTGGAAGTAAAGCTCTCCTCAGCAAATGTAAAAGAACAGAAATTATAACAAACTATCTCTCAGACCACAGTGCAATCAAACTAGAACTCAGGATTAAGAATCTCACTCAAAACCGCTCAACTACATGGAAACTGAACAACCTGCTCCTGAATGACTACTGGGTACATAACGAAATGAAGGCAGAAATGAAGATGTTCTTTGAAACCAACGAGAACAAAGACACAACATACCAGAATCTCTGGGACGCATTCAAAGCAGTGTGTAGAGGGAAATTTATAGCACTAAATGCCCACAAGAGAAAGCAGGAAAGATCCAAAATTGACACCCTAACATCACAATTAAAAGAACTAGAAAAGCAAGAGCAAACACATTCAAAAGCTAGCAGAAGGCAAGAAATAACTAAAATCAGAGCAGAACTGAAGGAAATAGAGACACAAAAAACCCTTCAAAAAATTAATGAATCCAGGAGCTGGTTTTTTGGAAGGATCAACAAAATTGATAGACCACAAGCAAGACTAATAAAGAAAAAAAGAGAGAAGAATCAAATAGACGCAATAAAAAATGATAAAGGGGATATCACCACTGATCCCACAGAAATACAAACTACCATCAGAGAATACTACAAACACCTCTACGCAAATAAACTAGAAAATTTAGAAGAAATGGATAAATTCCTTGACACATACACTCTCCCAAGACTAAACCAGGAAGAAGTTGAATCTCTGAATAGACTAATAACAGGGTCTGAAATTGTGGCAATAATCAATAGCTTACCAACCAAAAAGAGTCCAGGACCAGATGGATTCACAGCCAAATTCTACCAGAGGTACAAGGAGGAACTGGTACCATTCCTTCTGAAACTATTCCAATCAATAGAAAAAGAGGGAATCCTCCCTAACTCATTTTATGAGGCCAGCATCCTCCTGATACCAAAGCCGGGCAGAGACACAACCAAAAAAGAGAATTTTAGACCAATATCCTTGATGAACATTGATGCAAAAATCCTCAATAAAATACTGGCAAACCAAATCCAGCAGCACATCAAAAAGCTTATCCACCATGATCAAGTGGGCTTCATCCCTGGGATGCAAGGCTGATGCAATATACGCAAATCAATAAATGTAATCCAGCATATAAACAGAGCCAAAGACAAAAACCACATGATTATCTCAATAGATGCAGAAAAGGCCTTTGACAAAATTCAACAACCTTTCATGCTAAAAACTCTCAATAAATTAGGTATTGATGGGATATATTTCAAAATAATAAGAGCTATCTATGACAAACCCACAGACAATACCATACTGAATGGGCAAAAACTGGAGGCATTCCCTTTGAAAACTGGCACAAGACAGGGATGCCCTCTCTCACCACTCCTATTCAACATAGTGTTGGAAGTTCTGGCCAGGGCAATTAGGCAGGAGAAGGAAATAAAGGGTGTTCAATTAGGAAAAGAGGAAGTCAAATTGTCCCTGTTTGCAGATGACATGATTGTATATCTAGAAAACCCCATTGTCTCAGCCCAAAATCTCCTTAAGCTGATAAGCAACTTCAGCAAAGTCTCAGGATACAAAATCAATGTGCAAAAATCACAAGCATTCCTATACACCAACAACGGAGAAACAGAGAGCCAAATCATGAGTGAACTCCCATTCACAATTGCTTCAAAGAGAATGAAATACCTAGGAATCCAACTTACAAGGGACATGAAGGACCTCTTCAAGGAGAACTACAAACCACTGCTCAAGGAAATAAAAGAGGATACAAACAAATGGAAGAACATTCCATGCTCATGTGTAGGAAGAATCAATTTCGTGAAAATGGCCATACTGCCCAAGGTAATTTACAGATTCAATGCCATCCCCATCAAGCTACCAATGCCTTTATTCACAGAATTGGAAAAAACTACTTTAAAGTTCATATGGAACCAAAAAAGAGCCCACATCACCAAGTCAATCCTAAGCCAAAAGAACAAAGCTGGAGGCATCACACTACCTGACTTCAAACTATACTACAAGGCTACAGTAACCAAAACAGCATGGTACTGGTACCAAAACAGAGATATAGATCAATGGAACAGAACAGAGCCCTCAGAAATAACGCCACATACCTACAACTATCTGATCTTTGACAAACTTGAGAAAAACAAGCAATGGGGAAAGGATTCCCTATTTAATAAATGGTGCTAGGAAAACTGGCTAGCCATATGTAGAAAGCTGAAACTGGATCCCTTCCTTACACCTTATACAAAAATCAATTCAAGATGGATTAAAGACTTAAACGTTAGACCTAAAACCATAAAAACCCTAGAAGAAAACCTAGGCATTACCATTCAGGACATAGGCATGGACAAGGACTTCATGTCTAAAACACCAAAAGCAATGGCAACAAAAGCCAAAATTGACAAATGGGATCTAATTAAACTAAAGAGCTTCTGCACAGCAAAAGAAACTACCATCAGAGTGAACGGGCAACCTACAAAATGGGAGAACATTTTCGCAACCTACTCATCTGACAAAGGGCTAATATCCAGAATCTACAATGAACTCAAACAAATTGACAAGAAAAAAACAAACAACCCCATCAAAGAGTGGGTGAAGGACATGAACAGACACTTCTCAAAAGAAGATATTTATGCAGCCAAAAAACACAGGAAAAAATGCTCACCATCACTGGCCATCAGAGATATGCAAATCAAAACCACTATGAGATACCATCTCACACCAGTTAGAATGGCGATCATTAAAAAGTCAGGAAACAACAGGTGCTGGAGAGGATGTGGAGAAATAGGAACACTTTTACACTGTTGGTGGGACTGTAAACTAGTTCAACCATTGTGGAAGTCAGTGTGGCGATTCCTCAGGGATCTAGAACTAGAAATACCATTTGACCCAGCCATCCCATTACTGGGTATATACCCAAAGGACTATAAATCATGCTGCTATAAAGACACATGCACA
This sequence comes from Homo sapiens, assembly GCF_000001405.40. Classification (NCBI taxonomy): domain Eukaryota; kingdom Metazoa; phylum Chordata; class Mammalia; order Primates; family Hominidae; genus Homo; species Homo sapiens. The sequence continues at coordinate 55,736,822 of NC_000002.12, read as the reverse complement.
CGTATGTTTATTGCAGCAGTATTCACAATAGCAAAGACTTGGAACCAGCCCAAATGTCCAACAATGATAGACTGGATTAAGAAAATGTGGCACATATACACCATGGAATACTATGCAGCCATAAAAAATGATGAGTTCATGTCCTTTGTAGAGACATGGATGAAATTGGAAACCATCATTCTCAGTAAACTATCGCAAGAACAAAAAACCAAACACCGCATATTCTCACTCATCGGTGGGAATTCAACAATGAGATCACATGGACACAGGAAGGGGAACATCACACTCTGGGTACTGTTGTGGGGTGGGGGGAGGGGGAGGGATAGCGTTGGGAGATATAGCTAATGCTAGATGACGAGTTAGTGGGTGCAGCACACCAGCATGGCACATGTATACTTATGTAACTAACCTGCACGATGTGCACATGTACCCTAAAACTTAAAGTATAATAAATAAATAAATAAATAAATAAATAAATAAATAAATAAATAAAAAAGAATCAAAGTGAAAAAAAAAAAATCAAAGTCCTTTGGAGCCCAATTCCTTCTTTGTGAGTTATGTAATACATGCGTAGGAATGGAATCCTAGCATGAGCAGTAAAACAAGCATTTCCCATGCTTTCGAATGCAAGTGAGGTACCTTGGATTATATTTCTTTTGGTCTTGGCCAGACTTTCTGGTGTGGGGGGTTGGGGAGAGGAACACAGTATTTCTTTTTAAATTCATTTAAAAAGTTAGAAGTGTTGTAGGGATAAATTTAGAAGAAAAAATTGCCTAATAGTATAGCATTTTATATTAAACTGGTATTTTAAAAAATATTTCTAGCTTCCTAATTTCTAAATTAATCAAGAGCTCACTTTGCATTAGATAAATTAATCCTAAGAACGGCTAAAATAAACGTACTTATTTAATCACAGAAGTTATTAAGATACTATTAAGATATGGAAAAATTTCAAATCTCTTGCTAATATCAAATCACATTATTAAGTTGTTTTGATAATGAAAAGAAGTTTAAGTGCAGCTTGAAGACAAGACTAAAAGGATAAAGAAACACTTCACTAGTCTTCTACCACATTTTAATCATGCCAGAGAATAGTGAAATCTGCTAATATGTGTAAAATAGCCAAATGAGGCTAATCAATTCATAAAAATGAGGAAGCCACAGAAAATATCTGTCTGCTTCTCATTTACAGAAGAGCAATCTGAATGTATATTTTAGGAAAAATTGTAATTAGAAAAGGCCCATTTTCTTAGTTACCCATTTTAGATTCAATTGTGAAGAACTGTCAAAAATAATATGAAGGCAGCTGTTTCCAATTATACTTATTTTGACAACTGAAAATGAGTAAATAAACCAAAAATAGTTTAGTATTTAATCAACGTAGCTTCTTAATACTAAGCAAAATAATTATGCTTTATATTAATGTACAATTAAAGAAACACATGTTAATGTTTAAATAGAAAGGAATTATTTTCCTAAATTCTCAGAAATTCATTTTTATACAAATTGAGGTAAACAAATTTAGGCAGACAAAGTATATCTTCATAAACACAAACATTCCAAAGAAGTCATGCCCAGTCTCTAAGTCAGATATTCAAATTCACTCAACACAAGTTCATAAAAGGTTTCCACAATGTTTGTTATTTGAAAGATAAGTCAAAATAGAATGTCAATACAATAATAGTACAAATGTGACTCAACCCTCCTAAATATTTTCCATTCTGCCAAAGGTAGATTTCTACCCTAATTCTTAAGAAAAACAACAAAAACAAACAACTAACCTGTTTTATAGTAGGAAAACTTCAACTTTCTGACTTTCTATTTGGAAGGAATGCTCTTTCATATATCAAAACAAACATATAAATAATAAGGACAAGGCAAAAAGAAGGGAAACATAAACAAGAGAATTAGCTGTCAATCATATAAAAGAGCTAGCGTAATACTGCAGAAACAATACAGGAATCTGGGTTTTTCTTATCTAGACTGCTATGAAGTATTTGGAACACCATTTAAACATTTTGTATTTTTTGGTTAAAACATCTTTCTAATAAGGACCCACCCTTCTTTCATTAGAAACCTGCATGTTTCTTTGAAGCTTTCATTAAGACCTTTCAATAGAAGGAATAGGGATTTTTCTCAAGAGAAAAGAAGTGAACATTCAAAGGCAGCTCTAACCTTATATATAATATACTATGGGACACTAGAAAACCTGCCTGCTCCCAGACAGGCAGGTTCAATTAGCCTGACATCACCTAAAATTTCCACTAATTTGTTATATTTACAGAATTTCTTTGGGGATCAGAAATTAATTCTAAAAGATTCCTGTTATTAAAGTGCAAAGTGGTATATTCCTGCTATTTATCTTTCCAGCAAGCTAGCTGGCTATGCCTAGCTGGGAGCAGATACATAAGGGAAGGGGACACTCAACTATTTCAGGTCAGTGGCCGGGCACGGTGGCTCACACCTGTAATCCTAGCACTTTGGGAGGCCGAGGTGAGCTGATCCGCTGAGGTCAGGAGTTCAAGACCAGCCTGGCCAACATGGTGAAACCCCATCTCTATTGAAAATACAAAAATTAGCTGGGCGTGGTGGCAGGTGCCTGTAATCCCAGCTACTCAGGAGGCTGAGGCAGCAGACTCGCTCAAACCCAGGAGGCAGAGGTTGCAATGAACAGAGATTGCGCCACTGCACTCCAGCCTGGGTGACAGAGCGATACTCTGCCTCAAAAATAAATAAATAAATAAATAATAAATAGACTGTTTCAGGTCAGTGGCTATCCATCCTTACCAAGGACAGTAGGGTGAGGAAAAGATCCAGAGCAAGGGGTATGGTCTAAAGGCAAATCTGTGGGGGCTTTGAGGGGGGTGTCCTTAAACAAAGCCATGTGGGAATAGTCATGTTATACCAGAAACTTGGGGACAGTAAGAGAACTAAAAAACACCATTTTCCTACTTTACCATTTGATTTCCTAAATACTTTTCATTGCCAGAGGTAGCTTCATTCACAGTACTAGTTGAATGTACCAGAAAAAAGCAACATGTTACCGTACTGTAAGTTTTGTGTTTCTCCATATTTGGAAAAAGGAGCTGTTTCTTCATATAAATCTGTGCCTTGTTTTCTGCCTTTGAGTAATAATTCTGCTTTTCCCTAATTCCTTATCTGACTAGTGCTGCAGCAGGTCAGGCATAAAACAGAGGACCAGTCAGGATCATTCCACCTTAACATTAAACAATCAGGCCAAGGGCAGGATGGAGCCAGGAGTAGCCATCCTTGCATATTTCTAAACGAAAAGCCATGACTTTGCTTATTTAAAGTGTCAAGCCATCTCATGGACTAACATTAGGATCAAAACCAGATGGTTAGCCTGTTTAATGATTACTCTGTTTTTCCTAAGAAAAAATAACCCCAGTTAGCTTAAAAAACTATAATCTAATTTTTATCTTAAAAAAGTAAAAAGCTCTTGAAAGTAAATTATTTCAAACACACAGACCCAAAGACACCATAGTTTACTTGGGTGGAAGGGAGGGGAGGGAAAGAAAAAGAAAAGAGACATAAATTGAGGTTTGTGCGGAGCATAAGTAATTTGAACCCTGGACATGGGCATAGATCTTTACCATTAGTAATTCTTCTGCTATTCCGGGGGAGAGGAGAGATAAAGCTAGGGTTGAAAACAATTCAGGATTGACCAGAGATTAAAGCAGTAATTCCAATGCGGGTGGGGGTTCAGATTCAGAAATACTGGAAAGCTTTGTTTTCCTCACCCTGTGTCTTGGAACCGCCGGATCAGAAGTTGGCAACTCTAGATTAAACATCATAACAGCTGGGATGAGGAAACTCTTCACAGAAGGGCCACCCCAAAAGTCAGGAATGAAAAAATGCTAGAGGAATAAACACAAGGAAATCCCTCAGGAAAACATATCTGGCCACTGGGTGGGTATCAGCTTTGTGTCATATTTGGTATGCACTGGAATTTTTTTTCCTTTAAAATAAAGATTTTTTTCCTTTCAGAAAGTTTTCTCATTTTTAGGTATTCACCCATCTTTCCTAGAAACTTCAGTTCTAAGTATATATTGCTTATAAGGCTTTATTTTGAGGGGACCTCTGAGGCCCTTCAAGTGATGTGAAAACGGAGCACTTAGAAAGTATAGCAAGGTGGGAACCAAACCCATGAACAGGTAGTCAGAGACCCTGGAAAAAAATCCTTGGTCAAACACGGATCAAAATCAAGGGCAGAGAGAGGGTCTAGAAAGATAATAAAAGATCCTTAATTGAGCTTTCTAACCTTGAAGAGAAATCCAGAAAAACCAAGCTTTCTATATAGTATGTGCTTTTCCTGCATTTAACAATGAATTCTCTAGGTAAATGTCAGAGAAACTACCAGAATACCTTCACTTTAGGTTGCCACATAGACAGATACATTTCTTCTGTATACTAAGGAAGAAATAGAGCTCTAGGCCAGGTGTGGTGGCTCACGCCTGTAATCCCAGCACTTTGGGAGGCCGAGGTGGGTGGATCACCTGAGCTTGGGAGTTCGAGACCAGCCTGACCAACATGGGGAAATCCCGTCTCTACTAAAAATACAAAATTAGCCGGGCGTGGTGGTGCATGCCTGTAATCCCAGCTACTTGGGATGCTGAGGCAGGATAATTGCTTGAACCTGGGAGGCGGTGGTTGCGGTGGGCTGAGATCGCACCATTGCACTCCAGCCTGGGCAACAAGAGTGAAACTCCATCTCAAAAAAAAAAAAAAAAAAAAAAAGAAAGAAAAGAAATAGAGTTCTAATACAATAGATGACATTGGTATTAGACTTTTTTTTTTTAACTGACTTTAGGGGAACAAGTCACTGGAATATGGCACCAAAACATCTTCTCTGGAAACTTAAAGAATCTAAACTAATAATTGGACAGGGCTACCTGGAAAATCTAGGTGAGTGCTCCTTTAAGCCAGGGAAAGACTATATGTTTTTTAACACTAGCTTGGCAGTCAAGAATATTCTGGATGTGAGTTATGCTTCTACCAGTAGCCATATCTGTGATCTCAGGTAAGTTGGTTAGCCTCTAGAAGCAAAGGTTTCTCAGCTATGAAAATGGAGCTAATACTAAGCTCCTCAGCAGGGCTGTTATGAGAATTAAATGAAATGATGTATGTAAGTTCTGGTACAAGAAAAACAAATAATAATAAAGCTAAACTGTATCTACTGATAGCTAAGTATCAGGCACTGTTTACCTGTATTCTTAATTTAAACTTCACAGCAATCCTATATTACATGCTATTAGTAGCCACATTTCACAGATGAGGAAACAGGTTTAAGTAATTTGTCTGTGGTCCATCAGTTAGGAAGTAGTAAAGGTAGGACCCAAATCCAACTACTCTTACCCACTATGTAACTACTACCTTTCAATACTCATCAATACCCCCAGTACCAAGCACAAGCCTAGCATATTAGGCATTCAATAAATAATGTCTTGTATTGAATTTAATCTCTCCATATTACTTAGCACTGAGACTGGCAAGCAAGTGAACTGTCCAGGCCAGGAGCAGTGGTTCACACCCATAATCCCAACACTTTGGGAGGCCAAAGCAGGAGGATCGCTTGAGCCCAGGAGTTCAAGACCAGCCTGGGCAACACAGTGAGACCTCGTCTCTACAAAAAATCAAAAAATGAGGCGGGAGGATCACTTGAGCCCAACAGGTGGAGGCTGCAACAAGCCATGATCATGCCACTACACTCCCACCTGGGTGACAGAGCAAGACCGTGTCAGAAAGAAAGAAAGAAGAAAGAGAGAGAGAGAGAGAGAGAGAAAGAAAGAAAGAAAGAAACTGTCCAATCAACCAAATAAATTGTATTCATATTTACAATACCAAAAGGCATGATTGTGATTTTCTTCATTGCTTTTGTTTTTCTTAAGTGAACTGAATGAGAGTTTGGGTAATACAGTACACTCTAATGTTCATGAATGTTACAAGAAAACTATAGACCTGGCAAGGTGCAGTGGCTCACGCCTGTAATCCTAGCACTTTGGGAGACCAAGGCAGTCAGATCATTTGAGGTCAAGAGTTCGAAACCAGCCTGGCCAATGTGGTGAAACCCCATCTCTACTAAAAATACAAAAATTACCTGGGCATGGGGACAAGTGCCTCTAATCCAAGCTACTGAGGAGGCTGAGGCAGGAGAATTGCTTGAACCCAGGATGCAGAGGTTGCAGTGAGCCAAGATCATGCCACTGCACTCCAGCCTGGGGGATAGAGTGACACTTCATCTCAAAAAAAAAAAAAAAAAGGAAAAAGGAAAAGAAAACTACAGACCAATATTGCTTATGGAAATAGAAATAAAAATCATCAACAAAATACTAGCAAACCAAATCCAGCAACATATAGTAAGAATTATATACTATGATCAAGTGAGATTTATCCCAGAAATGCACAGCTGAAAATCGATGTGATAGTCATGAATAGCCTCAAAGATATGACATGCAGCATTTTGTCATTTTACTAAGAAGCAGATTTGAATCACACACAAGACTCATGTGTACAGGCAGGCATAGGAATGTGCTTGGTGTGTGCACTGAGAAAGGGCCCACTTGGAAGGCAGATTTGCCCTTTTCTATAGGTCATTATCTTGGTAATAGTTCCTATGAAGTTGTGGGGTGAGAGGCTTCTTTATGGAAAAGTGGGCCTGAAATGTCAGCCAAAGACAGAGCTATAGCAGTATTCATGAATTTGGAATTCAAAAGAAGATGGGGAAAATCCCTACTAGATATCATATGGAATTTGACAACCATGAAAACTAAAATCAGATCAAGTCAGAGCCACCCAGTTGGAAGACCAAATAAATTACCTAACAATTACCCAAAAATTCTGACGCAAACTTTCAAAATCCAGTTCCTCTTTCTTACAATTTTTCCATAATTGTTATATAAATATGATATATTCATGATTTCCTATTTAATTATCTTCAGAAACTTTTTAAAAAACTGTTACATTTTTGCATTTTGCAAATAGCACAAGGAATCAGATATCAAACCAACCATAATAAAGGATTTAAAATGGACATAAAGAAAATATGAAATTGCTTTGCATTGTAACATGAACTTAACCACATTCCAGAGTAAATATTGTGTTCCCATCCAGAATATCATAAGAGTAAACTAATGGCTCAGAAACAACATGTGTGATCTGACTAAATTAGTGTTACTATGGAAACGTGATATTTTCAATTTCCTGACCCTTACTTAAGGTTAATTTCAACACAGCAATATGCTGTGTTATCCATTTTGCTGCTACAGTTTAGTACAGTAGAAATGCACACTGCAAATCAAAGTTATTAAACACTCTAAACTACAAACAGGAAATAAAAGTAGGAACAACTATATTCTCTTAAAAAGTTCACTCATATGTCATCTATGGTTCATTCCATAACCCAAGTCCTCATCTGGCTTGTCTTTATTTTTCCCAACAGTTTGCTGGCAGATTAACAAACTCAAAATAAATAGAATTTTTCCACTATCTAATTCTGAATTTGGCAGAGGAACTCAATGATGAATCTATTCCTACCTCAAAAAATGTTTTCTTTTATACATTTCACTCACCCATACTCAAGTCTGTAGACTAGAGGAATAACATAACTTTATTATGGGGGTGTTTCTACTGTGTTTTTCAGAAATAAGTCAAATGCAAATTAAATCATAATATCTGAAATTTCAAATAGGAATACTCTGTTTTTCTACCATTTTCTATTTTGGATTTCTTCCAGGCCATCTGAGAAGAAATCTCATAGGCTTTATTCCTCATATCCTAAACTACGAAAAGCCCCTCACAATAGCAGGTAGTGCAATGGCTCACAGCTTTACCTATCCCACAACTCGATCCTGTTTAAAGTACAAATGTTTCGCAGCCCATACAACCTTGTAGCTAGCTAACTTATGCAGGACTTACAATAGTAAAATAATTTAAACAATTTTTTATTATTTCCTTCACTATGCATAAGTAAGTGAAGGATTATAGCTATCCAAAAATGCTTTCTCTAGTAATTTTTTTCTCATTTTTTCTATTTAAACTTAGTCCCAGTCACTCTCCACCTACCAAGTCTACTTCTATTACAAATCTTTTCAAAAGAGGCTTAAAGCTTTTTCATTCTAGTTTGGAATTAATACCAAGGAAGTGACACAATGTGAACCACCCTGCTTGTTCCACGTAGGTTCCTGGAAACAACTTATAATTTCTATTTGGAAAGAGACAAACCTAGATTATACATGGGCTTTTACTGTGGAATCAGTTAACATTTCTGTGTCCCCAGGGCATTATTTCAAGGGGATTTATTAATTTATACTGGATAATGCCTCCAAAATTAAGTTAACCAAAATCACGTCACTACTCTATGCAAAAACCTTGAATGATCTTCTTTCTTCCTCCATTGCCTACAGGCTACCATTCCAAAAGGCCCTCCACAATCTGGCAGCAATTAATGATGGGGACCCTACTTTACTCTTGCTACCCAGACTCTCTCTTACAACCAGGGTAGGGAGAACTTAAAATTCATTTCCAGCAGGATGTAATATGTGCTGTGGACCAGGGAAACTGTGTATTGTCGTCCATCCACTCTTCCTAATGAGTGTTTTATTGAAATTATCCAGTTCTTTATTCACAATTCCATATTAGTTATGTTAGAAGTGGAGGCCGGGCGCAGTGGCTCATGCTTGTAATCCCAGCACTTTGGGAGGCCGAGGTGGGCGAATCACAAGGTCAGGAGTTCGAGACCAGGCTGATCAATTTGGTGAAACCCCATCTCTACTAAAAATACAAAAATTAGCCGAGCATGGTGCTGCGCACCTGTAGTCCCAGCTACTCAGGAGGCTGAGGCAGAAGAATCGCTTGAACCCAGGAGGTGGAGGTTGCAGTGAGCCAAGATAGCACCACTGCACTCCAGCCTGGGTGACAGAGTGAGACTCCATCTCAAAAAAAAAAAAAAAAAGAAAGAAGTGGACTCTTGAAATCATTAGACTGTGAAGAGTTGTATCCAGACCTGATGGAGAAGAAAGAACAACACCCAGAGAGCCTGGACTTGGAACTTGAATTAGACTTTGGATTGCCTCATTAGAGAAGGGTTGTAACACACGTGACCATGTGACAGTCTTTGGGTAAGGAGGAGGATAATATAGATGGATCCTGAGAAGCATGACGATGTTCACATAGATGGATGCTGAGGACTTTGTAGTTGCCTCCCAACATATTATCCACTCCTTTCTACGAATCAACCATGCTGTTTGAACCATGCAACAACCGCAGCTCTAGCTCTAGGTGTATCCTAATTTGTCTAAGCCAGTCATCATCATCCTATTCCCCTTGAAACAGACATTGGCTCAGTAACCTAGACCTAAGCCACATAGTAGCTGTTATTCTCCCAGCCCCTGTGTTTAAAGATGGCACAATCAGAGAAAATCTGAGAACTTTTGTTCAATGGCTAAAAAGAAGCAACTTTATTCTGGATATAAATAAGAAATCCTATAGGACAGATGTAGTAGCCAGCCTCCAAGATGGCCCCAATGATTCCAGCCTCCTGATATTTGCAGCTTTGAATAATCCCGCCTCACAATATATCAGGGTTGGCAAGACTGGTCTGCATAATCAATAGAGTAGGGAAGAAGTGATGGTATATCACTTCTGAGATTGTGTTATAATACACACCCCTCTCCCTCATCATTTGCTCTGAGAGAGGCTAGCTACCATGTCATGAGAGACTGTATAGAGAGGCCCATATAACAAGGAACTGAAGTCTCCATTACAACAGGGTGAGTTAGCCTGGAAGCTGATCCTCCAGCCCCCATAAAGTTTCAGATGGTCAGCCTGATTGATATCTTGATTGCAGCCTCACGAGAAACCCTGAGACAGAGCCACCTACTAAGCTGCACCTAGGTTCCTGACATTTATTCCAGAGAATAAATGTTTTATTTGGTTGTTGTTGTTGTTGTTTTAGACAGGGTCTCACTCTGCCACTCTGTCACCCAGACTGGAGTGCAGTGGCAGAATCTCTGCTCACTGCAACCTCAACCTCCTGGGCTCAGGTGATCCTCCCACCTTTGCCTCCTGAGTAACTGGGACCTCAGGCACGTGGCACCACACCTGGCTAATTTTTGCATTTTTTTGTAGAGATGAGGTTTTGCCGTGTTGCCCAGGCTGGTCTTGAACTCCTGACCTCAAGTGATCCACCCACCTCAGCCTCCCAAAGTGCTGCAATTACAGGTGTGAGCCACCGTGCCAGGCCTGATAATGCTTACTGTGGCCAGGCATGGTGGCTCACACCCTTAATCCCAGCACTTTGGGAGGCCGAGGCAGGATGATCACTTGAGCCCAGGAGTTAGAGGCTGCAGTGAACCTGTTCACACCACTGCACTCCAGCCTGGGTGAGAGAGTGAGACACTGTAACAACAACAAAAAAAGTTTACTGGCCGGGTGCGGTGGCTCATGCCTGTAATCCCAGCACCTTGGGAGGCCAAGGCAGGAGGATCATTTGAGGTCAGGAGTTCGAGACCAGCCTGATCAACATGGTGAAACCCTGTCTGTACTAAAATACAAAAATTAGCTGGGTGTGGTGGTGGGCGCCTGTGATCTTAGCTACTCAGGAGGCTGAAGCAGGAGAATGGCTTGAACCCAGGAGATGGAGGTTGTAGTGAGCCGAGATGGTGCCACTGCACTCCAACCTGGGCGACAGACTGAGACTCTGTCTCAAAAATAAATAAATAAATAAATAAATAAATAAATAAATAAATAAATAAAAGTTTACTGCTTGGCCGGGCACAGTGGCTCACGCCTGTAATCCTAGCACTCTGGGAGCCCGAGGTGGGTGGATTACCTGAGGTCAGGAGTTCAAGACCAGTCTGGCCAACATGGTAAAACCCCATCTCTACTAAAAATACAAAAATTAGCTGGACGTGGTGGTGCGTGCCTGTAATCCCAGCTACTCGAGAGGCTGAGACATGAGAATCACTTGAAACCACAAAGCAGAGGTTGCAGTGAGCTAAGATGTCACCATTGCTCTCCAGCCTGGTTGACAGAGTGAAACTCTGTCTCAAAAAAAAAAAGTTTACTGCTTAATCTGCTAAATTTGAGGGTTTTTTGTTATGCAGCAATAGATAACCAATACACCCAGGGAGCCATCTAACAACCAAGAATAACAGGCTGAAGGTAGAGAGGGCAGTGAGGCTCACATAGAAACAGAGCTACAACCCAAATTAACACACTCCTGCACACTCTACCTCTAGTTCTCTTTAGTTATATGAACTAATAAATGCCCTAATACAAGCCAGTTTTAGTTGGGTTTTCCAGGACTTGCAAAGGATGCTGTTACAGAATTTCTTTGAGGGGGACTCAGTGTCCCCAAATGTGACTTCCCAGCTACGCTGGTCTCTGCTCATTTGCTCATGTAGCAGCCCTTTAGCCTTGCACTCTTATTCTCACCCATCCTTCATGGCACCATTAGAGCCTCACCTTTTCCAGTCAGGCAACCAGTGCAAGAGGGTCTCTAGGTAATCTAAAGCCATACATTACCTTTGCTGTCACTTTGATTCATGTGGCACTTGTCATATGCTGCCCTATCTTTAATGAGTGTACGTTTATCTAGAGTGTCACCACCTTGAAAGCAGGGAACTGTGTGTGTGTGTGTGTGTGTGTGTGTGTGTGTGTGTGTGTGAGAGAGAGAGAGAGAGATAGGATCATACTCCATCATCCAGGCTGGAGTGCAGTGGATGATCATGGCTCACTGCAGCCTCGACCTCTTGGGTTCAAGCAATCCTCCCACCTCAGCCTCCTGAGTAGCCAAGACTACAGGTATATACCACCAAGCCCAGCTAATTTTTTGTATATTTTGTACAGACAGGGTTTTACCCTGTTGTGCAGGCTGGTCTCGAATTCCTAGACTCAAGTGATCCAGCTGCCTCAGCCTCCCTAAGTGTTAGGATTACAGGTGTGCGCCACTGTACCTGGCCAGGACCATTTTTTATATACTCTTTCATTCCTATGGTATTTGCCATGGAAGGTACTAATTGAATACTGACTGTTTGATTGAATCTAATGGTCTATCAGTCAGGATGTCTTAGCATCCCGGCAGGTCAGATGCCAACACATCTGCTGGGGCAAAAGGAAAACTCAGAAGAAAAGAGGAGGTTACCTTTTTTTTTTGGCCCATGTTTCCTTAATTTCATCACTTGGATATGCAATAATTTTTAAAATGCTACTTGGTTCCTGATAATATCATCCCATAAGACTTTCTGCATATTTGAAAAGGATGCAAAGCTATACATAAATATTGGTTATTATATTTATATACAGAGAGAGAGGCATATGTAATGTCTATTCTACACAACCTGAATTCAGTAGAGTGCAAGTATAAAGTATCCTTTTTTCCCCCAATTACTACCTTAACCATGCTCCACTGAACCTCCCTTTCTCACCGCTTAACAACATTCTGCGCAGCTCTCTCACAGCTTTGAAATGAAGAAGTCCAATCCTCCCTTCCTGTAGATAGCTCAGGCATTTGTGGCCAGGACCTGAAATGGAAAAGGAGTACAGTCTCCACCTTCATTCCCTCTTGAGTTGTGGGCTTTGGGGGTGGTGGCTTGTAGTAGATGCAGAGATAGAAAGGAACAGTGTCTCATTCAGTGCTGCAGCTGTGGTCTTCTCTTGGCTGGTGATGTCGATTAGTCTCTGTGTGGTGGGTGTCCCAACACTGGCTCTTCCATGGGCTACATTGGGGACTTGCAGGAGTCTCCCCAGGGCAGAGTTTCCTGCTGTGGGAGCACCCTCCACCCAGCTCCTCTACTACACCCTCAGTTGCTTCCCCTGGCATTCCCCCCAACTCCTTTTGAGTAGAGTACTGGCAGGTCAAATCAAGTCCGGCTACTTCCATGGTGGCTTCTTGACCCCTGGAATACCCATACAGCACTGTCATAGCACCAGATGGGTGCAGCCTGCTCCACTGCCTCACTTCTCTCTGCTTCATTATCTCAATTCTCCATTCCCTTACTCTCACAGGCACTGAGGTCAGATCAGCTGGTGTGAGCTAAGAAATAAGATGTCATTCTTCTCATTTAATCCCACTCTCTGTAGATGGTCCTCAGGGCACCCAGTCTTTGGCTTCAAAGCAGGAGCCACTGTACTTTTCACCAAAGACTTGACACTCTCATCACATGCCTGTCTTCCCTGTCTAGTCAAAAGTGTAGATGGATTGGGCATAAGAAGTGGTTGAGTCTCAGACGATGATTAGGGGAATGCCCAGTCAGTTTGCCTGACTCTTACTAAACCTGGAGGAGGTACTTGGCCTGCAATACTCAGAATGTGAGATTCTTGGTGCCTCTTTGTCCTTAGCTTTGGATCCAAGTCACCAATTGCCCACTCCACATTCTGAGACACATCTCAGAGAAAAGGAAGCTAGTGTGGTGAAAAGAACTGGATTCTTGCCTCTGCTCATCAGTGTCAGCTAGCACAGTACTACTATGGGAGTCTTTAATTCTCCATGTCCATAATATCTCATCTGTAAAATGAGAATACTATAATACTATTTACTTAACCAATCAACATCATACATACACAATGTGATACTATCCTAAATACATAAAATCATATTGATTTTATTTAATATTTAGGTTGTGTCTATAGAAGAGCATCCAGGAAAAAAAGTCAGTTATGCCAGTTTCTTAGCACAGATTTATAATGCTAGCTTGTCACATATTATGTAAGAGGTAATAAGAATATTCTGCGGATTAAATGTGATCATGCATGAGGAAGGCTTGGCATCGAGTAAGTGCTCAATTAATATTATCCATCATTATTATGTTTATCTCTGTGACCTTAGGTAAGTCATTTAAGTCCTCTGAGTCTCCACTTCCTCATTTTAAATTGAGGGTAATAATAGAGTTCTCAGGATTCTATGAAATCATGTTATCTGGAAGCAATTGTAAATTTCTTTGTAAATGTTAGATATTATCTATGAAACAAGGACAATGAACTTTTAAAGTATTTTCCTCTTCTAAAATGCTATGTGTTTACTAATTGGTGTTACAAAGAAAGAAAAGAAAAATGTTTCTTTTTCAGTAGAGTGTGTTGGAGTTATTAAAAGATAAAATCAGCAAACACTGCCTCATTTTATCCATGAACTCACAAATTTTCACAGATAGTAAGAGACTGGTCTTTCTTTCTACCATACTTTCAATTCTTATCTGTTCTCCAAGATGTTTTATGTCCTCAATGTATATACATTTCAAGCACCATCATATAACCTAAAACAGAAAGGAAATTATTTAAGATACAATGGAAAACTACAGAATCAATCAAAAAAACTTAGTTATAGGGGTTACTTATTCTAATTCTTGGCATCCAAGACCTTGGTGGAAAACTTTCTTTCATCCAACCTTTAAATATGAATATTAATCATATCACAAAGATATTAGCTCCATTTTGGAAATTCCAAATTTTACCATATTCCTTTCTTGTTGAATAAGGTATAGAGTATATTCAAAAACTAGGGTTTGGGTGGGTTCAGTGGCCCAGGCTTGTAATCCCAACATTTTGGGAGGCCAAGACTGGAGGATCACTTGATCCCAGGAGTTCAAGACAAGCCTGGGTAACATAGCAAGATCCGGTCTTTATTAATAAATAAATAAATATAAATAAGAAAAATTTTAAAGTTGACCATTTATAATTCTATATATGTAATGTGATACCAAGTGCTATTATGGTCTTTGAATGCATTGTGAAATAATTGAGTCAACCCAGCTAACATATACATCACCCCACATATTTAACATTTCTTGGGGTGAGATCATTTGCAATGTACACTGTTAGCAATTTTGAAATGTACAATGTTCTATTATTAACTATATTCATCATGATGCGCAATAGATCTCAAAAATAAACATATTCCTGCAGTGTAAAAAAGAAGAAAAAAGAATAACACACTACTGTTACAGGCAACAAAATGGATGAATAACTTTGAGTAAAAGAAGCCAAGCATAAACGGTTACAACACAGTGTATGGCTTCATTTGTAAAGGCTTAAAACCAGAAAAACGAGTCTCTGACGACAGAAGTCAGAATAAAGGTTTTCTTCCTGGGGTGATATCTGGAAAGGCATAGGGGGAGGGGCTTCTAAATACTGGGCATGTTCTATTTTTTTATCTTACTGTTGATTACATTAGGCCTATTTCATTTGTGAACATCCCTCAAAATGCTGATGATTTAAGCACTCTTTTGTATGTACACTATACATCAGTAAAAAGCTTACTTTATTAAAAAAAGAAAAAATTTAAAACTAAGGTTTGTTCTTAAAATAATCTATGTAATTTACATTCATTGGCTAGTCTGTCAAAAAATATCTTGACTACCTCAGCACAATGAAATTTGAAAGAAACATAAATCTAAGTTTCTATTGTCACAACATATCATAATTATTTATTGCAATCTTTACAAAATGGAAACAAACTCTACAATGTCTGCCCTTAAGAAATAAAGTAGTAGTTAATGTATTTTGGCTAGTAAAGACATTTAGACTCACAATTATTTCTAATTATTAAGCTTTGAAACGGGAGATTGTCTTGGAAACAATCAATTTTAAGTTTCAAAGTTAGTGCCTCAGTGCAAATTTAATTAGCAAGTGGCTCCATTTATCTATAAAGCAAAATATCTTTTGAACAACCTTCTCTACATATTTTTATGGACCTTTGCAGTTGAGAAGGGCTTTGTCATGCACTTTTTTATTTAATGTGTGAGATTCTTTGGGAGAGAAGCAGAGTAACTAAGGAAAATGACGCTCAGTCACTTGCTCGAGATCAGAGGAACTGGTAAAGCAAAAAGCGGGACGCGGTTTTCTTTAGTTCCAGAACAGGAATCCTTCCGCCATAACAGGCTGCTTCAGACATCCATGGAGTTATCTGAAATCCTGAGAGAACACCTCATCTATCCCCGGACATCCACCAGTTAAAATCACGCCCAAAATAAATAAATAATAAAATAAAATCATGTCCAGTGCGGAAAAAATGCTTACAAAATTCTTCATTTACTTATTCACTCATTCAAAAATGATTTGTTGCGGGCACTCTATGTGTCCAGCATTGTGCTGGCACTTGGCATCCGGTTGTGAGTAAATCAGACACAGCTCCTACTCTCCCAGAGCTTGCAGTTCAGCCACGGACAGAGACAACTCACACCATCACATAGGTAAATGTATAATTACAGACCATGAGGAACGCTGTCCAGAGTGAGCACAGCACGCTTTGAAAGCGTCTAGCAGGGAGACCTCACCTTATCTGAAGCATCCGGGTGGGCTGGGATGGGAGGAAAGGGTAGGGAAAGAAGGAGCAACCAAAGCCAGAGAAAGCCGTGCCCGGCCAAGAGAATCGCATCTAAAGAAGCCCTGAGGCAGCAAGGAAAATTGAACGTGAGTTATGATAGCAATTTTATATAAGCAGAGGGGGGAAAGTCTAGCAGGAAATACTCCAAAACATTAATGATGCTTTCTTCTGGAGAAGGACTGGTGATGTTCATTTCCTTGTTTATGCTTTATTGAATATTGCAGATTTTCTGCAATAAAAGTATAAGCTTTGTGATCTGGAGGGGAAAAGAATAAAAAATCTGGCTCAAAAGACCCCTGTGTGAGAAAAGGAGGGAAAATAGAACCCTCTCCCAACCACTCCAGATATCCAGGAGCTGGAGTGTGAAGCTGGAAGTAAACAGTACAAGAACATAATTCACTGTGATTATTTTTTATTTTTTATTTTTTTATTTTATTTTTATTATTTCATTTTATTTATTTATTTATTTATTTATTTATTTATTGCTTAGGCTGGAGCACAGTGGCAACAATCATAGCTCACTGCAGCCTTGAAAACCGGGGCCCAAGCAATGCTCCCATCTTGACCTCCCAATGTCCTGGGATTACAGGCATAAGCCACCAGTCCCAGCCCACTCTGACAATTTAAAAGGGTCCTGAATACTCAAAAGGTACAAAGCTTTGCAAGAAAGGGAACTAATGTGTATCTAGCCCTATCATGTGGCTAGAACTACCCTATAACTACAGCATTTCCTGGAACAGTAATATACAGATAATGGTGCCTTATTTCCACAATTTACCTTCTGATTGTATTCCTTTCTCTCACACTAACTCTGTTAGATGATTATTATCACCCATATTTTACAAATGAGAAAGAAAGTGAAATTTAAAGAGAGGTTAAGTAACTTGCTCACAGTCAGTCCTATTAGGCGGGAGAGCTGGGATTAAAAGAAAATCCCAGGCTAGGGTGCAATGGCACAATCTCGGCTCACTGCAACCTCCACCCCCTACCCCAATAGGTTCAAGCGATTCTCCTGCCTCAGCCTCCCAAGTAGCTGGGATTACAAGCACTTGCCATCATGCCTGGCTAATCTTTTATATTTTTAGTAGAGATGGGGTTTCACCATGTTGGCAAGGTTGGTCTCAAACTCCAGATCTCAGGTGATCCACCCACCTCGGCCTCCCAAAGTGCAAGGATTACAGGCGTGAACCACTGCACCTGGCCATAAATTCTTAACTGACTCTCATGGTGCCGTCTATATGTGAATGGTCTATGGACTGGTGCCCCTGCTGAGACTGGTGAAAGACAAGTTCTCTTTAGAAACTTGAAGCAGGTAGAAAACCACCTTGACCCTGACTGCCATTTGCCTAAGGGTCTGAGACCTAGCCTGGAGGGAGTCTGTTCCTGATTCTTAGAGAGGGCACCAACCGATAAAACCTGAGCTCTGATTGCCCAAAAGCAGTTTGCCCTGTAAAAACCAAGTATCTAGCTTAGTGGGTCTCAAACGGTAGCATTCATCAGAATCACTCAGAGAAATTGTTCAAATACAGACCAATAGGTCCACCCTCAGAAGTTCTAATTCAATAGGTCTGGGGTGGGGCCCAAGAATTTGCATTCTAACAAGTTCCCAGGTGATGCTGACGTTGCTTGGTGGGGGGGCTGCCACTTTGAGAACCATTCGCATAGTCTAATGTAAGGCAGGACTCACAAGAGTGTCAGCGCCTTGCACCACATTCTGAAACTGAGAGTTTATCTCACCCTGGCCAACCCACCCCACCTCCACCTTCTATAAAGTGGTTCTAGAGTAGGTAAATAATGGAGAAGAAACCGTGCCTCTCAAACCTGCGATGAACCAGGACCAGAAATGTTTGCTGGAAAACAAAAACAATTGATTTGGGGGATGGTGGAAGTTTATTTTTTATTTTTTATTTTTGGAGGGAGTTTTGATTGCTGTCATTTGGGTAATTATTTTTAATATGAACCCCAAAGCTTTAAAATGTTGTTGCTACATTAATCCTAAAATGTTAGTTAAGTTCACCCACAAATATAAAACTTAAAATTCCATTTTACAGTTTGAGTTACAAAGGAGGTCGCAAAAACCTGAAGAGGTGAATTAAGCAACACCTGAGCGCCCTCTAGTGGGAAATGAATTCTCCTAGTGTCCAAAGGCTGCCAGTATGCTGAACAATAAATGAGATTTCCATTATTTTCTTTTAACTCTTTGAAGCTGGCGAATGGTTTGTGCATTAAAAACAAATATGAAGAAAAATGGAAGAAAGCTAAATTTTAGATCGTGTAAATATCTGTTACTCTTCGAATTTTCACCCACTAGTTTAAGCATCCATTGATGATTCTTGCTTGCCTCAATCAATTATTTATGATGGCAGAAAGTATCTTTACTTACATTATAGAATCCAAAGCACTTTAACAATCTATTAATTTATTAATATAGAATTCTAGTGAACTCTTGAGATTACCTCAAGTTGTAAATATTATGCTGGTCTCGTTTGAAAACACATAAGACTTTTGTAGAAATCACTGGTCTTGTGGCTGGGCACGGTGGCTCATGCCTGTAATTCCAGCACTTTGGGAGGCCAAAGAGGGTGGATCACCTGAGGTCAGGAGTTCGAGACCAGCCTGGCCAACATAGCGAAACTCTGTCTCTACTAAAATACAAAAAGGTAGCCAGTGTGGTGGCGGGCACCTGTAATCGCAGCTACTCAGGAGACTGAAGCAGGAGAATCACTTGAACTTGGAAGGCGGAGGGTGCAGTGAACCAAGATCGTGCCATTGCACACCAGCCTGGGCAACAAGAGCAAAACTCCATCTCAAAAAAAAAAAAAAAAGAAAAGAAAAGAAAGAAAGAAAAAGAAAGAACTGGCCTTGTTTCCATTTACTTGACATTTCGTAAAGCTAACTTTTGCACTTTGTAAAGTGTCTTGACCCACTACATGGATCTCTCTGGATTCAAATTAGTACAGCACGTACCTAAATGTTCAGAGCCAGATCTAGGGGTTCAGTATAAACCTGTTTTTCTATTAGACGCCTTTATTTCTATAGAGGCAGTACCATCTTCTCAATCCCTTGTAATCCAACCATCTTTAACCTTTGACCTGAGCCACACTCTCAAAGGCAATAATTTCCCGCTCTTCTTAGTCACTGGTCCCTCCTCTCCATTCCTGTTTCTGGCATCCTGGTGTAGTGTCCTGACTCCTCTCTGCCTTTAATTTTTCTACTTCTAATGTATCTTATATAATACCTGAGATTATTTTTCCTAAAGCATAGTCCCATTCAAAGTATTGCCTAATGCGAAGCCCAATGCGAAGCCCAGTGCTCATTAGAGACACAACCCCAGTGCCTTTCAGGACTTGGCTCCGACTTACCGTGGTAGCCACATCCTCCTCATCTGGCTTTAGCTTACTCTATAGTCACACAAACAGGAAGTCTCAGTTGTTCCCAAACAATATCCTGAGGGTGACTGTGCCTTCACTTGGACAATTCCCTCCCATCATATCCCCATATCCAAATCTTACCAATCCTTCAAGGCCTAGACCAATCCTTCTCTATGATTCTATCTTTCCTAATTCTGCAAACCAGAAATTATTTATCCTCTTCTGAGTCTTTTTTTATTTTATTCCTCTGAGTTCTATTTCTGTTTCCTCTGTGTCATTTATTACTTTCAACCTTGTATTACAGAACAAGGTGGTTAACAAGTACCTCAGACTTGGCATGACCAAAAACTGACATCATGGCCGGGTGCGGTGGCTCACGCCTGTAATCCCAGCACTTTGGGAGGCCAAGGCAGGTGGATCACCTGAGGTCAGAAGTTTGAGACCAGCCTGGCCAACATGATGAAATCCTGTCTCTACTAAAAATACAAAAATTAGCCAGGCGTGGTGGCGGGTGCCTGTAATCCCAGCTACTTGGGAGGCTGAGGCAGGAGAACCGCTTGAACCCGGGAGGCGGAGCTGGCAGTGAGCCGAAATCATGCCACTGCACTCCAGCCTGGGCAACAAGAGCAAAACTGTCTAAAAAAAAAAAAAAATGACATCATCTTCTCTCACACTCTAAATCTCTCAGAAACCTGGGAGTCATCCTGGAGTCCCCCCTTCCCCTCAGCCTTTACTGTAATCATAAACCAAATTCTGGATGCCCTGAACATCTCTAACATTCACACCCATTCTGCCCTCTTGCAATGCCCTAGTTCTTGTCATCCTCATCACTCATGGAACTACAGCAACTAGTCTCTTTCTTGTCTTCTGATCTTACCCCCTCAAGTTCACCCTCCACACTACCACAGGAGACATCTTGGAAATTCAGACCTTTACATCTCTCTCCTACTTAAACCCACCTATAGTTCTCCACTGCCTACAGAGTGCAGTCCCGGATCCACAGCACAGAATCACCCATCCTCTAGTTTTGCATCTTACCACTTTCCATCTACAGTTTACAGTACAGTAAGAGCAAACTGATTCCAGTTCCCTAAACACACTCTGCTGTTTTACAGTTCTCCACCTCTGTTCTGCCTGGGCTGATCTTCCCTTCAAGACCCCTCTTCCAGAACTGCCCCCATTGCATTACCCCAGGAGTGCTAGTCACACAGGATACAATGAGTCGGGCCAGGAGTGGCCTCTGGCATCCTCAGCTCCACTTCTGTACCTGGTGATGTCATTCTGGTTGAGTTCAAAATTCATCTTTCTCAGGAAGCTTTCCTGGAATTCTTCAGCAAGCAGAAGTCTGTGCACAGGGCTTCTATCATAGCACCTTGCCATGTTTGTTTGTTTGTTTGTTTTGAGACAGTCTAGCCCTGTCGCCCAGGCTAGAGTGCAATGGCGTGATCTTGGCTCACTACAACCTCTGCCTCCTGGGCTCAAGCGAGTCTCCTGCCTCAGCCTCCAAGTAGCTGGGATTATAGGCACCCACCCCCACGCCCAGCTAATTTTTGTATTTTTAATAGAGATGGGGTTTCACCATGTTGGCCAGGCTGGTCTCAAACTCCTGACCTCAAGTAATCTGCCCACCTCCGCCTCCCAAAGTGCTGGGATTATAGGCATGAGCCACCATGCCGGACCACCATGGTTTCTTTTGAAGCTACCTGGCTGTGTGTTTGTTTCTTTCATTAACAGAGTTAAGGGCAAAGTCCATGACTTACTAATCTTTATAGCTCCATCTCCTAGCCCAGTGTCTCATACATTCAATAAATGTTGGTTAAACTGAAATGCTGTGTTCATGCCATCTCACTTTCAGGACTGATTTTCTAGAGAGGAATTCTGACTTATAGTACATATCTTTACATCATCTATAGTCATCATACACAAAGCTGGCTAAATATCAGAATCTCCTGAAGAGTTTTTTTGTTTTGTTTTATTTTAAATATAGCTTCCTGGGCCAGGCACGGTGGTTCACACCTGAAATCCCAGCACTGTGGGAGGTCGAGGCAGGCAGATCATTTGAGGCCAGGAGTTCGAGACCAAAGTGACTGACATGGTGAAACCCTGTCTCTACTAAAAATACAAAAAAATTAGCCAGGTGTGGTGGCACACACCTGTAGTCCCAGCTACTCAGGAGGCTGAGGCAGGAGAATCGCTTCAACCTGGGAGGCAGAAGTTGCAGTGAGCTGAGATCATGCCGTTGCACTCCAGCCTGAGTGACAGAACAAGACTGTCAAAAAACAAAACAAAACAAAACAAACAAACAAACAAAATATATATAGGAATTGAGTGTATTACAAAGATGCCATTTCATATCATGGGGGAATGGATAGCAACCATTTCTCCAATAGTGCTAATTTTCATAATTTCCCTAGGCCATAATGTGATCAGTACTTTAATAATTTGATCGTGATACAGAACTGATGCTGACTACATGTATAAAAGCATAGGACACAAAGCCACTTTGCTGGAATGAGTGGCTACTCTAAGGTATTTATTCACCTGGGCAATGCGTTTGCTCTTACGTTTACCTTTGATGTTTACGAGGTATGCTGCAAGTAAAATTGCCAGGTCAAGGCCAAAGATTAAAGAAAAGAATAAGTGGAGGGAGTGGAATGTAATGAAAGTGAAGAAGTTTATTTTGTCAGTTTTAATATAATTTATTATTTTTAGCATCTAATAACTAAAGATATTTATATTCAAAATTCCTTTATTATTGAAATCCCTGCAGCAAAAATAACTTTGATACTGCCCCTCTAAAAATTCTCCAACTCCTAATTTCCTTAATCTCCGGAAACAATGGTTTTGATAATATACTTTTCGTAGTGATAAGCATCTTAGGAATGATACTATTGGCTTACAACAGAATAAGTTATATTTAATAAATAGTATTGCCTGACCTTATGGAACTTACAGATGAAGGGAAGAAGAAACCATTAAACAACATCAACATGACCAAACCTGAACTCACCTTTTTTCTCCCAAATCTAGACTTCTTCACATCCGTTTAAGAGAAGCATACCATGGCTTACTTGACTCTGGCCACTACATATTTCTCCAGCCTCATCTCTTGCCACTTTTTCCCTCAAACATTCCTTTCCAGGCCATGCGCCGTGGCTCATGCCTGTAATCCCAGCACTTTGGGAAGATGAGGCAGGTGGATTACCTGAGGTCAGGAGTTTGAGACCAGCCTGGCCAACATGGTGAAACCCCATCTCTACTAAAAATACAAAAATTAGCCAGGCGTGGTGGCAGGTGCCTGTAATCCCAGCTACTCTGGAGGCTGAGGCACAAGAATCACTCAAACCCAGGAGGCTGAGGTGGCAGTGAGATCGCGCCACTGCACTCCAGCCTGGGTGACAGAGCAAGATTCCGTCTCAAAACAACAACCACAAAAATTCCTTTCCAGATAAAATAAAATCACTTCACTTTTCTCACTTCCTGGTTTTTATATATGTGTTGCCTCTGCTTTAATCACTCTTTTCTACCCCTTTATCACTTGCCTACTTAGCAAGCAGCTCTTCACCTACTCTAGGAAGCTTGACCTGACACCCTCCTCACTAGTTTGTGTTGGCCTCTTATCTCTCTGCTCCCTATGGCACCCTGCACTATGCCCATCATAGCTGCTACTACGCTGAATTGTATTTATCTGTTTACTTCTCTCCTTCACCACCAGACTATAAACTCGCTGATGGTAAGAATTGTGCCTATTATGTTTACTCCTATACCTCTAGGCTTAACACAATCCCTGGGACATGGCAGGCTTCAATAGTTCATTGGTTAAATGGATGGATGGATGAATGAATGAATGAATGAATGAACAGTGTGATAATTGTTACAGAAAAAAATTATCAAAAAGTGTCAAGATCACCTTCAGGTTTGATGATTCACTGAAAGGACTCACAGGATTCAGAAAAGCTATTACACTCACAATTATGGTTTACTACAGCAAAAGAATGCAGACTTAAGTCAGCAAAAAAAAAAAAAAAAAAAAGGTATATAGGGCAGACTCCATGAGAAACCAAGAACAAGCTTCCAGTTGTCATCTCTCAGAGGAATCTCACAGACAGCACTTAATTCCCCCAGTTAAACAATTCGTGATAACAAGCACAAAGTGTTGCCAACCAGGGAACCCCACAAAGCCTTTGTTCAGAGGTTTTTATTGGGGTCAGTCACATAGGTGTGGGATACCTGCATGACCAACTCTACTTACTCTATCTCCAGCCTCCTTCCAGAGGTCAAACTGATACAGTGTGGCCCAGGGCCTCAGTCACACAAAAACAGGCATTTATCATAAATCACATTGTTAGCATAAACTAGCCACGTAAACCAAAGTCTCAGGTACACAAAGACAGTCTTATCAGAAAGGATATTTTAAGGGCTCAGAGGTTACCTCCCAGGAACCATTCAAGGACCCTTCCTGAAGACCTTTGGAATGTGCAGAATTTGAGGAACCCAGGCCTACTGAGTTAACCCTTTACTTATTACAGAAACTCGGTAGACTCGGGTAGGCTAAAGCAGGCCTCCCAACAGAAACATCAGCTGAGCCGCATACAAACGTATAAGCAGCATAAGCAAAATCACTGAGGCACAAGTGAATATGGCTCTTTGGGGGACTGAAAACTCATTCAGCTCAAGTCTCCTCTATTACAGATCCTCAAGTTTTAAGTCCCTATGACCACCCCTCTCCAACCTGCATTTATCTTCTCTCTAGGCTGTCTTTTCAAAATACTGGAAAAATGCTCCTCACATCATTCCATATTCTTCTTAATCTACTTTTTATGGCATGCAGAACTTTATGCCCCTTTTCTCACAAAGCATTTCTTTCAAAATATGGTCTGTATGTATTTTGAAACTCAAAAAGTATTTATTATTTTCTTTCTTCTTTTTAACAATCTCTCCTAGGGGCACTTAAAGTACCCTAGTTACTTCCTAGGTTGGGGACAATGGTAGGATAGCATAAAATATTAGGAGAGAGGAATAAGTTTATATCTCAAAATATAGACTCATTATACTCATATGTCTCCTTGCAAATTTCTCAAGAGAAAACAGAGTCTCGCCAGGCGCGGCGGCTCACACCTATAATCCCAGCACTTCGGAGGCCGAGGCGGGTGGATCACCTGATGTCAGGAGTTTTAGACCAGCCTGATCAACATGGTGAAACCCCTTCTCTACCAAAAATGCAAAAAATTTAGCCAGGTGTGGTGGTGGGCATCTGTAATCCCAGCTACTTGGGAGGCTGAGGCAGGAGAATCGCTTGAACCTGAGAGATAGCGGTTGCAGTGAGCCGAGACCACACCACTGCACTCCAGCCTGGGCAACAGGAACAAAACTCCGCGAAAAAAAAAAAAAAGAAAGAAAGAGAGAAAGAAAGAAAGGAAGAAAGAGAGAGAAAGAAAGAAAACAATGTCTTATATATCACTTGAATTCCCAGTTGCACATTGCTCATGAATTTATATTAGGCCAAGTCTGCATGGCCATGCTCTACAATTAAATAAAATGATAAATGTGAAGAGTGCTGCAATGAACATACATGTGCATGTATCTTTGTAATAGAATGATTTATATTCCTTTGGGTATATACCCAGCAATGGTATTGCTGAGTCAAATGGTATTTCTGGTTCTAGATCTTGAGACACGGAATCAACCCAAATGCCCATCAATAATCGACTAGATAAAGAAAATGTGGTACATATACACCATGGAATACAATGCAGTTACAAAAAGGAACAAGATCATGTCCTTTGCAGGGACATGGATGGAGCTGGAAGCCATTATCTTCAGCAAACTAACCAGGAACAGAAAACCAAACACTGCATGTTCTCACTTATAAGTGAGAGCTGAACAATGAGAACACATGGACAAAGGAGGCAAACAACACACACTGGGGCCTGTCAGGGTGTGGGGTGGGGGAAGGGAGAGCATTAGGAAAAATAGCTAATGCATGCTGGGCTTAATAACTAGGTGATGGATTGATAGGCACAGCAAGCCACCATGGCACACGTTCACCTGTGTAACAAACCTGCACATCCTGCACATGTACCCCAGAACTTAAAATTAAAGTTAAAATTAATTTTTAAATGATAAATGTGAAAACAACATACTGCCTACATTCAACATATTCAATAAATCATTATTGAAACCAAACCCCAAAATTTTAAGCATCATTTCCAAATTTACCTCTTCATCAAAAGGGATAACAATTTCAGTGTGTATAGACCTCAAGTCTTTTTTTTTTTTTTTTTTTGAGACGGAGTCTCGCGCTGTCACCCAGGCTGGAGTGCAGTGGTGTGATCTCGCCTCACGGCAACATCTGCCTCCCGGGTTCAAGCAATTCTCCTGTCTCAGCCTCCCCAGTAGCTGGGATTACAGGCGCCGGCCACCACGCCTGGCTAATTTTTGTATTTTTAGTAGAGACAGGGTTTCACCTTGTTGGTTAGGCTGGTCTAAAACTCCTGACCTCAGGCGATCCACCCTCCTCGGCCTCCCAAAGTGCTGGGATTACAGGCATGAGCCACCACACCCAGCTAGAGCTCAAGTCTTGAGTGAAGTATACTTTCTTAACATTCAGAGTATTTAAAAAATTTAATTAGGAGGTCATTAGGCTGAAACAACTCCGGCACCTTGGGTCCCCTACTAGTAAACCAAAACCTAACTCATTGTCAACAGTAAAATGAAACTTAAGCTTAATCAATCAGAAACCACCAACTAACCTCTAACTAGGAACTTTCCACTTTAACCAATCAAATATTTTCTTTGTCTTTCTTCCACAAACACCTTATAAAAGTTTTCCCATCAAACCTCCTTGATGGAGTCCTGGACTGCTTAAGGTCTGGTGCTGCCCAATTCATGAATCTCTGCCTGCACAAATAAATTCTTCCAAATTTTAATGTGCCTAAGTTTATCTTTCAACAAAAGCAACCAAATTTTACAAAAGTTAAAAACTAAAACTAAAATTTTCCACAAGAAAATATTGGGGCAGGGGAGGTAAATTAAACTGGGCTATGTAGCTAGAGCCAAAACCAAATTAAACAAGGCCTAATGAGAACCAGGCAGAAGCCTAAGAGAAATCTCGTACACCCTTTTCACCCTGGCATTTCTTTGCTTAGAGTCCATCAGAGTCTGTATTGAAAGGGATGAAATGTGAACACATTTACTAAAGAAATTGCTGTGCTTTCTCACGTAATGATATAGGCTCCATGCATGGTTAGTGATATTGAGAATGATGCGTATGAGAACCAGGAAAAAAAGAGATAAGGATTGCTAAAAGAAAGAGAAACTGCAAATGTGAGTGGATTTCTGTGAACTCAATAATTTTTGAAAGCTATATGAGAGACTGAAAAGGACAATAAAATATTAAAGTTGACCAGGCACGGTGGCTCACATCTGTAATCTCAGCACTTTGGGAGGCTGAGGCGTGCAGATCACCTGAGGTCAAGAGTTGGAGACCAGCCTGGCCAACATGGTGAAACTTCATCTCTACTAAAAATACAAAAAAAATTAGCTGGGAGGGTGGCGCGTGCCTGCAGTCCCAGCTACCCGGAGAGGCTGAGGCAGGGGAATTGCTTGAACCCTGGAGGTGGAGGTTGTAGGGAGCGAAGATTGCACCAATGCACTCCAGCCTGAGCAACAGAGGGAGACTCCATCTCAGAAAAAAAAAAAAAAAAAAATTAAAGTTGATACTACTGCTCAACTTCAAATCCATCTCTCTCATAAGATTGATTCACAAGAATAAGCAGAGGCTTTATTTATTTATTTATTTATTTATTGAGATGGAGGCTCACTCTGTCACCCAGCTGGAGTGCATTGGGGTCACTGCAACCTACGCCCCACAGGTTCAAGCGATTCTCCTGCCTCAGCCTCCCAAGTAGCTGGGATTACAGGCACCTGCCACCAGGCCCAGCTAATCTTTGTATTTTTAGTGGAGGCGGGGGTTTCACCATCTTGGCCAGGCTGGTCTTGAACTCCTGACCTCGTGATCCACCCGTCCCAACCTCCCAAAGTGAGGGGATTATAGGCGTGAGCCACCCGGCCCGGCCCTCGAGGTTTTATTTTAAATGTAAACATTTCAAAGACTACAGCATGACCTTGAACATCATCTCTTTAAAAGAAAATAAGCTGTGAGAAGCTAAAAGCTTTTGATTTTAATGAGGGTTAACGATGATAATGTAAAGGTTCTTTGCATATAATAGTCCATTTATTACAACAGCTCATGCTTGTCTGCTGAGCCACCTGTTTCATATCCAAGACACAGTAAGCATATTTCAGTAGAAAGTCTCAAGTTACTCTAAGACATTCTAAATTTGGCTCAATGTTATCATCTTACACAATGAGCCAAAATTCAAATGTATGGATTGCTTCTCTCCCGATCAGACTTATGCCAACTGTCAAAGGAAACCAGAGAAAATTGGGTGAAGAATGGTTTCCACATTATCCCCGAGCTAACATTAAAGATAGCCTATTCCAGCTGGGCGCGGTGGCTCACGCCTGTAATCCCAGCACTTTGGGAGGCCGAGGCGGGCGGATCACGAGGTCAGGAGATTGAGACCATCCTAGCTAACACGGTGAAACCCCGTCTCTACTAAAAATACAAAAAATTAGCCGGGCGAGGTGGCGGGCGCCTGTAGTGCCAGCTACTCGGGAGGCTGAGGCAGGAGAATGGCGTGAACCCAGCGGGGCGGAGCCTGCAGTGAGCCGAGATCGCGCCACTGCACTCCAGCCTGGGCGACAGCGAGACTCCGTCTCAAAAAAAATAAAAAATAAAAAACAAAAGATAGCCTATTCCAAAATCAGGTCAAAGACATAATTATTCTGTTAACAAAACACAGAAACACAGAACAATTTTAAGGAGCAAGAGAACACGTTAATATGTTCTGAAATTCCCACTAGCATAATTGACCAAAACAATTCTAAAATTCCCCAAATTTTAATTCACATTAATTACAAATGACAAACACAATTAATATAAACTGTAATGGTCTAAACTAATTTGACTAAGCATGCAATGCACTGTTGGCAAGGTCAGGCTTTTATGCTCAATTACTGCTCATTCATCCTGATTTTAAAGAAACTGTTTTGTTTTGTGAGAAGGAACAATGACCCCACTATCCTAAGAACAATTAACCAATGTGAAAAGTTAGACAACAATCCAGTGGTATGGGGTGTGGAGGGGGGCACTGCATTTAGTTAAAATCTAAGAACACACAAGTAAACACCAAAGACTACTTGTGAATTGATTCTGTTTATCACAAACCAGTAAAACTTTCTCTGTAGCAGTTTGTGACTGAGTTGCATGTACGAAAGCATCAGGAGTGTGGTCAGCACAAGAAAAATCTATTCCCTAGGAATAATGACAATGATGGGTGGTGGTAGAAGTAGCAAATAACCAAAATGGTCATTGGCGGTAGCATGACACAGAGCAACACTCATGACACTGAGGGTCTAAACATTGAACCTTGCTGTTTTAAGATCTGGAAAAAATTAGGGGTGATCCTTTCTGGAGGCAGACCCTTTCTGATTGTCTTGTGTTGGAATGAAGGAAAAGTTCAGTACACCAAGAGACAAAAACAGGCTGAAAAAGGTTTTTACTATCCCTTATTGTCAATTAAAAACAAAAAGACTGCAGCAGCAAATATCATCCAGGCATATCTAACCTGCTGCTACCTTCTGCCTTAAAGTGGGAGTTTTTAGTTATCCAGTTGGCCCAGAACCCCAGAACTGTGCAGTTTGTTCGTTCTTAGGGAAGATACAGAAGAGATATCTGCTACCTGCACCAGCAGAGCTGGGTGACCATTCCAAAGGAGGGAAATGTTCTAACCTCTGTTACTGCTTTCCTCAGAGCAGAAACTGTGGGCCAGCAGTGCTATCTAGTCACAGCTTTCTTACTGAACCCATGACAATGAGGAATAGGTGTGTTTGTTTCTTAAAAAATATATATTAAAAAGTAAAACACAAAAATTAAGTAAGAAAGCATAATTTTTAGATAAATGCTTACTTTTCACAGACAATGAAAAGAGCAGTAGCAGATACATTTTCTGTATCTTCCCTAGGGACAAACAAACTGAGCAGTTCTGGGGCTCTGGACCAATTGGATAACTAAATGTGTGAATGTACTCTTCCTTGATTTTCCCAAGTACACAGTCTGTATTCTGGATAGTGCAGCAGTGTCCATTACATATATAATCCCTATAAAAACTCTGTGCAATTGACATTGTTATGACATTCACACTCACCAGTATGTGAAACTTTTTTAACTGCAAATGTCAGAAGCCCAGTAAAAATTAACTGGGAAAAAAAAAATCCAATAATTCACATTTCTGCAAACAAACCAAATGTCCATCAACTGATAAGTGGATAAAGAAAACATGGTATATCCATCCAATGAAATATTATTCAGCCACAAAAAGGAAGAATGTAGTGATATATACTATAACACGAATGAACCTTGAAAACAACCACCACCTTTTTATCCTCATTGCTATAATTCAACATTTGATCCATTGGTCCCACCATTTCTCACTATTCATCAACTTTCTCTTGGTTTCATGTCCACAGCGCCTTGTCTAGCCTAGATTTCATGGTCCCCTCCTTATTATTTTTTTTTATTTTTTTTATTTTTTATTTTTATTTTTATTTATTTATTATTATTTTTTTATTTTTTTTTTATTGATCATTCTTGGGTGTTTCTCGCAGAGGGGGATTTGGCAGGGTCATAGGACAATAGTGGAGGGGAAGGTCAGCAGATAAACAAGTGAACAAAGGTCTCTGGTTTTCCTAGGCAGAGGACCCTGTGGCCTTCCGCAGTGTTTGTGTCCCTGGGTACTTGAGATTAGGGAGTGGTGATGACTCTTAAGGAGCCTGCTGCCTTCAAGCATCTGTTTAACAAAGCACATCTCGCACCGCCCTTAATCCATTTAACCCTGAGTGGACACAGCACATGTTTCAGAGAGCACAGGGTTGGGGGTAAGGTCACAGATCAACAGGATCGCAAGGCAGAAGAATTT
The DNA here is from genome assembly GCF_000001405.40 of Homo sapiens. Lineage (NCBI taxonomy): Eukaryota > Metazoa > Chordata > Mammalia > Primates > Hominidae > Homo > Homo sapiens. Next base: position 55,706,070 of record NC_000002.12, on the reverse strand, counting down.
TTCTTAATACAGAACAAAATGAAAAGTCTCCCATGTCTACCTCTTTCTACACAGACACGGCAACCATCTGATTTCTCAATCTTTTCCCCACTTTTCCCCCTTTTCTATTCCACAAAACCGCCATTGTCTTCATGGCCCGTTCTCAATGAGCTGTTGGGTACACCTCCCAGACGGGGTGCTGGCCGGGCAGAGGGGCCCCTCACTTCCCAGTAGGGGCGGCCGGGCAGAGGCGCCCCTCACCTCCCGGACGGGGCGGCTGGCCGGGCGGGGAGCTGACCCCCCCACCTCCCTCCCGGACGGGGTGGCTGCCGGGCGGAGACGCTCCTCACTTCCCAGACGGGGCGGCTGCCGGGCGGAGGGGCTCCTCACTTCTCAGACGGGGTCCCCTCCTTATAATCACTCTTCTGCAAACATCCATAACTCCTTTGCCCCTCTCTCCCTCAGTCATCCTTGCCTAGTGTAATAGTCAGCTTGGGCTGCCATAACAAAATACCATAAACTGGGTGACTTAAACAACAGAAATGTATTTTCTCACAGTTCTGGAAACTAGCAGTCCCAGATCAAGGTCTGGCAGAGTCTGTCCTTGGAAGAGGCTCTCTTCCTGGCTTGTAGATGGCTGCCTTTTCACAGTCCTCACGTGATGAGGAGAGAGGGAAAGCCCAAAAGCTCTCCGGCGTCTCTTATAAGGAAACTAATCCTATCAGAGCTCCTCCCTCAAGATTTCATTAAACTTAATTACTGCCTTACTTCAAACGCAGCAACATTGGGGGTTAGAGCTTCAACATACAAATTTTTTTTTTTTTTTTTTTTTTAGACAAAGTTTCGCTCTGTCACCCAGGCTGGAGTACAGTCACTCAATCTTGGCTCACTGCAAACTCCACCTCCTGGCCTCAGCCTCCTGAGTAGCTGGGATTACAGGCATACGCCACCTCAGCCAGCTAACTTTTTTGTATTTTTAATAGAGACAGGGTTTCGCCATGTTGGCCAGGCTGGTCTCAAACTCCTGGCCTCAAGTGATCCTCCTGCCTCAGCCTCCCAAAGTGCTGGGATTACAGGCGTGAGCCACCGTGCTGGCTGAGCTTCAGCATATGAATTTGAAGGGTGGAGGGACACAATTAGTTCATAGCACCTAGAAAACCCCAACCCCAGATGAATCCTACCATTTGCTTTTTCCATGCCTGCACCAAACAGGTACAATTTGCTAGAAAAAAAAGTCACCCAACTGAATAGACTGGTTTCTCTTGAAATTCATGATCACAAACTTCAAAGGCCATGTAGCAAGGCACCACTGTCCAGCAATCCAACTGTGTTTCTTGAATAGACTTACTCTTCCATCCCCCAAAATCACTTCCTCCCTTAACTTCACATACCTTCTTTCCCCCCTTACTCTCAGCTGCTCCCCTTGCCTCAAAATTCACTAGAGACTGAAGCCAAATAAATTTTTCCCATCCTCCCTTAAGCAAATCTTCTAATGCACCTGCATCTGGCTGGGCACAGTGGCTCATGCCTGTAATCCCACTACTTTGAGAGGCAGGTGCATCACCTAAGGTCGGGAGTTCGAGAACAGCCTGGCCAACATGGTGAAACCCCATCTTTACTAAAACTACAAAAAAAAAAAATTAGCTGGGTGTGGTGGCACACACCTGTAATCCCAACTACTAGAGAGACTGAGGCAGGAGACTAGCTTGAATCCAGGAGGTGGAGGTTGCAGTGAGCCGAGATCGTGTCACTGCACTCCAGCCTGCGCAACAGAATGACACTCTGTCAAAAAAAAAAGAAAGGAAGGAAGGAAGAAAGAAAGGAAAGAAGGGAGGGAGAGAGGGAAGGAAACTAATTCACCTGCATCCGTTCTCAGCCTTACACTCTCTGCCATCCCAATGAAAGAAATTTTCCTCCTCCTCTGTGTATAACCGGATGTTGAATGAGCGCTTTTCCCATGGTTTCAGAATTTGAGTTAAGGCTCTAAAACTGAAAACAATGAGTAATAATTGCCCCAACACTCTATAAAATCTAAGATAGCAGAACTAGTCCATAATTATTAACTCCTATCACTCATTCCAGCCAAAAAGCAGAATAGTAGAAATTTGGAACACAGATTGATGAGAGGCATTGAGGTAGAGAGTTGCCAGCCTAGTTAGAAATGATGTGACATTTTTCTCCCCTCTCTGTGGAGGAAGTCAGAGTCCCTCTTCCCTATCTTACCCTCCAAACTAAGCAATGGGAGCCCAAGAGAACCACAGTAGAGAATGAGGAAAAGATTGGCATCTCCCTCTCCAACTAGACATTTATTAAGCTGTACAATAGTCCTGTGCTATCATGAGTTAGAAGCCAAGCCCAGGCCCAGGAACAGAGTTATCAGGAAGTCTTGCCATATGTCCCCTAGAGCTAGACTAAGCCTTAATAGAATTTAAATCCATTTTTTGATGTTTGATTCCTGATCATTTTTAACGCTCACCGCTTTCTCTTCCCCTTGTGGCCCACATCTGGGCAAGCTGATAAGAAAGCTCAGGTGCTCCCTCCTTTGGCACTCATGGGAGATTCTAACCACAGAAGCCTCTGCCTACCCATAAGCAGGGACCGTCACCCCACCCCACCCAATTACGAGAAGAAAAACTCCAAGCCAATCTCCTTTTCCTACTCTCTCAAGTCACCTTTAAACCAGCTTGTGAAGCCTGTCCTGCTCTCCCCAAAAAGCCTCATTATGAAAGAAATACACCTGGCCGGGCGCAGTGGCTCACGCCTGTAATCCTAACACTTTGGGAGGCCAAGGCAGGCAGATTGCTTGAGCTCAGGAGTTCAAGACCATCCTGGGCTACATGGTGAAACCCCGTCTCTAATAAAATACAAAGAATTAGCCAGGCGTGGTGGCATGCGCCTGTAGTCCCAGCTACTCGGGAGGCTGAGGCAGAAGAATTGCTTGAACCCAAGAGGCAGAGGTTGCAGTGAGCTGAGATAATGCCACTGGACTCCAGCCTGGGTGACAGAGCCAGACTCCGTCTCAAAAAAAAAAAAAGAATACACCTTTTCACACCCTTTTGATGTGTGTGTATGACATCATCAGTCTTGACATCGAATTAGAATGTTGGGTGAGGGTCTATCCTGCTATTGCAAAGTGGCCATACCAGGAACATTTAAGAATATGGACACTAGTGCCTGCTTCCCACAGAGAATTTGGAAGACAGAGGCTACCTGAAGCCACCAGAAATGGCAGAGCAAGAATAGAGATCAATAGTTCAAACAAGCTATAATTTTACCTATTTGGGGGACAAGGATGTATGAGTTTGTGGTCCAAAAGAACCCAAGAAATCCATTTTGAAGGTACTTCACCTAAGAGAGCTAAGAGCCAAGACAAGAGGATCTCAGCAGTAAGAAGCTGTGCAATAGGGCCGGGCGCAGTGGCTCCTGCCTGTAATCCCAGCACTTTGGGAGGCCAAGGTGGGTGGATCACCTAAGGTCAGGAGTTCCAAGACCAGCCTGACCAACATGGAGAAAACCCATCTCTACTAAAAATACAAAATTAGCCAGGAGTGGTGGCATGCACCTGTAATCCCAGCTACTGGGGAGGCTGAGGCAGGAGAATCGCTTGAACCCAGGAGGCAGAGGTTACTGTGAGCCAAGATCGCATCACTGCGCTCCAGCCTGGGCAACAAGAGCAAAACTCCATCTCAAAAAAAAAAAAAAAAAAAAAAAAAGCTGTACAAGTACAGTAGACTACCAGGAGCAGAGGCTGGGAGAGTCACAAAAGATCACCCAGAGAGTACTCACACTGGGAAACGGCATTAGTTTGGCAGTCCTAGCAGAGGTCACCCATGTAACCCATACCTATAACCCATATCATGGCCAGATTTTAGATGTCTGTAGTAATGGTAGAAATGAAAAACATCCAGTGTTGGTCAAAGAAGAATTCCATCGGCTCCAGAAATTGAATTATTTCATTCCTTCCTCTATTCTATTATCCTATGTCCCAATCCTGGAAGAGGCATAAGAATTATGGAAGCAGGAGGAAGCAAAAAAAAAAAAACTAACTTGGGAATGAACAAATTAGACTCTTTCTTCACCTCCCTGAGTAGTAGAGAGGAGAGAGAGGCCTGTGCTTCTGCTTAAGCTTTGAGAGGCCTGTGGCTTCTGCTTAAGCTGTAGAAATCTGGAAAGAGCACCCCACTCTTAGAGCAACAAAAACAATCACAACAGTAACAACAACAAAGCCAGACCATCGGAAAATTCACAACTCTTCTTGAGCGCATCAGAGAGCTGAAGAGACAGAACAACCTACTAACCGGAAATCTTAGGAAAGACGGGCACCTGCAAAGAGAGCTGGGGCATGAGCTCTTGCCACCTGGAGCAGTCACCACCAAACACTGGCAAGAAGAAGAATTCAACCAAATACTTTAATTGCTAAAACCTGAGTATGGGCTATTACTGTGCACTGAATTGTGTCCCTCCACAATTCATATTTTGAAGCCCTATTCCCCAATATGATAATGTTTGGAGATGGAGCCTTTGGGAGGTAATTAGGTTTAGATGAAGGTGTGAGGGTATCTTCATACAGGGATTAATACCCTTATAAGAAGAGACCGGGGAACTTGCTCAGCTCACGTTTTCTCTCTCTCCCTTCCTTCCCCTTCCTTCCTTCCTCCCTCCTTCCCTCTCTCTCCTTCTTCCCTGCTCTCTCTTTCCCCCTCCCTCTCTGCCTCTCTCTCTCCCCTATAACCCTACTCTCTCTTTCCTTGTAAGGACACAGAGAAAGTGACCAACTACAAGCCAGAAGAGGACCCCTATCAGGAATTGGACTGGCCAGCCCCTTGATCTTAGACTTCCCAGCCTCCAGAAGTATAAGAAATACATTTCTGGGCCAGGCGCGGTGGCTCACGCCTGTAATCCCGGCACTTTGGAAGTCCGAGGCGTGCGGATCACAAGGTCAAGAGTTCAAGACCACCCTGACCAACATGGTAAAACCCCATCTCTACTAAAATACAAAAATTATCCCAGCGTGGTGGCGTGCACCTATAATCCCAGCTTACTCAAGAGGCTGAGGCAGGAGAACCGCTTGAACCCGGGAGGCAGAGGTTGCAGTGAGCCGACATCACTCCACCGCACTCCAGCCTGGGCAACAGAGCAAGACTCTGTCTCAAAAAGAGAAACAAATAAATACATTTCTGTTGTTTAAGCCAAACAGTCTATGGCCTTCTGGCTCAAGCTGACTAAGACAGCTGCCCAGAGAATATAGAACCCCTGGGGACCATAGACACAAGAGGAATTTGCAATCACTCAAAAGCTTGTCTCCATGGACCTCACTGGACCTTACAAAAAAGACTCAGGTAAGAGCAAGAATCCTGAGAGTGTCCCTCATGGTGTAGGCCTGGGGAAGGGGGACACAGTCACTGTGGGAAAGGCAGAACCCTCACTGGATGCTTCTTCCCTGTCTCTCCAAAGGAATAGAAGCCTTAGGTGCTGTGGGAAGGCAACAAACACCATTAGCCTAAGACATTGTGAAAAGCAGCCAGGCACACTGGAGCATGCCTGTAGTACCAGCTACTCCAGAGGCTGAGGTGGGAGCACCCCTTGAGCCCAGGAATTTGAATCCAGCCTGGGCAACATAGTGAGATCCCCCTCCCCCAAAAGAGAGAGAGAAGGAAGGAAGAAAGGGAAGGTGGGAGGGTGGCAGAGAAGAGGGAAAAGAAAGGAGAAAGGTGAGGGCAGGGGAGGGGAGAGAGGGGAGGGGAGGGGGAGGGGATGGGAAGGGGAAGGCTGAGGGGAGGGGGAGGGGAGGGGGAGTGGGGAGGGGAGGGGAGGGGAGGGGAAAAAAAGAAAAAGAAAGAAAAAGCTGTGGAAACTGATTGCAGCTCAGGGAAGAAACAGAACAAGACTCTCTACCCCTGGGGAAGGGACAGAAAGAATGCTGGGCTCAGAATGACATCTGGGATGGGGGTATGAACACAGAGAATGCCACCAGCACCCAAGACCCTGAGACATAGTGCCTGCCTGATACTGAGGGTTAATCAGAACAACAGACAGCACAAGCCCCTGACTTCCCACCTCCAGGCTAACAAGCTGCTAGTGACAACTAACAATGACTTCCTGCTAGGAGAGAGTATGGAGAGGCGTCTCCAAGGTGTCTCTGAGGTGGCAAGGGAAGCAGGAAACAGATTGCATACTCATGTGAATTCTGAACAGAATTTTAGGAAAGTACTAGTTACAGAGTGGCAGGCAGATTCCAGGACTAAGAAGAGTGCTGCAGCACTGAGGCATTAGCACCCATGGGGAAGTGTTAATGCCGGGGCAGCAAGGAGGAGAAGCAGTAGAATTGGAGTGAGAGCTGGAAGCGGGCAAGCAGGGCCTGCCCAGTAGGAGCCACAGTGGCAGAGAAATACAGCCACTGCCTTGCCATAATGAATTATGGCTTCCTAATTTTTAGTGTGTCTCTCCTCTTGTATCTCCTGCTGGTACTTCCCATTGGCTGATCCAACCAATAGCCAGAGGGCCAGGGAGTTGGGGTGTTGCAATCCATAATGATCAGTTCCCTGGGGCACAGAGCAAAGCCAAGGAAGGTAGAGAACGGATGGACGGGAGCAAATGGAAAATACTAGCATAATACATTCTCACGCTCCTCCTGCATCAACACAACACTGGCTCCAACTTCATAGCCATGCAGCCTCTCCCTCCTCAGGGTTCAGACCAGGCCCTCTTCTCTTTTCTCTCTACTCACTCTCTCTCTAATCTCTACTCCCACAGTGATTACTTTTATATTTACATTAGCCTAGTCCTCTCCTCTGTGTCCTGCACTCAGATCCAAATATCTGCTGACAGCTATGCTCTGGTGTCTCAGACATTGCATTTCTGACCCATCTGAGCCTATTAATGGTCTTAGTTCTTCTCTCTCTGTATCCAATTCATCAGCAAGTCTGATCAATTCCACCTCTAAAATATATTACAATCTGCCCATCCTTTCTTCTTGTCACCCCTGCCGCCACATCAGTCCATGCCACCACATTAGTCCAAATCACAACATTTCTCTCTTGTCCTCCTCTGATCCATTCTAGACCTGGCAGCCAGAGGGGACCATCTTAAAATGTACACTAGATCCTGCTACTTCCCTGTTTAAACTTTCCGCTGTTTTCCCAAACCCCGTGCTATGCTCTGCCTTCCTCTTCTACTTCGTACCCACCTGCTTACTACTCTCCTGCTTACTACTGTCTAGTGACACTGGCTTTTCCACATCCTCAGAGAAGCCAAATTCTCTCCTGACTCAGGGCACCCCTCCTGCTACAAGTCACTGCTCCCACCTGGCCCCCATGTTTCAGAAGGTGTCTTCTTCTCGTCCTTGGGATTGGCTAAAATATCTCCTCAGGAATGCATTCCCTGGCCACTGTTTTTGAAGTTTGTTCTCTCTCCATCCCATTATTCTCTTTTTACCTAGTTTATTTCCTTCTTAGTATTAACCACATTACAATTTATCTGTTTATGTTTGATTGTGTTTTTGTCAGTCTCTCGTTAGAATGCAAGCTCCATAAACCACATTCTAATTTATCTGTTTGTATGTTTGATTGGGTTTTTGTCAGTCTCTCGCTAGAATGCAAGCTCCATAAAGCAAGGATTATGCCCTATGGCTCTCTTGACATCTCTATGGTCTCAAGCCTAGCACAGACCCTGGCATAATGTAAGTATTCAATAAATATTAGAGCACCTTATCATGCTTTCCATGTGCCAGGGACTATCCTTAGTTTCATAAAAATAAGACTGCCTTAAGTCTGCATAACAACCCTGGGAGGTAGGTATTTACTATCATTCCCATTTATAAAAGAGGAAACTGAGGCATAGAAAGGGTAAGTATCTTATCAAGAGTCACTTGTTTAGGAGGGGAAAGAGGTAAGATGCAAACCCAGGCAATCTGATGCCAGAGCCAGCACTTTTAACCACTATGCAATACCTATTCCCACATTCACTTGCACAGATGAATTAATAACTACATAAATACATTAATAAAGTGGAAGGACAGACATAGATTGTATCCATAAGTCTGCCTAGGGAAGTAAAGAGGATAGTACTGAAGACTGAGTTTGTTTGATTGATGCATGTGAGGAGTGTGTGCCAAGCACAGAGAATCATACCTGCAAAGCCACAGATGCAGGAGAAGTATTGCAAGGGAACAAGCAGTTCAGTTTACTTGGAGTATAAAGTGAAAAGAGGAAGGGAAGGAAACAGGGTAGTAAGAAAAAGTTGATGAGGCCAATAGGAAAGGAAAAGCTTATAGTCTATACAAAGCAGTTTAAATTTTATCCTTAAAGATTTAGGAAGCCACTGAAAAAATTTAATCAGGATGGAGACACAATTCTATTTGTGATTGAGAAAGAAGATCCTTCTGGTAGCGGTGTAGCACAGACTTTCTTAAAGTTGAGTAGGCTACATTCTTTCAAGAGAAGAATTTTTTCCTGAACACTTCAGGGACTGCTGATACTTTTAATTATAATGTTACTATATAACAAAATATAACTTCCATATTGTTACAGCTTTTAGTCATAAAAGCAATATAAATGTATATCCTGTCTAAACTAAACTACAAACTAAATTAAAATATAGTTAAAGGGCCGGGCTCTGTGGCTCACGCCTGTAATCCCAGCATTTTGTGAGGCCAAGGCAGGCAGATCACCTGAGGGTGGGAGTTGGAGATCAGCCTGGCCAACATGGTGAAACCCTGTCTCTATTAAAAGTACAAAAATTAGCTGGGCGCGGTGGCGCACGTCTGTAGTCCCAGCTACTTGGGAGGCTGAGGTAGGAGAATTGCTTGAACCCAGGAGGTGGAGGTTGCAGTGAGCCAAGATTGTGCCACTGCACTCCAGCTTGGGCAACAGAGCAAGACTCCATCTCAAAAAAAAAAAAAGTAGTTAAGCATAATTTAATGCAATGGTGTTTTACTTAACGTAGTTGCTTATTCAGAACATGCAGTGGTATTAACTGTTTTGATGCAGGTTCATCAGAGTTTGAAGAAAAGGGAAAAGGAGATCTGAGAAGTTGCTGGTGGATTTAAGTTGGATCATTTTTAATGTCCTTCAGCAGTCATAGGTAAATAAATCCCTTTTAAATTATATTTTGGCTGTTGAACTACACTTGACATAACTCTACTTGCAGAATAACATCTCAGACTGAACCTCACGGATTATAGCTTCAGTAGTAACAACTACAAGAATTTAAACTTATTATATTTTTCTTTCTACGCTAATCTAAAAATGCTTAATATAAACATATAAACGCATTCTGTATCATCTATATCTTCATAATAAAGCTCTGCTGCAAGATTTTAGTGCCTACATTTGCTTTTGAGTTTACTATCCAATTACTACTATTTGAATTATATCAGATTTGTGTGAGGAAATGGGGGTGGGGGATTCTTAATAGGTAAATGCTGCTTTCCATCACTTCTGGCTGGATAAAAGCTAACCGATTCAAGGAGTTCAAGGAGTTCTGAAGAAGAGAAAAATGTTCAGAATACCTGGAAACTGGAGGAAGAATTAAGAAAAGTCTGGATAAGCCTGGGCGCGGTGGCTCATGCCTGTAATCCCAGCACTTTGGGAGGCCGTGGCGGGTGGATTGCCTGAGGTCAGGAGTTCAAGACCAACCTGGCCAACATGATGAAACCCCATCTCTACTAAAAATCCAAAAAATTAGCCAGGCATGGTGGCAGGCACCTGTAATCCCAGCTATTTGGGAGGGCTGAGGAAGGGGAATCACTTGAACCCCGGAGGCGGAGGTTGCAGTGAGCTGAGATCACGCCACTGCACTCTAGCCTGGGCAACAAGAGCAAAACTCTGTCTTGAAAAAAACGAAAAGGCTGGATGAAAGCTAAATTTACCATTTATTGAGTGTTGACAATGTGCTAGGTACTATTATATCATCTGACACTTTTTTTTTTTTTTTTTTTTTTGAGACGGAGTCTCGCTCTGTCGCCCAGGCCGGACTGCGGACTGCAGTGGCGCAATCTCGGCTCACTGCAAGCTCCGCTTCCCGGGTTCACGCCATTCTCCTGCCTCAGCCTCCCGAGTAGCTGGGACTACAGGCGCCCGCTACCGCGCCCGGCTAATTTTTTGTATTTTTAGTAGAGACGGGGTTTCACCTTGTTAGCCAGGATGGTCTCAATCTCCTGACCTCATGATCCACCCGCCTCGGCCTCCCAAAGTGCTAGGATTACAGGCGTGAGCCACCGCGCCCGGCCGACACTTTTAATCCTTACAAAAACCCTATTAGATTCATATTACTATCTGTTTTTATGGGGAAACTGAGGCTCAGAGAGCTAGAGTCACACAACTGGTAATTAACAGAGACAAGATTGGAACCAGCTGGGACTAACTCCAAGTCTATGCTCTAAACTATTAGGCAATACTGCCCAAATGAAAATGATTACATAGTAATTAAGTATATTAACAAAAAGATGATTTTGTATTCTTACTCTATAAATCAAAAGTCATGTTCAATTGTGGCAAGTAGGTTTTCTGAGAGATTTATCTTCATGAGAGATTTCAATAGATTGGTCTGGAAAACTCTGTGGCAACTCAAGGTAAAGTAAAAGGGAGGAGACGCAAAAACTGCTTTAACACTAAAAATCTGTAAACAAAGTTAATGGTAATCCCTCTATTGGAATGGAAATCCCAAATCAGTAATAATAGCTCATGAAAGCAAGGTGTCAGAAAACTGCTTTGCCAGCAAATCATTTGTCTGTTTAGAGCTCATCATTCTTTTTTCTTTTTTAAATCATCACGGATCAACATTTTTAATTTTTTTTTTTTTTTTTTTTTTTTTTAGATGGAGTCTCGGTCTGGAGTGCAGTGGCGCGATCTCGGCTCACTGCAACCTCCGCCTCCTGGATTCAAGCGATTCTCATGCCTCAGCCTCTGGAGTAGCTGGGATTACAGGCACGCGCCACCACACCGAGCTAATTTTTGTATTTTTAGTAGAGACGCGGTTTCAGCATGTTGGCCAGGATGCCCTGGGTCTCTTGACCTCGTGATCCACCCGCCTCTGCCTCCCAGCGTGCTGGGATTACAGGCATGAGCCACTGCGCCCGGACTTTTTTTTTTTTTTTTTTTTTTTTTTTTTTTGAGACCGAGTTTCACTCTTGTTGCAATGACGCGATCTCGGCTCACTGCAACCTCCGCCTCCCGGGTTCAAGCGATTCCCCTGCCTCAGCCTCCCGAGTAGCTGGGATTACAGGCATAAGCCACCATGCCCGGCTAGTTTTGTATTTTTAGTAGAGACGGGGTTTCTCTGTGTTGGTCAGGCTGGTCTCGAACTCAGGTGATCCGCCCGCCTCGGCCTCCCAAAGTGCTGGGATTACAGGCGTGAGCCACAGCGTCCAGCCAACGTTTTTAATTCTTAAAACTGTGTTTGAATGAGTGTTGGGTTTTTGTTGTTTGGTTTTCTTTGGGGTAAGGCGGTTATCACCTTACACAAAAAATTTACATCATAATATGAAAATGCCCATTGGTTCATTCAAGGAAAAACATAAAGAATTTCTAACAGAATGGATTAATGGGGTGGAAGAAATTTATCCATTCTCTAAAAATTTTTCAAATCCCAAAAACTTTTTTTTTTCATTTTACAAAATATTTACTTCAAACAGTAGCTGGCATTTTGCATTTAAGAGTTCGACCAAAAGGGACAGAAATATAAATTGCTAATTATTAGCAATGGAAATGAAAATGAATCAGAAGTGACAATAAAGATTTCTAAAATTACAAGTCGATGAAAAATGAATTTACTGTAAATTGGTTAACACAAATCGCTGTAGTAACATATCTGCTATGTGAAATTTTTAAAATAAAAACCAGGGCGGAGAAGGGGAGAAGGAGATCTCTTTCCAAGGCCCACCACCCAAATTCTAATTCTTAGTTCACAGATCCAAATAATAATAATGTGTTGTTCTATGACTTCTAGTATTAAAAGTAAATATAAATTTACTCTGCATATTAAACATTTACATTATTCTAGGACTTCTCCTTTAAATTACGATAGTACACACACAAAAACCTTATTTATCTAATTGCCTTTCGTTGGCACATAAAGACAAAGATCGTTTGCAACATAATCGCGTTCTGATAGGTTTGACCCTCTCTAGTCTTCGTAGAAGGTGGCCAAGGTTTCCGTTACCCCGGCGTCCCTCGGGCACCGCGGAAACGAAACTCCATCAGGCTCCGCCCCACGGTCTGCGGAGTGAGCCAATCAGGGCACAGCCTGCGTTGACCGCGTGCCGGGTGTCATGGCGGCCTGCAGGTACTGCTGCTCGTGCCTCCGGCTCCGGCCCCTGAGCGATGGTCCTTTCCTTCTGCCACGGCGGGATCGGGCACTCACCCAGTTGCAAGTGCGAGCACTATGGAGTAGCGCAGGGTCTCGAGCTGTGGCCGTGGACTTAGGCAACAGGTAAGGAGTGACGTGCGTTCACTGTATTGTCATAAGGTGTCTTGTCCAGCCAGCTTGAGCGTATTCATCTCCCAGGGTAGAAACCCGGTATCCCAGCTCTATTTAATCTCTCCTTACCCTAAACCTAAATTCCAAATTTCCCTTTCCGGGTTTGGAATGTGTCTCCTCGGACCCTCCTTCCCGCGCTATGTCGTTCTCTCTGTTGGTGTGTGCCGGGCTTCTTTGCTCCATCCGACTCTGTCCGTCCACCTGACTTCCGATCTCTTTACTTTCCGGGACCACTGGGCTCTTAAGTGGGAAACATTCCACCTAGGAATAACGAGTTGACGTGGGTGAGACGAGGCCCCCCGGGATGCTGGCCCGGACCCTGGAAGCTGGGGCTCTGATGCCCCTCGAGCTGGGACACAGACCTCAGCAGAGGCTCCGGGTGGCTAGTGCACCACGGGTCCCCCACGTCCCACTCCTCGGGCTCCTTCAGCCTCCTCTTCACCAGGAGCCTACCTTGTAGAAGTTGAACACCAGGTCCAGTTCACAGACATTGTGGAAATATTCGTTTAAGACCTGGGAGAGGAAGGCAGAGATGGTAAGAGATGGACAGGGAGAGAGCCACACACGCACAGAGATGGGAACAAGGTCATCAGAAAGAGACAGCAAAAAAAAGAGACCAAGAGGGAGGCAGGGGAGAGAGAGAGACAGTGACAGGGAGAGAGGCAAGGAGACACACAGAGAGAAACAAAAGCAAAGATCGATGCAAAGAGATGGCAAAAGGTCAGGCGCTCACACCTGTAATCCCAGCACTTTGGGAGGCTAAGACGGAAGGATGACTTGAAGTTAGGAGTACAAGATATCATGTCATCCAATCTAATTGATTGCCTAAAGTGTGACCACTATGACCCTGGGTTAGGAGGAAAAGGAAAAGTCAGTTTTTTGAACGCCAGTTATATGATCCTCGCAATCTTTTTAAACCTGTCGTAAAGGTACTATTACCCTCATTTTATAGTTAAGACTACAGAGGCTCAAAAAAGGTTAGATAACTTTCTAAGAGTCTATAAAAAAGTTAGTATTATGGGACTAGGTGGTTTTTGAATTTCTGTTTTTTGCTTACAAAGCCCATACTTTTTTTTAGGGGACCGCTTTTTAAAAAAAAAGTTTGCTTTAATCGTTCTTAGAATAAATGGAATTGCTAATGCAAACTTCATATATCTAAATTTTTTACGTGTACTTTGAAAAAATTTGGACCCCAGTTCATACAAAAAGCAAAAAAATCATTTTGAATCCAGGTCTCGCACTCTAACTTTGATAAGTAGTTGACATTGAACAGGTTAATTCACCATTTTCTTGTGCAAAGTGTGGAGAGTGGATTCCATCAAGGGTCTGCAAACTTTTCTATAAAGGACCAGATAATATATATATTAGGCTTTTTGGGGTACACACTGTGTGTATGTGTTTACAAACCCTTTAGAAATATTTTAAAAAACGGCCGAGCACAGTGGCTAACACCTGTAATCCGAGCACTTTGGGAGGCTGAGGTGGGTGGATCTCCTGAGGTCAGGAGTTCGAGACCAGCCTGGCTACAATGGTGAAACCCCGTCTTTACTAAAAATACAAAATTAGCTGGGCGTGGTGGCAAGCACCTGTAATTCCATTTACCTGGGAGGCTGAGGCAGGAGAATCGGTTGAACCCAGGAGGCAGAGGTTGCAGTGGCAGAGATCGTGCCATTGCACTCCAGCCTGGGTGATAAGAGTGAAACTTTTGTCTCAAAAAAAAAAAAAAAAAAAAAAAATATATATATATATATATATATATATATATAAACATTTTTAATTGAAGAGTAATATAGAAATAGGCCACAAGCTGTAGTTTGGTCACCCCTAGACTAGGTTATCTCTAAGGCTTATTCCACTCCCAGCATTCATTAATTCTGATTTTTGAGGGAAGTGGACATCTCTTCCATTCTTCAAGGACTACACATGCTTCAAAGAAATGCCCAGAACATTTCATTCAACAGACACATACTGTGAGATAGGCATTAGATACTGAAAACAAGATGCAGCTGCTGCCCTCCATATTTTCCATAAATAATCTACTTTGACTCTTTCATTTATTAATCAACCTGTTCCTCTTTTGTAGGTAGTTCTTTTTAAACTCGTGTCATGTGTTGAAATAACTAGACTAATAAAATATCATACCTGCTGGATAAATTCTTTCATTTTTGTCTTGTTTGCCATTGGCAACATTTATTGAGTGACTACTATGTACCAGGCACATTATATTTGTTATCATATATATTCTTTACTGCATTCTGGAAGATTATATAATTATTGTAGGTGTTTTTCAGATAGTATATTTAATGCTTACAGTAACCTTGGAGGCAGGTGTTTAATTTTCATTTCAGCAAGCTTTTATTGAGCATCTACTATGTATCAAATCACTGAGGATATTCAACAGAATATGCCACAGTGGGCAAAATGCTAAGGCAGTAGCCCCGTTAGTAGAGTAGAACTGTAGCTTTCACAGTTTTTCTTCCCTGTGTTTTGGGCCCACTTCTGTCTAGTTAAAGATCCTCCACTCCCCTTCACAGAGATCACTTAGGTATTCAGAATTTACATTGGTAGACAGAATGCCAGTTCCTGGTAAGTTTTGAGAAGTACTGGTGGCATGTTACTCAGGGTTAAACAAAATTTCAAGATGTCAGATTTACATTTGCCTCATGAAACCATTACTTAATACTGATTTCAGCTATAGGTTGTTGCAGGTCTGTGATACTACACAGTGTGACTGGTTTTGAGTATCTCATTCCTTCCATCTACTCAACATACTAATCCAGCATCAGCCTCTCTGTACCTCATTCCCATTAGTCACAGGAGACCCATTTTATTGTAGGCTTTCATCATTATAACATCTGTGTTGAATAAATAGAAACCCAACTAGAATTTCTCAAATATTCCCTGATTTTAAAAAAAAACTAATATTTCAGAGTCAAGAATTTGATACTACAAAATCATTGTATTTATTAACATATATTAAATGTACATACTTTGTTCTGACTTTCAAACTTAACAAAATGAGTCTAACTGAATAGATAAATATGCTTTTCATTAACTCAGGCTTCTGGCAAAGGTATTTAACAGGTGAAAATATTAAGGGTTGTTCCTTCATCTCCTTGGTATGTGAAAGACAGAATAATCTTACTTGGGGTAGGGCATTGGGCCTGTCTACATGCTTGTGTTTGGTTTGTGCATTTTCAGCACCAGACTATGATAGAATGTTGCCGAAACTGAGTTCATGTGACACAACATCTTTCTCTTTCTCTGTATCTTCAGGGGTCACTGACTTGGTTTCATCTCAAAACACCTTTTGATGAATCTTGAGCTCTTTGACAAGTTTTGCTGGTCTGTTTCAAGACATCAGTAACCTCTTTTTGCATTCTCTGCTGAAACTAGGGAATAAGGCTAATAGTGCTGCCTATTTCATGTATATAAGACACCTTTATTAAGATATAATTCACATACCATACAGTTAATTTAAAGTGTACAACTCGTCTGGGAGCAGTGGCTTATATTTGTAATCCTAGCACTTTGAGAGGCCAAGGCAGGAGGATTGCTTGAGTCCAGGAGTTTGAGACCAGCCTGGGTAACATAGTGAGACCTCATCTCTACAAAAAATTTAAAAATTAGCCCAGCATGGTGGTGCACACCTGTATTTCGAGCTACTCGGGAGGCTGAGATGGGAGGATCACTTGAGCCTGGGAGGTCAAGGCTGAGATGAGCTGAGATGGCACCACGGCACTCCAGCCTGGGCAACAGAGCAAGACCCTATCTCAAAATAAGTAAATACAGATAAATAAAGTGTACAGTTCAATGGATATTAGTATATTCAAAGTTTTGCAGCCATTACCACCATCAATTTTAGAACACTTCTATCACCCTAAAAAGAAATTCATTAGTAGTAGTCACTTAGCGTTTCTCCCCAGCCCCAGGTAACCACTAATCTACTTTCCATCGCTGTGGATTTGCCTATTATGAATATTTCTTACATGGAAACATAGTCTTTGGTGACTGTCTTCTTTCACTTAACATAATGTTGTCAGGGTTTATCCATGTTGTGACATGTATTAGTACTTTGTTCCTTTTTATCGCTGAATAATAATCAGTTGTATGGATTATACCACATTTAGCTTATCCATTCATCAGTTGATGGACATTTGGGTTGTTTCCATTTGGGAACTATTATGAATAATGCTACAAGGAACATTCATAACAGCTGTCAAGTGGTATTCACTGTGATTTGGATTTGTATTTCCCTGATAGTTAATGATATTGAGCATATTTTTATGTACTTACTGGCCATTTGTATGTCTTTTTTGGAGACATGGCTATTCAAATCCTTTGCCAAGTTTTAAAATTCAGTTGTCTTTATTGTTGAATTGTAAGCATTCTTTAAATATTCTAGATATTAACACAAGTCCCTTATCAGATACATGGTTTGCAAATATTTTTCTCTTAATCTATGGTGTTTCTTTTACTTTCTTAATTAAAGTTTTAAATTTTGATGAAATCAGCTTACCTATTTTTTTCTTTTGTCATTTATGCTTTTGATGTCATATTTAAGACTTTGTGTGGCCCAAGTCTCTGAAGATTTACTCCTGTGTTTTGTTTCTAAAACTTTTATTGTTTTAGCTCTTACGTTTGGGTCTAGGATCCATTTTGACTTAATTTATGAAGATTCATTCTTTTTTGCATCCAGTTGTCCACTATTGCCTCAAAAGGCTACTCTTTCCTCATTGAATTGAAAATTGTTCTTTCCCCTTCTGTTGAACATGAAGGTCCTTATAGGCAATATTTAGGAGTTTATATTTTGTCCTAAAAGCATTGGGAGAAATTCTAAAGTTTTTTGTTGTTGTTGTTGTTGTTGTTGTTTTGTTTTGTTTTGTTTTTGTTACAGAGTCTCACTCTGTCACCCAGGCTGGACTGCATTGGCACAATCTCGGCTCACTGTAACCTCCCCCTCCTGGGTTCAAGCAGTTCTCTTGCCTCGGCCTCCTTGGTAGCTGGGATTATAGACACGCAACACCATGCCCAGCTAATTTTGATATTTTTTGTAGAGATGGGATTTCACCATGTTGGCCAGGCTGGTCTTGAACTCCTGACCTCGGGTGATCAGGCCTGCCTCAGCCTTTCAAAGTCCTGGGATTACAGGTGGGAGACACCACGCCTGGCTAAAGGATTTTTAAGTAGGGAAACAATCCTGTTTGTATGTTAAAACATTACTGTAGTCAACAAGGTGAGAGATGATAAGAGACTGTACTAAGATGGTAAATGGAGCCAGGCACAGTGGCTCATACCTGTAATCCCAGCACTTTGGGAGGCCAAGGCAGGAGAATTGCTTGAGGCCAGGAGTTCAAGACCAGCCTAAACAATATAGTAAGAACTCATCCATACAAAAACTAAAATTAGCCAAGTGTAGTGGTGTGCACATGTAGTCCCAACTACTCAGGAAGCTGAGTTGGAGGATCGCTTGAGCCTAGGTGTTCTAGGTTGCAGTGAGCTGTAATTGTGCCACTGCATTCCAGCCTGGGCAACAGAGCAAGACCCTGTCTCAAAAAAAAAAAAAGAAAAGAAAAAGAAGATACAAGGCACAAAGACCACCCCCCACCTCAAAAAAAAAATAGATGGTACATGGGAATTAACATTTAGGGAAGCAGTTAACTTCTGAACCTCCAAAAGACTTTCCTGTTCAGATCAATCCTGTGCCTTGGTTTCCGTATTCTTCTTTAAGCCACTCTTAAATTCCACTTTTACTTTTGATAATGATCATGGATTCTGCCCCTTTTTGTTGGTGGAGTGGGTGGGTTGGGGGTTAGAATCTTCCCTTAGAATCTTTTATTATTTTATACTAAGCAGGAATTGTACAGATGACCTAAGTCTTCTTGTATTGCATTTTTATTTTTAAACAGGAAATTAGAAATATCTTCTGGAAAGCTGGCCAGATTTGCAGATGGCTCTGCTGTAGTACAGGTAAAAAGTCCAGATTTTTAAAATTCATCTTAAAAATGGTTACGGAGACTCATACTAAATGTGTAACTACAACATCGTGTAACTACTTAGAATTTTGGTACTGGAAATTAATTCAGATACTACTAAGATAATTTCTACTGCAAGAATCATTCCAGACAACCAGAGTCCAGAGCACTGCATGTATTAAGTGACCTATTTTTTTTTTTGAGGTGGACTCTTGCTCCATCTCCAGGCCGGAGTGCAGTGGTGCGATTTTGGCACACTGCAACCTCTGCCTCCTGGGTTCAAGCGATTCTTTTGCCTCAGCCTCCCGAGTAGCTGGGACTACAGGCGTGCACCACCACACCCAGCTAATTTTTGTATTTTTAGTAGAGACGGGGTTTCACCATGTTGGCCAGGATGGTCTCGATCTCTTTTTTTTTTTTTTTTTTGAGATGGAGTCTCACTCTGTTGCCCAGGCTGGAGTGCAGCGGCGCGATCTCGGTTCACTGCAACCTCCGCCTCCCAGGTTCACGCCATTCTCCTGCCTCAGCCTCCTTAGTAGCTGGGACCACAGGCACCTGCCACCACGCCCAGCTAATTTTTTGTATTTTTAGTAGAGTCGAGGTTTCACCGTGTTAGCCAGGATGGTGTTGATCTCCTGACCTCGTGATCCGCCTGCCTCAGCCTCCCAAAGTGCTGGGATTACAGACGTGAGCCACCGCGCCTGGCCTGGTCTCAATCTCTTGACCTCGTGATCCACCTGCCTTGCCCCCGCAAAGTGCTGCAATTACAAGTGTGAGCGACCGTGCCCAGCCGTATTAAGTGACGTTTAACATCCTTTCCAAACTTGGGCTTCTGTTTTATGCGTTAATAAATTCTGTTGTGCTTTTCTAGAGAAAGTGATTTTGGTATTTTCTTCTATAGTAATAATTGGGGAATTTTTCCTTATGTATAGCCACATAAGAAGTAGAGAATACTATTCAATTCATTGAATATGACTAAATTACCTGTTAATCTTTCCTTATTTTGATTCCATAGCTTTTGAAAAGCTCAGAGATCAAGATTGGACTACTTGTGAATATTTTTTATTTCATAATCGTGTCGTAGAATTAGATATCTTTTCTTGAGTTTAATTGGAGTAAGGATTTATTCAGTTGCTACTTAGATGCTAATATCTGATTTCAAAGGAACTTACCAGCGTTGTTCTTTATGTTTAAGTCAGGTGACACTGCAGTAATGGTCACAGCGGTCAGTAAAACAAAACCTTCCCCTTCCCAGTTTATGCCTTTGGTGGTAAGTATTTGCTGATTTATCTGAACTGTAATATGGTCTGAGTAAAGTGTAGAATGTATAATATTTTTGTCCAGTGTCTAGTGAGTGGAAAATACAAACTTGCACAACAAAGAATTTTTCCTAGTTTTTTGATACTGATTCATTAAAAGAGTATAAACTGCTTCATAAACAAATACTAGGATTAAGCATACTTTAGAATTTGGAACGTCCAGGTGCGTAAGTTGACAAGAAGATTGGAAGTGCATGAGTACTTTGACATTGAATAAGCAATGAATTCATTGCCCTCATAGTTTCCCTTCAGTATGACTCTGCAAGTACAGTCAGCCCTCCATGTCCTTGGGTTTTGCATCCATGGATTCAACCAACCATGGATCGAAAATATTGGGGGAAAAATTGCATCTGTACTGAATATGTACAGACTTTTTTTCTTGTCATTCCCTACGCAATACGGTATAAAAACTATTTATGTAGAATTTACATTGTATTAAGGATTATATGTAATCTAGAGATGATTTAAAGTATATGAGAGGATATACGTAAGTTATAAACAAATACTATGGTGTTTTACATCAAGGATTTGAGCATCCATGGATTTTGATATCTGCAAGAGGTCCTAGAACCAATCCCCCAGGGATACCAAGAGACAACTGTGTATATTTAGTAATGAGCTCATGAGAATTTTATAGCTCCCTTCTATTATGAAAAGGGGTGTACAATTATATTTAACAGAGTTGATACCAAAAAAAAGCAATGTTTGACTTGATCAGAATGAGCATCTGTGGCAAATAGTGAGTCTTCTTCCACTTTTACTGTTGAGTAGAAGACTTTTTTTTTTTTAAGAGACAGGGTCTTGCTCTGTCACCCAGGCTAGAGTTGTTCAGTGGTGTGATCATAGTTCACTGCAGCCTCAAACTCCTGGGCTTAAGCAATCCTCCCACCTCAGCCTTCTGAGTAGCTAGGACTATGGGCACAGGCCATTGTGCCCAACTAATTTTTTTTTTGTTGGGGGTAGAGACAAGGTCTTTCTGTGTTACCCAGGCAGTTCTAAAACCCTGGCCTCAAGTGGTCCTCCTGCTTTGGCCTCCCAAAGTGCTGGGATTACAGGCGTGAGCCACTGCACCTGAACGTTTTTTAAAATCACTTTGCAGAAACATTTCTATCAACTTTCCTCTCCCCAAAAGATACAAAATGCTAAGTAAATAACATTTTCTACTCTGAGTCTAGACTGTGTTGTTAGCAACCTCAGGAGAATTAGCATTCATACAGTATAGTTTGTTTCTGCAAAAAGAATTATATGAACTTTTTTTTATTGCTGCTTCAGGTTGACTACAGACAAAAAGCTGCTGCAGCAGGTAGAATTCCCACAAACTATCTGAGAAGAGAGATTGGTACTTCTGATAAAGAAATTCTAACAAGTCGAATAATAGGTAAGATATTAACATAGAGGCGTTCATCTTCTCTGGTATGCCTATGTTAGCATCTCTTCTCTTGCATCTGTGTTCTACAATAAGTCTTAAGTTTTCCTTCATAGCATTAACACCACCTAAGATTATTCACTCCTTCTCTTCCCTCACTCAAATGTGGGCACTGTGAAAGAAAAAACTTTTATTTCTTCAGGGTTGAATCCCTAGTACCTGTTATACTGCTTAGCACAGAATAGGCATTCAATAAATATTTGTTGACTAAATGAGTAAATCTCTATTGAGCATATGAATTTTTTGGCCCATGCCTCTACTTTGTTGAATCTATTCCTAGTACATTTTTTCATGTTCAGAATAGTAATTCCTAAACATTATGTTCATCAGCTACTGAAATATGTCCATAATCTTTCAAATCTTTAACATCCCTACATATTGTGGGATCATATGTAATTTATAGCTCTTCTACCCAGAAATTGCTTTTTTTTGAGACAGAGTCTTGCTCTGTCACCCAGGCTGGAGTGCAGTGGCACGATCTCGGCTCACTGCAACCTCTACCTCCCGGGTTCAAGTGATTGGGATTACAGGTGCCCACCACCATGCCTGGCTGATTTTTGTATTTTTAGTCAAGATGGGGTTTCTCCATTTTGGTCAGGCTGGTCTTGAACTCCTGACCTCGTGATCCACCCGCCTCAGCCTCCCAAGTGCTGGGATTGCAGGCGTGAACCACTGTGCTCGGCCAGAAATTGCTATTTTATGTATATTTATATACAGTCTTCAGACACAAAGTAGCAAGGAAGCATTTTCTTTTGGTCTGCTATTGGTCTTAAGTCTCTTTGCTCTGCTTATATATGTAACTGTTGCCTGTGGAACCAGAATGAAAAATTGCTCCCCAATCTTTATTGTTAATGTGCTTCTTCTGTGTTTGTTTTTTGTTGTTAGGGCATGGTATGTAATAATGGAAGCACTGACATTTATCTGTGTCCCTCTTAGTAAATCAGTCCAAGGGGATTTTTCTTGAAAACATATTGAATGGCTATCTATATTAGTTCAAACGTTTTGAACTGTAAAGCAACTCTGTCAGTACGGTTTAATGTGTTTTTTTTTCTTTTGGCAGATCGTTCAATTAGACCGCTCTTTCCAGCTGGCTACTTCTATGATACACAGGTAGATTCTGCTTTAGGTTTTTTAGTTGCCAGATCAATCAAAAATTACTTAATGAATCTCTGTAATATTTCCTAGAGTAAACATTATAAAGAACATAAGAATTTTTTATGATACTGTTATATTTTACATTACGTTTTTGAAAAAAGATAGTACTTTTTTTTTTTTTTTTTTTGAGACAGAGTCTCACTTTGTCGCCCAGGCTGGAGTGCAATGGCACGATCTCAGCTCACTGCAACCTCAATCTCCCAGGTTCAAGTGATTCTCCTGCCTCAGCCTCCTGAGTAGCTGGGATTACAGGCACGCACCACCATGCCCGACTAATTTTTGTATTTTTAATAGAGACCAGTTTTCACCATGTTGGTCAGGCTGGTCTTGAACTCCTGACCTTGTGATCCGCCCCCCTCGGCCTCCCAAAGTGCTAGGATTACAGGCGTGAGCCACTGTGCCTGGCCAAAAGATAGTGCTTTTAAAAAGCTAACATTTATTCAGTGTCTGTTTGAGTTGACACCTGAATTTCAGTAGGAGTTAGCCAACCAAGGTGTGTCAGGGAAGCATTGAAAGCCCAGAGGCAGGAAAGAAATTAATGAGTTTAAAAAGAAGATCAGCGTGACTACAGTGAGTGGAGACCAAATCAGGCTGGGAATAGGACAACTAACGTAACTAATTTTTATTACCTAATTTTATTGCTGGATCCTCTGAACCTCTACTTTATTATATTTTAATACTTCCTGAATAATACTTTCTTTCAGGATAATGACACATATACTTAAGTAACCATTTCATTCATTTGAAATAAATAAATACACCTTGCAAATATGCCTTTGCAAGAATATCACAGCCTTAGCCTCAGGAAGTTTTTTTTGTGTCTTGTTTTGTTTTGAGTCAGGACCTCTGTTGCCCAGGCTGGAGTACAGTTGGCATGATTATGCCTCACTGCAGCCTCAAACTCCTGAGCCCAAGTGATCCTCCCAATTTAGCCTCCTAAGTAGCTGGGACTACAGGCACAAACCACCATACCCAGCTAAGTTTTTTTGTTTTTTGTAGAGAGGGGGTTTCACTATGTAAGCCAGGCTGGTCTTGAACTCCTGCTCTCAAGCGATCCTCCTGCCTCAGCCTCCCAAACTGCTGGTATTACAGACATGAGCCACCACACCCGGTCACTGAAGTTTTTTTCTGAAGTGCATGACATAGGCACATTATTGCAGTATAAAGTTTGTTTAATCTATGCTTATAAAAAGAACTTTTTTAAGTGCATGACATGGGCACGTTATTGCAGTATAAAGTTTGTTTCATCTATGCTTATAAACAGAAATTTTTTTTTTTTGAGACAGAGTCTCCCTCTGTCACCCAGGCTGGAGTGCAATGGCGCAATCTCGGCTCACTGCAATCTCTGCCTCCCAGGTTCAAACCATTCTCCCTGCCTCAGCCTCCTGAGTAGCTGGGATTACAGGTGTCTGCCACCACACCTGGCTAATTTTTTTCTGTTTTTAATAGAGATGGGGTTTTGCCATGTTGGCCAGACTGGTCTTGAACTCGTGACCTCAAGTGATCCGCTGCCTCAGCCTCTCAAAGTGCTGGTATAGGCCTGAGCCACTGCACCTGGCCAACAGAAATTTTTTATTGGTTTGTTTGTTTGTTTTTTGAGATGGAATCTCGCTCTGTCGACCAGGCTGGAGTACAGTGGCGCGATCTCGGCTCACTGCAAGCTCCGCCTCCCAGGTTCACACCATTATCCTGCCTCAGCCACCTGAGTAGCTGGGACTACAGGCACCTGCCAACATGCCTGGCTAATT
Organism: Homo sapiens; assembly: GCF_000001405.40. NCBI lineage: Eukaryota > Metazoa > Chordata > Mammalia > Primates > Hominidae > Homo > Homo sapiens. The sequence continues at coordinate 55,681,991 of NC_000002.12, read as the reverse complement.
TTTTGTATTTTTTTAGTAGAGACGGGGTTTCACCGTGTTAGGCAGGATGGTCTTGATCTCCTGACCCCGTGATCTGCCCGCCTCAGCCTCCCAACATGCTGGGATTACAGGCGTGAGCCACCGCGCCCAGCCTTTTTTTTTTTTTTTGAAATGGAGTTTCACTCTTGTTGCCCAGGCTGGAGACCAATGGCGCGATCTCAGCTCACTGAAACCTCTGCCTCCGGGTTCAAGTGATTCTCCTGCCTCAGCCTCCCTAGTAGCTGGGATTATAGGCGTGCACTACCACGCACGGCTAATTTTTGTATTTTTAGTAGAGACAGGGTTTTGCCATGTTGGCCAGGCTGGTCTTGAACTCCCGACCTCAAGTGATCCACCTGCCTCGGCCTCCCAAAATGTTGAGATTACAGGCGTGAGCCACCATGCCTGGCCTAGAAAATATTTTTATATGATAGAAATAGCTAACATTTACTGAATACTTGCAACATGCGAGGACTGTGATAAGTGCTTTACCTACCGTATTTATCTGATTCTCATAGGAACCCTTTGGGAAGAGGCCATTATTTTTCCCGTTTATTTATTTATTTAGAGACAGATTCTCACTCTGGCACCCAGGCTGGAGTGCAATGGCGTGATCTCAGCTCACTGCAACCTCTGCCTCCTGGGTTGAAGAGATTCTTCTGCCTCAGCCTCCTGATTAGTTGGGACTACAGGCACCGGCCACTACACCCGGCTAATTTTTGTCTTTTTAGTAGCGACAGAGTTTCACCATGTTGGTCAGACTAGTCTCAAACTCTTGACCTCAGGTGATCCGCCCTCCTCAGCCTCCCAAAGTGCTGAGATTACAGGCGTGAGCCACCACGCCTGGCCTGTTTTTCCCTTTTAAAGATGAGGAAGCTTTTGAGGTTTAATTTAAGTAATTTATCCAATGTCAAGCATTTCGTTTAATGACAGCCAAAATTAAGAGGTTTGGCTACAAAGCCCCTGCTTTTAGCCATATAGTGCTCTTGTATTTTAGGTCAGGATGTTAACCTAAATGATAACCCTTCCAAATCAAATTTTTTCCCTTTTACCAGGTTCTGTGTAATCTGTTAGCAGTAGATGGTGTAAATGAGCCTGATGTCCTAGCAATTAATGGCGGTAAGTATAAAAGTAGAGATTAAAATTATCAGATTAAAAATTTTTTTAAAGCAATGAAATTTTAATTTCGGCCCTGATTTTTCTCCTTTTTTAAGCTTCCGTAGCCCTCTCATTATCAGATATTCCTTGGAATGGACCTGTTGGTAAGTTAGGATTTAAAAGTAAGAAATCATATGTGTATTTTTTTTTTCAGTAAGTAGTAGTGACCATGTTACAGCAATGGCATATGGCTCTGATTTATTACCTCTTCATGAATTGAACTAGATGACGTTCTAAGTCTCCTTTCAGGTCTTTCAGACATTTTCATCCTTGTCTTGGGTTCTGTTTCTAATAGCATATGTTACGGTATTACAGATTTTATGTCCCTAGATATTTTGACTTCATAATTGTCTCTTTCTGTTAGAGGACTTCTTTTTTTTTTTTTTTTTTAACTGGGAAATTATCAGAGTATATACTCCTTCAGGATGAAATTAATGTAACTTACGGCTGTTATAAGTTCATAATCATGCAATATAAAAATGGCTCAGTGAGTAAATAATTATCAAGTGTCCTAGGCAGAGCAGGCCCTAGCAATACAACAATGAAAGATGCAGTTCTTGATCTCTGCATAAAGGAGACAGATAATTACTTATGATCAGTGTTATTATAAAGACATAGTCAAAGTGCTAAGAATATGATAGAGAAGAGCAGATTTGATTTTGTGTGGTCAGGTTGTCAAGGAGGGCTCCTCAGAGTAGTCATTTGTGTAAGCTGAACCTTAGTAGGATCTAGTGTTAAGCATTTGCGTTAGAGAGAATACTGACTGGCTAGACCAGGGGACAAACATGAGCATAATCCCAGAGGTGTGGAAGAAGTGGTATATTTCAGCAATTCAGAGTGATCCAGTGAGGACAGAAGGTAGGGTGGGGTAGGATGTTCTGTGGGTCTTAAATACCGTGTAGAAACATGGATTTTATTCTGTGGTCACAATCAAAGATGGGGTTGAAGCCATGACTGGAATAATGTCTTGAAAACTGGGTATTTCCATTAAACAGTTGCCAATATTCTAATACATTTTAGGGGCAGTACGAATAGGAATAATTGATGGAGAATATGTTGTTAACCCAACAAGAAAAGAAATGTCTTCTAGTACTTTAAATTTAGTGGTTGCTGGAGCACCTAAAAGTCAGATTGGTAAGTTGTTTTAAATACCACATTTGTTCTGGATTTTACTTACAAGTTCTGGCTTCTTAAACTGAATTTAAACTCTGTGTGTATGTTTTGTCGGTAGCCATAAAAATTTTTGTCATGTTTTATCTCTGTCCTATTTTTGTGCTCTTGCTTCATATCAAATGATTCCTAAAATTACAGGATTTTATTCAATTTTATTTAGAATATACAAAAATATTTACCAAGATCATTTCAGTAATTATTTTTAGACTAAATTTTAATTATTAAAATTATGACTAATTTTTAGTCTAAAAATAATTTCAATAATTATGTTTAGACTAATAAGTTATTAGTCTAAATAACTTATTTTAAAAATAGAAGTTCTAAGTCTGGTAGTAACCATTTTATTAGTTTAAACATTATAATTTAGCTATTTCATTCTAAGTCTGCTTGGTATCCTCTTGAGAAGTGACCCATTTCTACTAGGTGGAAAACTGGTAATAAAATAGAAGAAATGCATTGACCATGGGCCATTTTCACTTACTCCTTGTGACAGAAATGTCATACTTGCATGAACGAAAATCAGGTCCTTGTTCTGTGGAAGGAAAATGGGCTTTAGCAGTCAGAATGACCTGGATTTGAAACCTGTCTCTGCCACTATAATCATGTGATCTTGGACAGATTATTTAAGGGCTTTTATTGTTGGTTTATTCTACTATGTGATGTTTGATGTGTGTGACTTTTTGACATAGGGTCTTCTGATGTGGGAACATTTTGATGAAACAAACTATTCAACTTTTACTGCTTTTTTGTACAAGTAATATGTGAAACATCTCATTTCCAGCTTCTTCTGGTTTGTTAGCCAGTGATGAAGTTAAAATTAGGTTCTATAAGTTAGAAAAATCCCCACATATTAGTTGGGGGTTGTGTTGTCGAACCAAATAAACAAGACTTAAACAAGATGGAAACTTTATTTTTCTCTCAGGTAAAAGAAATTCAGAGGTGGTAAATCTAGGACAGTGATAGTGGTTACATGACATCTTAAGAAATCTAGATTCCTTTTAGCTTTCTCCTCTGCTATCCTCAAGATGTGGCCTCGTCTTCATGCTTATGAACTGGCATGAAGAGCTCTGGCCAACTTATCTGACTTACAGGCAGGAGGAAGAAAAAAGAAGGGAACAGCAAAAAGGTGTGTGGCAGTTGAGTAAGTCAACCTGCGTTTTAAGCACCTTTCCCAGAAATCCCCACACAGTAGTTTCTATTTACACCTCATTGAGCAGAACTGTGGCACATGACTATAGCCTCGACTGCAAGTGAGGCAAGGAAATGATTTTTGTATTCTGCCTGCAGAAGGTGGGATTCGTACTGTGAGTAACTATCAAAATGTAGAGAGGATATTCCAAAGAATGGGGAAGCCATGAATAATAGATGATGTCTACCTCATGTTTGAGCATCTCGGAGCCTTGAGCAAAGTATTGGTTTCCTGTTCATCTGCATTGGAATTTTTGCTGAAAGTTACAGCGTTTGTTTATTCGCTGTTAGTAAACTAGTCTCATTACTTTACAGGGTAGTTATGAAGATAAGAGTCAAGATTTGCAAAGTGCCCAGCATGTTACCTAATAAGCATACAGTTAATACCTGCTATTATCATTAAGACACAGAAATGGCCGGGCATAGTGGCTCACGCCTGTAATCCCAGCACTTTGGGAGGCCGAGGCAGGCAGATCACGAGGTCAGGAGATCGAGACCATCCTGGCTAACACAGTGAAACCCTGTCTCTACTAAAAATACAAAAAAAAATTAGCCGGGCGTGTTGGCGGGCGCCTGTAGTCCCAGCTACTGGGAGGCTGAGGCAGGAGAATGGCGTGAACCCGGGAGGCAGAGCTTGCAGTGAGCCGAGATCACACCACTGCACTCCAGCCTGGGCAACAGAGCGAGACTCTGTCTCAAAAAACAAACAAGCAAACAAACAAAAAAGACACAGAAGTAAACCTGCTGCTAATTGGTCATATAGCCACTATCTACCTTAGAGTTTGAACCCTTCTAATTGTTAAGTAGACATTAGAGGAATGAACTAATAATCTTTTTTTTTTTTTTTTTTTTTTTTTTGAGACATAGTCTCGCTCTGTTGCCCAGGGTGGAGGAGTGCAGCAGTGCGATCTCAGCTCACTGCAACCTCCGCCTCCCAGGTTCAAGTGATTCTCCTGCCTCAGTCTCCCAAGTAGCTGGGATTATAGGCGTGCACCGCCATGCCCAGCTAATTTTTGTATTTTTAGTAGAGATGGGGTTTTGCCATGTTGGCTAGGCTGGTCTCTAATTCCTGGCCTCAAGTGATCTGCCCGCTTCGGCCACCAAAAGTGCTGGGATTATAGGCGTGAGCCACTGCACCCAGCAGAACCAAGGAATCTTTGCTGCACATGTGGCATGCCACAGAAACCCCACAGGCCAACTTCCAGCTGGCTCTTCTCACCTGTTGCTCACAGGAGGGAAGAATGAGACTCTAGAGCGCATAAATTTCAGAGAGTAGTCTTGGGTAGAGGGAGGCTGAGAGTGATTCAGAACCAACCTGTAAGGGGATGGTTTTTAGGAATTACCAGCCTCCATTTTATGACTTTTGCATCACTATTTCCATGCAGCTATTCAGCCAGCTCTCTCTGCTTTCATAAAGATGCATCAAATATGCATTTTAACCCCTTGTTTACCTGTTAAAGTTAACATCGGGTCCAAGTGAAATACCACCATCATGGAACTTCTGTGATACAAAAATACAAAAAAGTAATTGCTACTATTTCATTATTAAAATATTTAGTCATTTAGTCATCCAAATCTTTTTTTTTTTTTTTGGAGACCAGGTCTCTCTCTGTTGCCGAGGCTGGAGTACAGTGGCATGATCTTGGCTCAGTGCAACTTCCGCCTCCCAGGTTCAAGTGATTCTCTTGACTCAGCCTCCTGAGTAGCTGGGATTACAGGCGTGCACCACCACACCTGGCTAATTTTTGTGTTTTTAGTAGAGACAGGGTTTCACCATGTTTGTCAGGCTGGTCTCAAACTCCTGACCTCAGGTGATCCACCTGCCTCAGCCTCCCGAAGTGCCGGGATTGCAGGCATGGGCCACCACTCCCGGGCAGTCATCCAGATCTTTAGAGTATAATCTTACACGGCAAGAATAGTTACTCCATGCTGTCAGCTGCTGGGTTACTTCAACACCAACATTCTGAACCGTACCATTTAGATGTTTGTTTTCAACTGGTATATTTAATATCACTAATATTTCTGTGTGTGAGAAGATATCGGTCAGGAAAAAGTATACCAGTAACATGTTTTTAGAAGATATTTTGGGTCTAGAATTTATAGCTTCAGCTAATCTCAAAACTCCTTCATCTTCAACTGCTAAAATGGTTGACAGTTTATAGCAATCTTCTTTTTTTTTTTTTTTTTTTTTTGGTTGAGATGGAGTCTTACTCTGTCGCCCAGGCTGGAGTGCAGTGGCGCAATCTCGGCTCACTGCAACCTCCATCTCCAGGTTCAAGCGATTCTCTTGACTCGGCCTCCCAAGTAGCTGGGACTACAGGCGTGCACCACCACACCTGGCTAATTTTTTATTTTTAGTAGAGATGGGGTTTCAACATGTTGGCCAGGCTGGTCTCAAACTCCTGAACTCAGGTGATCCACCTGCCTCAGCTTCCCAAAGTGCTGGGATTACAAGCGTGAGCCACCACGCTGGGCCTATAGCAATCATTTTGACAAGCTTTTATGTTTAAATTTTTAGCATCGATAGCAGTGTTGTCCAGTAGAACTCTGCAGTGAAGGGAATGTTTTATATCTGATCATGTGGCTACTTAGCACTTCAGATGTGGCTAGAGTAACTGAGGAACCAAAATTTTAATTTTGTCTAATTTTAAATAATTTAAATGCAAGTAGCCATATGTGGCTAGTAGTTACCATATTGGACAGCACAGCTCTGTAGACTCAACTGTAAGGAGTGTTCTTTCTTTCTTTCTTTCTTTTTTTAAGACAGTCTCACTCTGTTGCCAAGCTGGAATGCAATGGTGTGATTATACATCACTACAGCCTCAAACTGTGGGGTTCAAACGATCCTATGTCCTCAGCCTCCTGAGTAGCTGGGAATCCAGGCACATGTCACCACACCTGGCTAAAGAAATTTTCTTAGAAAGTATTTTTTAAAAGGAATTGCATTAAAGTTTAATGAGTGAAAACAAAGTTTATTTGGGGGGTATCCATTTTTCTTTGTCATATTCTATTTTTTAAATTTTACCATTATTTTTATTAGATATAGCATCTCATTATATTGCCCAGGCTAATCTCCTGGCCTCAAGCAATCCTCCTGTCCTGGCCTCCCATAGCACTGGAATTACAAGCATGAGCCCCATGCCCAGCCATATTTTTTTTTTTTTTGAATCTGGTTCTCAACTCTCCTCAACTCTATTGTCCAGACTAGAGTATGAGTATAGTGGCGTGATCATGGCTCACTGTAGCCTAGCCTGAAACTGCTGGCCTCAAGTGATCATCCTGCCTCAGCCTCTAGAATAGCTAGGATTACAGGCACACCACCGCAGCTGAGTTTTTTATCTTCTAGTTGTTATCTTTTTAGGGACAGGACCTTGCTGTGTTGCTCAGCCTGGTCCCAGACTCCTGGCCTCAAATAATCCTCCCACCTTGGCCTCCCAAAGTACTGGGACAATAGGCATGAGCCATCACACCTGGCCACATATTTTATTTTTAAAAGCAATTTATTGAGATATAATTTATACCCATTAAATGAATTTTTAAAAATCTCCGGATTAATCCTGTCAAAGTGAGAGGATATCTTGGAAATACAGATGAGAAAAAGAATATAGCCATCTCAGTATCATGGTATCAGAAGAAATTTCTTCAGGCCTGGTGCAAAATATGGAAACCTTATTTCCCTTTACCCTCTCCCATTTGGAATGCAATTGTTATCATTTTCTTCTACAGTTAGAACCATATCAGGCAGTGTTACAATTTTTGCTTTTGCTTCAACTGTCAAACATAATTTAGAAAACTCAAGAGGGAAAGAAAAGCTTATTGCTCTGTATTTACTCTTTTTCTCTATTTATTTATTTATTTTTTTGAGATGGAGCCTCATTCTGTCGCCCAGGCTAGAGTGCAGTGGCGTGATCTCAGCTCACTGCAACCTCCACCTCCTGGGTTCAAGTGATTCTCATGCCTCAGCCTCCTGAGTAGCTGGGACTACAGGTGCACGCCACTATGCCTGGCTAATTCTTTCATTTTTTATAGAGACAGGACCTCGCTATGTTGCCCAGGCTGGTCTTGAACTCTGACTTCAGGTGATCTGCCCACTTTAGCCTCCCAAAGTGCTGGGATTACAGGTGTGAGCCACCACGCTCAGCCTCTATATTTATTCTTAGTTTGCATACTGATTTTCTTTCCTTTCTAACAGTCCACGATGTCTTCTCTTATTTTTTCATTTCTGTTTAGAAAACTTCCTTTAGCTATTTCTAATGCAATAGAAAAAATTCTATTATTCAGTCCTTTAGTTGGCTTACTTGAAACAGGATCACTGCAGAGATTTCCCCATCTGTGCAAGAATTAGACAATGTGAGAATTAATTGTTAAACAGGAAATATTTATTAGATTCCTATTGTGTTACATATTTTTACATTTTATTTAAAATATGTATTGCCAGGAGCGGTGGCTCACGCCTGTAATCCCAGCACTTTAGGAGGCTGAGGCGGGTTAATCACCTGAGGTCAGGAGTTCGAGAGCAGCCTGGGCAACATGGCAAAACCCCGTCCCTACTAAAACTACAAAAATTAGCTGGATGTAGTGGCTCACGCCTGTAATCCCCAGCACTTTGGAAGGCCAAGGCAGGCAGATCACCTAAAGTCACTTTGGCAAATAATATAAACAGTTCACAGAAAAGGACATACATATGGCCTTTTAAAAATATAAAAAGATGCCAGGCACAGTGGCTCACGTCTAATCCCAGCACTTTGGGAGGCTGAGGCAGGCAGATCACAAGGTCAGGAGATTGAGACCATCCTGGCTAACACAGTGAAACCCCATGTCTACTAAAAATACAAAAAATTAGCTGGGCATGGTGGCGGGCGCCTGTAGTCCCAGCTACTCGGGAGGCTGAGGCAGGACAATGGTGTGAACCTGGGAGGCAGAGCTGGCAGTGAGCCGAGATTGCGCCACTGCACTCCAGCGTGGTCAACAGAGTGAGACTCTGTCTCAAAAAAAAAAAAAAAGTATTAAAAACAAATGCACTTGTATACTTTAAAAGATTTAATTTTTATTTTATGTGACTTATAGCTCAATAAAACTTATTTTTAAAATATGTGCATGATTTCTTTTTTTTTTCTGTTTCATTTTTTATGGGAAATCCCTCCTTAAACTTAAGGAGAATGTAAACCTAAATACAGATATCAAGGTGTCTTTATTCATTTACCGCTGCTTACATTTTGGAAGTATGTTGATTCTGAGGAAAGAAATCAAGGTGGATCTATCACTAAGAAGTAAAATTGATCCATAATATTTATGTCATGTCATGGTATTTGAAAATGTTATATTACTAAGAGCTTCGATGGCAGTCATTTTTTTTTTCTTTTTCCTTTAAATAGTCATGTTGGAAGCCTCTGCAGAGAACATTTTACAGCAGGACTTTTGCCATGCTATCAAAGTGGGAGTGAAATATACCCAACAAATAATTCAGGGCATTCAGCAGTTGGTAAAAGAAACTGGTGTTACCAAGAGGACACCTCAGAAGTTATTTACCCCTTCGCCAGAGATTGTGAAATATACTCATAAGTAAGAACATCTGTGCAAATGAAAATATGAAATTGTCATCAGATTTAATTTCCTCGTGGGAGAGAAACTTCCCATGGAAGCACTGCCCATGCATTACTTCATAAATAGCACTTTTCTGTTTTAAGAGTCATTCCCATAAATATCTGCTTACTCCCTTAAAAAGGATAAGCCCACATCACTCTTGTAAGACCTAACTTTGAATCTCAAATGAAAGAGTGTGTTTATTGGTCAAGATTCAGGTAAGCACCACATCTCTCCACGTCTAGGAAAAAGAATAAAACGTTAAGATATTTGAATATCTAAGGAAACTGTTGGAATTCTCAAAAAGAAATCAGAGGTAATCACTGTTACATGCCCAGTGCTTAGAACGTTAGGCAGACACTCAGTAAATGTAAATGAATCACTGGAAAATTATTTTATTTGAAAAAATTGAAAAGGTTAATACTTTCCCTTAATGTCAGTTGCACAGCCATGAGTTGGAAATTAAATTAACTCTTTCTAGCAAAAGAGTTTCATGTGATAATGGAGCCAAAATGGGTAGAATGAAGAAAGGAAGAGGTTAAAAAGAATATATGAAAGGTGAAATTAATTGAACAATTAAGAAGAAAAGAACAGGATACTACATGTGGTTTCCCCTGGGAGGGTGGGAGAAAGAAATTTGTGTTCTATACCATAAATAGTAAACAGATTAGCAATGATAAATAGCAATATAAATTTTCAATTCTTTCTGAAGTATTTATTAAAGTTTTAGCTGATTATTATTAAATATTTCAGTTTTGTTTATAATAGAAACTGCCTCTTGTTTCCAGATATTATTATGCTAACATTTATTTTCTGCTTAAATAGACTTGCTATGGAGAGACTCTATGCAGTTTTTACAGATTACGAGCATGACAAAGTAGGTATACCTGAGTTTTGTCTTCCATAATTGCCCTAGGAATACATTTTTGTCATAACTCATGTAATTTTCTTTATGAATGCTAGTCCTATTTTTATTAAAAATCTCTAAATGAAAAACTAACAAAAGCCTAATTGTTTCTCCATTCTTTTGTTTTGTTTTGTTTTTGAGACAGAGTCTCTCTCTGTCGCCCAGGCTGGTGTGCAGTGGCATGATCTCAGCTCACTGCAACTTTCGCCTTCCAGCGATTCTCATGCCTCAGCCTCCCAAGTAGCTGGGATTACAGGTGCACGCCACCACACTCAGCTATCTTTTGTATTTTTAGTAGAGACGGCCATGTTGGCCAGGCTGGTCTCAAACTCCTGGCCTCAAGTGATCTGCCCACCTTGGCCACCCAAAGTTCTTTTCTTTTTAATATAAGTTTTAGGGGAGTGTACAAATGTATTTGAATGAATTAACATGTAGTATTTGTCATAAATCAAGAACCAATTCCAATATTTTAAAGAATATTAAAGAAATCAGAGTAATTCACAATGTGTTCATTGTATAATAATTAGAAAACAGAAATATTAAATGTTGTCATGTATATGTAATAACTGAACCTCAACTTTCTTTTAGGTTTCCAGAGATGAAGCTGTTAACAAAATAAGATTAGATACGGAGGAACAACTAAAAGGTAAATTTTATTTTATTTTATTTTATTTTTTTGCTGAGGGCAGCTTTAATAAGGCATGGCCTGACTCTTGCTTCTTGGGATTAAAGGTCAAAGAGGAAAGGCATCACATCTGTAGGAAAAGAAGAATTCAAAGGACTTTCAACTTTACAGCTGCTGTTCCCTAGACCTAGAATGCTCTCTCATAGCAGGTGGTCTTCTTCTAACCCAAGGTTCAAATGCCACCTCTTCTCCAAAGCTTCCCCGAACTGTTTCGGGGAAAGAGAAAGTCCCCTTTGCACAGAACCGCTATTACTATGTATTTTTTAATTTTAAAAGCATTAAAAGAAATAATAGACTTTTTTTTTTTTTAACTTTAGTTGAAGATCTCAAATAAATGTTACTCTCATTGCTTCTCAGCTTTATTTTCAATAAACTTGTAATAATGATAGCTCACAAGGTTACTGCTAAATTAACTTCTATGAATGTAGCTAGCACTACATTTGATGCAGAGTAGGTACCTAGTAAATGTTGAATGTGAATGTTCCTGATCTTTTCTGAATCAAACTCCTACCATACAAGAAATGTAACCTGGTATCTTATCATTTGAAAACCCAAATATATTCTTTAAAATTCTTGAGTTCTTGATCTGTGAAATTGCAGTGTTAATAATACCTGGTTTATGGGGATTAAATGAGTGAATCATTTACATCTGTGCCTGCCACACCGTAAGTGTTCAATAAATGTTAACTGATGCTATTCTTAATACCTAGTGGAATCATAAGATACAGAACTTAGGTAATTTAGCTCTCCAGAAATTATTAAGCAAAGGATCTTACTGTATAATATCAACCTCTGGCCAGGCGCGGTGGCTCACGCCTGTAATCCCAGCACTTTGGGCGGCCGAGGCAGACAGATCACGAGGTCAAGAGATCGAGACCATCCTGGCTAATACGGTGAAACCCTGTCTCTACTAAAAATACAAAAAGTTAGCCGGGCGTGGTGGCGGGCACCTGTGGTCCCAGCTACCCAGGAGGCTGAGGCAGGAGAATGGCGTGAACCCAGGAGGTGGAGCTTGCAGCGAGTCGAGATCGCGCCACTGCACTCCAGCTTGGGCAACGGAGCGAGACTCTGTCTCAAAAAAATAAATAAATAAATAAAAATAATAGTAATAATACCAACCTCACACAAACTGAATATAAATGAAGTATGACATAGTTTTTGTTAATTTTTCTAATAGACAAATATACTCTCACATGAATATTTATTTTAAGATAAAAAACTGGCCAGGCGTGGTGGCTCATGCCTGTAATCCCAGCACTTTGGGAAGCCAAAGTGGGTGGATCACTTGAGATCAGGAGTTCAAGACCAGCCTGGCCAATATGGTGAAACCCCATCTCTACCAAAAATACAAAAATTAGGCGGGCATGGTGGCAGGCTCCTGTAATCCCAGCTACTTGGGAGGCTGAGGCATGAGAATCACTTGAACCTGTTAGGCAGAGGTTGTAGTGAGCTGAGACCGCCACTGCACTCCAGCCTGGGCAATAGAGCAAGACTCCATCTCAAAAAAAAAAAAAAAAGTGCTGTTAGCATTGATATTAAGGCCATTAATTGTAACTGTCATTGAATATGTTTAGTCCTTTCTCACTACATTTCATCCTATTTGGTAAGAAAGAAATTTTATAGCGAATATTGTCTTATTTTAAAAGAATAGTGACTTTTTGTTTGTATTATACATAGTAGAATATCTTCACGACCCTCTGGGTTGATAGGATATTTTAAACATTTTGGTACTGATTGTTTTCCTTTCCAAGTACAACTCAGTTAAGCAGAAAAGATATTAAAGTCTAATATTAAAAATTATTCTTTTCTGAAGAAGATACAATCTAATATATCTTTCTGTGACCATTTCTTGTGTTTTGGTTACTTTGAAGTTATGTTTAATAAACCATACACATGAGAGAATAGTACTTAAAACTTGGCATAAATTAATTGATAGGGTAGAATAGCTTAACATCTAAACCCTAAGCTAAAAATAAAATAAAATAAAACCATAAGCCTTTGAGGCTGACAGATCTTTATTCAGGTCACAGCTGTATCAGTTACTACCTGTGTGGTCTCAGGCAGTTTACTCCACCTCTTTATTTTTTATTTATGTTTTTTTTTAAACTCAGTGGTTATCTCTTACACAGTACTTCACCCCTTTAAGCCTCAGTTTTTTCTTCTGTAGAATGGGAATCATAAAATTTAGTTCATAAGTTATTATGAAAGTTAAAAGCATTAAAAAACCAATAAAGTGCCTGGCTCATGAAAGCATTTGACAAATATTAGATAGAAAACAGTTTGTAGGGATTTCTAATATATTTTTAAAATTTTTCCCCAATTTGCAGATTTAGATTAAAGGCAAAAGAGTGAGGGTGTCTACTCTTAAAACTGTCAGTTAGGCCGGGCACAGTGGCTCACGCCTGTAATCCCAGCACTTTGGGAGGCCAAGGCAGGCGGATCACCTGAGGTCAGGAGTTCGAGCCCAGCCTGACCAACGTGGAGAAACCCCGTCTCTACTAAAGATACACAAATTAGCCAGGTGTGTTGGCACATGCCTATAATCCCAGCTACTAGGGAGGCTGAGGCAGGAGAATTGCTTGAACCCAGGAGGCGATGGTTGCGGTGAGCTGAGATCATGCCATTGCACTCTAGCCTGGGCAACAAGAGCAAAACTCCGTCTCAAAAAAAAAAGACTGTCAGACCTTTTCCATAAAGGCTGACTGGATTCTTCTGGTAACATAATAGAAAAGGGAACTGATGGGCCGGGCGCATTGGCTCACGCCTGTAATCCTAGCACTTTGCGAGGCCAAGGCAGACAGATTGCCTGACTTCAGGAGTTCAAGAGCAGCCTGGGCCACATGGTAAAACCCCGTCTCCACTAAAATACAAAAAAATTAGCCAGGCATGGTGGTACACGCCTGTAGTCCCAGCTACTCAGAATGCTAAGGCAGGAGAATTGCTTGAACCCAGGAGACAGAGGTTGCAGTGAGCCAAGATTGCGGCGTTGCACTCCAGCCTGGACAACAGAGTGAGACTTTGTCTCCAAAAGAAAAGAAAGAAAGAAAAGGGAACTGATTTCAAAGCACTGTCATTCAGTCATTTAGGTAGAAAACAAACTAAGTTCACAATAACAACACAGTTGTAGTACTTGGTACTTGATGTGTCACATTTGGTTGAGAACATTTAATTTATCTACTTTGTTTGCCTGAGGACTAAACGTTCAGAGTCATCTCCCTTGGTTGATTCCCGTAGTTAGTTGATATTATGCTATGAACTTTAGAGAAATCCTATCTCCTAAAAAAGTAAAAATCTTTGTTTTGGTTTGTCTTTTTTCTATAGAAAAATTTCCAGAAGCCGATCCATATGAAATAATAGAATCCTTCAATGTTGTTGCAAAGGAAGTTTTTAGAAGTATTGTTTTGAATGAATACAAAAGGTAAACATACCCTTTTTTGTTGAAATTGAAGTATGCACTGTCTCTGCAAGTTGCCTTGAAAATGGAAACTTGATCAAAGAAAGTTTGTTTTTTTTCAAGTGAACAGTAAAGAATTATAATATTTGCTATATAAATGGACACCTATTGAAGAAAAAGTACATGATATGTGACCATCTGTCTTGGGCCTGGTGTATAAAGCGGTGCCTGCCAGCCCTGACTGCACTTCAGGATTACCTGTAGAGTTTTTTGTTTGTTTGTTTTTTGTTTTTTTTTTTTGAGACAGAGTCTCGCTCTGTCACCCAGGCTGGAGTGCAATCTCGGCTCACTGCAAGCTCCGCCTTCCGGGTTCACGTCATTCTCCTGCCTCAGCCTCCCGAGTAGCTGGGACTACAGGTGCCCACCACCATGCCCAGCTAATTTTTTGTATTTTTAGTAGAGACGGGGTTTCACCGTGTTAGCCAGGATGGTCTCGATCTCCTGACCTCGTGATCCGCCTGCCTCGGACTCCAAAAGTGCTGGAATTATAGGCATGAGCCACCGCGCCCGGCCTACCTGTAGAGTTTTTTAACAACACAGGAATATAGGTTCAACTTCAGACATTCTGATTCAGTGATATTCAGGATAGTGCTCAAGTATCTATTATTTTTTAAAGTTCCACAGGGGATTATGATACACAACTGAGGTTGAGAACTTCCTGGGAGAGATAAAGACATGTGATTTTTCTGTTTCCAGCGTTACTTAATGTACTTATTTCCTATATCACTATAGGTGCGATGGTCGGGATTTGACTTCACTTAGGAATGTAAGTTGTGAGGTAGATATGTTTAAAACCCTTCATGGATCAGCATTATTTCAAAGAGGACAAACACAGGTAATTTATATAAAAAGCTCTAATTATTTGCTAAATTAAGATTGTTTAATTAGATCTAATAGAAGTACATTAGTAGATGCTGTAGGTTTTGTCATATGGTGTATATTATTTATTTAAATTAATATCTGGCGGTTCTTGTTTGTTTTGTTTGAGACAGGTTCTTGTTTGTCACTCAGGCTCCAGTGCAGTGGCACAATCATAGCTCATTGAAACCTCTAACTCCTGGACTCAGGCGATCCTCCCACCTCGGCTTCCTGAGTAGCTGGGACTACAGGCGTGTGCCACTATGCCTGGTTAATTAAAAACTTTTTTTTGTAGAGACAAGGTCTTACTATGTTGCCCAAGCTGGTCTCAAACTCTTGGCCTCAAGCAATCCTCCTACCACAGCCTCCTGGTGTTCTGGGATACAGGCATGAGCCACCACGCCTGGCCTTTGGTGTGTTTTTTATGTAATTTTAACAGTTTTTTTGAGGTATAATTGCTGTTCAATAAACTATGCTGTTTAAAATGTATGATTTGGTAACTTTTCACAAGTATGCAACTGAGAAACCAGCAAGATAATGAACAGGCCAGGCATGGTAGCTCACTCTTGTAATTCCAGCACTTTGGGAGGCCCAGGAGGGAGGATTGCTTGAGGCCAGGAGTTCGAGGTTGCAATAATCTATGGTCATGCCATTGCACTCCAGCCTGGACTACCAAGCCAGACCCTGTCTCTTAAAAAATTTAAAAATGAAAAAGATAATGAACATATCAGTTACCTCCAAGAGTTTCCTCATGCCTTTTTGTAATGCCTTCTTCCTGCCCCCCACCTCCTCAGGAGACTACTGATCTGCTTTTGTCACTATAAATTAGTTTGCATTTTCTAGAATTATCTGGTATTTCTGTTGTATCTTTCTTTTAATATTGGGTATACAAAATTGAGTAACTCAGACTCTAGTTTATGGCATATTGTGATTGTTGACCTGTTCAAGGCCCTCATTTGTTTTCTCCATTTAGCCTGTACAGTTCTATTCTTTTTCTATTCTTTATTCTTTACATAGGCACCCACTCTTGTATTTAACAGGTAGCCTTCTGGTTCTCCTTCTTTTCGTTTATTAATATTTACCTACATCTGTATTCATTGTTCTGTGTACCATATTATGCTTTATACTCCTTTCCCACATTAATTGTTTCTTTAATTCTATCAATCTGATAGGCACCAAGTAGTAACTTTTTGCTTTAATTTTATTTTCCTGATTACTAGTGAGGCTCAGCATTATTTATATAACAGCCAGTCAACATGGTCACTGCATAAACCATGCCCTGGGGAACTGCACACCTCCAGGGCACTATTTCCACATGAATGTTGTCCCCTAGAGTTGTGCAGTGTGGTGGCCTTGCCTCAGGTTTGCCCTTTTATGAATTTTCTGTCCATATCCTTTGGCCAGTTTTTCTTTTTTTAATATGGTTTACTGTGTTTTACCTGCTATTTTGTAGTAATTTCTGAAGTGTTTTAAATATTAATTCCTTTTGGTAACAAACTTTATATATATATGTCTCCTTCTTTATTTATTGCCTTTTAACTTTGCCTGTGGTAGTCTGCTATGTTTAGAGTAAACCTGAAAACTTAGTTCTGATATAAATTCTTCTGTACCTCAAAGTCACAAAGTTACTCACCTACTTTTTCTATTAGCTTTCTAGTTTTAGCTGTCGAATGTAGACCATTAGTCGATCTTTGAATTTATTCCTACACGTTGTATGAAAGGAAGACCTCCATAGTGAGCCAATTATACATTATTTACTAATACTTTATTTTTCTCAATGACTTGTGATGTCACCATATGATAGTCAAAGTTTATAAATGCATGTTAAACTATATCCTTTTTCATTGTTACGTGAATTTTCTGGGCCACTGTCAAACTATTTTAATTATTATGATTTAGGGGTATATTTTAATATCTGAGAAGCAAGTCATCTTCCCTGTTTGTTCAATCCCCTCAAAATTATCTTAAAATTTAGATACATTTGTTCCTTTATTTGAATTTTAGTATTATATCAAGTTCTCAAAATATCCTTCTAGGATTTATAATTATAATTATACTAAATTTTTATATTAATCTGAGAGAAGAATCATACTTTTACAATTTAAGTTATAGTCTACAATGAATAGAGTCAGTGTCACCTTTGATTCAGGTTTTCTTTTATGCTCTTTAGTCAAGTTTTTAAAATGCCTTTATTAAGATGTTCTGCATACTTTTGTTATCCATTGTGACAATCTCTGGCTTTGTAACTGTAGTACTTAGTCCATTCATGTTAAATTTAATCATTGATGTGATTGAATTTACCGTCATTTTATTATTTGTTTTTCTTTTGCCCTTCTGTTTTTTGTTTCTCTATTTTTTACTTTCAGCCTTCTTTTTGAATGAATTGAATTGTTTTTAGAATTTTAATTTAATTTGCCTATTTATTTTTTAGCTGTACTTCTGAGTTATTTTCCAGTGATTACTATAGAAATAACAGTATACATCCATAACTTCTCACAACTTTTTATTTATATATTGTAAAAAATTTTTGTAGAGTCAGGGTTTCGCCATATTGCCCAGGCTAGTCTTGAATTCCCGGGCTCCCGCAGTCCTCCTACCTTCGCCTCCCAAGGTGCTGGTATTACAGGCATAAGACCCTCACAGTCTTTTTAGAATTAATTTTGTACCACTTAACATAAAATGAAGAAACTTCGCAACCATTTAGGTGCATTTCCTGCCCCTTCTATCCTTTATATTGCAGTTGTCTTATCAGTTACATCTACATGTGTCATAAACCCCCACAAGGTGGTGTTATAACTTTCATACAATCATGTATTTTAAAGAAGTAATAAGAAAAAGATAGGCTTTTATATTGGCCCACATATTTACCATTTCTGGTGCTTTTTATTCCTTTCTGAAGATCCAAGTATGGATCCAGTATCATTTCCCTTCATTCTGACAAGACTTCCTTTAATATCATCCTATGAGTTTTCTTTTTTTGGGATGGAGTCTCCTTCTGTCGCCCAGGCTGGAGTGCAGTGGTGTGATCTCGGCTCACGGCAAGCTCCGCCTCCTGGGTTCATGCCCCTGCCATTCTCCTGCCTCAGCCTCCCAAGTAGCTGGGACTATAGGCGGCTGCCACCACGCCCGGCTAATTTTTTTTTTGTATTTTTTAGTAGAGACGGGGTTTCACCATGTTAGCCAGGATGGTCTCTATCTCCTGACCTCGTGATTCACCTGCCTCAGCCTCCTAAAGTGCTGGGATTACAGGCATGAGCCACCGCACCCAGCCGTTTCAGTGTTTTTTGTTCTCCATGTTTTTCTGATGAAAAGGACCCATTCAAATCATTGTTCCTTATCTATTATTTTTTTCATGTGGGTGCTTTCAAGATTTGCACCTCATCTTTGGTTTTCAGCATTATGATTGAAAGGTGTGGTTTCCTTTGAGTTTATCCTGCTAAAAGTGTCCTGAGCCTAAATCTGTACATTGATGTCTTTCACCAAACTTGAGAATTTTCATCGATTATTTCTTCAAATATTTTTTCATGCCTCATTCTCTCTCTTCTTCTAGAATTGCAACTGCACATATGTTATCCTTTTGATACTGTCCCATAGGTCACTGCAACTATGTTCTCTTTCCTCTCTTCTGCAAATTGGGCAATTTCTGTTCATTCATCTTCATGCTCACTGACTCTTGCCATCTCCCCTCCATTATGAGATATTAAAGTTTTCAATTCTAGAATTTCCACTTATTCTTTTTTATGTCCTTTGAGTATAGTTATAATAGCTGTTAAAAATCTTTTGTCGCCGGGCGTGGTGGCTCACGCCTGTAATCCCAGCACTTTGGGAGGCCAAGGCAGATGGATCACGAGGTCAGGAGATCGAGACCATACTGGCTAACACAGTGAAACCCCATCTCTACTAAAAATACAAAAAATTAGCTGGGCGTGGTGGCACGCACCTGTAGTCCCAGCTACTTACTCAGGAGGCTGAGGTAGGAGAATCGTCTGAACCCAGGAGATGGAGGTTGCAGTGAGCCGAGATCGTGCCACTGTACTCCAGCCTGGGTGACAGAGTGAGATTCCGTCTCCAAAAAAAAAAAAAAAAATCTTTTGTCTGCTAATCCACCATCTTAATCAACTCAGAATCAGCCTCCATTCCTGGTCTTTATTCTTGAGAATGGGCCCTGTTTCCTGTTTCATTGTAGGTTGTTTTCTGGATGTTGTGAATGATACATTGTAGAGTGTCTGGATTATGTTATGTCTCTACAAAGAAGACTGATTTTCTTAATTTATTTTTCTTTTCTTCTTTTTCTGAGACAGAGTCTCGCTCTGTTGCCCAGGCTGGAGTGCAGTGGTGTCATCTTGGCTCACTGCAACCTCGCCTGTTGGATTCGAGCTATTCTTCTGCCTCAGCCTCCCAAGCAGCTGGGACTACAGGCACATGCCACCATGCCCAGCTAATTTTTGTATTTTTAGTAGAGACAGGGTTTCACCGTATCGGCCAGGCTGATCTCGAATTCCTGACCTTGTGATCTGCCCGCCTCAGCCTCCCAAAGTGCTGGGATTACAGGTGTGGGCCACCACGCCTGGCCTGATTTTTTTTTAATTTTAAGCAGGCAGTTGTATTGGCTGAACCTGTATTAAGGCTTCCTCAGCGTACTCTCCTACATAGTTCTTAAAAACATTGCTTTCTCTTCCTGCCTTCCTTCCCCAGCACTCCTAGAGCAGTGCTTTACATATGTAGTCTATGTGATGTTAGAACTTTGGATTATTGAGGTTTACACATAGTATGAATATTTATAGAATAAATAAGTGTTTAATGCAGTTAGTAGCATGGCAAGCTTTGTGTAGGATGTACTTATCTCATTTTTTTAAGAGTTAGTTGGATTCTTCAAGTATTTTTAGTTTTCATCTTTGTGGTTAGTATATTAAAGCCTGAGGAATTCTTTTTCTTTTTTAGGTGCTTTGTACCGTTACATTTGATTCATTAGAATCTGGTATTAAGTCAGATCAAGTTATAACAGCTATAAAGTAAGTTATGTTTTTAAGATGTTTGTTACGTTTTATGATGTTCTATTATATAATTAAAGCTTATGTGGTATATTATTAATTATTGTTACTTTTTTTAACCTGTGTTTTTGTACTTCATTTTTCTGTTTACATCATCATGATTTCAAAGGATTTTGTGTGTGTGCTAGATTGTCTTCTAAATCACTGATTTGGAACAAATATTAGTAAAGCATTTAATTCTTTAATGTGAGTATATTTAGTTTGTTCTCTGTCTCTAGAATGATTTCTTAGGACAGGCTTCCTTGGTAATCTTGAATGGATTGGTTTTTCTATTAGAAACGAGAGCAAATGAATACACGAAAGCTCCCATTGCTGAAAATAATCTGGAGGCTGTTAATGAAAAACCTCGTTAATGAAAAGCCTTGTCGAATCCCAAGCCACGTTGTGATTTTGTGTTCAGAAATACTTGGCTGTCCTCCTCTGCCCCTAAAAAGTCAACAGTAAAATCATGCTAATCAATTCCGATGATAAGAATCTTTATTGCAGGCCAAATCAATTCTGATGATAAGAATCTTTATTGCAGGCCGGGCGTGGTGGCTCACGCCTGGCCTGTAATCCCAGCACTTGGGAGGCCGAGGTGGGTGGATCCTGAAGTCAGGAGACCAAGACTATCCTGGCTAAAACGGTGAAATTCCGTCCCTACTGAAAATGCAAAAATTAGCTGGGCGTGATGGTGGGCACCTGTAGTCCCAGCTACTCGGGAAGCTGAGGCAGGAGAATGGCGTGAACCCAGGAGGTGGAGGTTGCAGTGAGATCACACCACTGCGCTCCAGCCTGGACGACAGAGCGAGACTCTGTCTCAAAAAAAAAAAAAAAAAAAAAAAAGAATCTCTATTGCAGTCCTCACCAGCATTATTGCATAGAGTCTTGACTCTCATAGCCAGTTCTTTATTTTCCTCAGTGCCTAGTAGGGCTACTTCCTGTTCCTGGTTAAGGGTCTCAGAAGACCACAAGGCTCGGCCCTCCTTTTCCTGATGCCCAACTGATGAGGATAATTCCTAGTAGCCACTGTAATTGTTTTCCATGTATCTGATAGAATCGACAGTGCAGCTGTGTGTGTGAAGGTGGAATGCAGAACACTGGGCTTGGTCAGGGTACCTCCATATATTCTAGTCTTAGGTCTATAACCTGTGTAAATAAAGGGGCACACATCATCACTCAGCCACACTGGCCTTTGGTTTCTATTTCTTATCAAATGAACTGGGCCAGTGACCTGCTATAATCCTCTCTGGCTCACCAAATCTGTGATTCCTTTAGTCCTCTGAAGGAGTTTGGTTTTTAGATTTCTTTTTCCAAAGCTACAGTTTATGATCATGCAGATTCTGCCCCATCCCAGGACTTTTTCTTCGTTTCACATATTGACTGGGAGAAGCATTGTAGCTCTGAGATTTAACTAACGTGGGTATAGCATTTAGGATTCTCTCAGTAGTCATTAATGCTTAAAAATACATCTATTGTCTTAGTGTTCAAATCTGGATATTTAAGGACTTATATTTAAAGTAAAATTGGTTTCCTAAATCTGTACAATTCATTCATAAGCCCCAGAAGAAAATATCATCTCACAATCATCCTTCTAATTAATTCTTTGGTTTTCAGTTTCAGTCTGATTTTTCATTAACACCTAGTTCTTTTGTAAAATCCCCTTAAATCTGTTTTAGTTGTGTTTTGAAATAAATATGTTTTTTCCCTATGATGTTTTTAATATTATGCCTTTTATTTTTAGTGGGATAAAAGATAAAAATTTCATGCTGCACTACGAGGTAAGGTGAATTTTTTTCCTCAAAATTTTATTAATAAATTAATAAATTTTTGTGAGACGAGGTCTCACCCTGTTGTCCAGGCTGGAGTGGAGTGGTGCAGTCTCAGCTCACTGCAACCTCTCCCTCCCAGGCTCAAGACATCCTCCCGCCTCAGCCTCCCAAGTAGCTGGGATTACAGGCTTGTGCAACCACAATTGGCTAATTTTTCTATTTTTTTCTAGAGATGGGGTTTTGCCATGTTGCTCAGGCTGGAACATTTTATTTTTAAAAACTTCCAGGATACAGTAAAGTTGAAAGAACTTTACAGTGACTATCCATATATCCACTACCTGGGTTTTACCAATAATATTTTACTTTTCTAGTTTTATCATATATCTATTAAGGTCAATTTGGGGCTACTATTTTATTGCTTACAGAAGGCATGGCAAGCTTTGTGTAGAATGATAAGTAGAGAGAGATGTAAGTAGTATTTTTAGAGAGTATTTAGCACTCTCTAAAGTACTACTTTAGAGAGATAAGAGATAAGTACTTTAGAGAGATAAGTGGTATTTTTCTAATCAACAACTTCCTGTTCTAAGTCATACGTAAAAGTTAAAGTATAGCAGACAATATCGTTTTAGGTTAAAAAAAAAAAAGTCATGCCTGTATACACGTCTGTCAAACAAAAGTAGAGTTTTTTAAATACCTCAACTCCCAAATCACCTTCTGTTTGCTCATTGAAATGTTCATATTTATACTCAGTTGATTAGTAGTAAAAGATGAGACGTTTAGTATTAAGTTACTTTATATGAGATGATTATAGATAATTGAGTTTGTGATTGACTTTATTCACAACAAATCCTAAGGGACCAGACCTAATATAAAGTACTTTTAATTTTATTATTTGAAGAATGTACATGGAGAGCAGGGCATGGTAGCTCATACCTGTAATCCCAGCACTTTGGGAGGCTGAGGAGGGAGGATTGCTGAGCCCAGAAATTCAAGACCAGCTTGGGCAACATAGTGAGATCCTGTCTCTACAAGAAGATCTAAAAATTAGCCAAGCATGGTGGCATGTGCCTATAGTCCCAGCTACTCGGGAGGCTGAGATGGGAGGATTGCTTGAGCCCAGGAGGCTGAGAATGCAGCAAGCCATTATCACTCCGCCGCACTTCAGCCTGGGCAACAGAGTGAGACCCTGTCTCAAAAAATAAAAAGAAAAAGAATACAACATGAGAGACTTATGTAAAGTAGCAAGTCATTTCGTTTTTGTGTAACCCTTGTTGGCTGCCCAGAGTCTCAGCATTTCACTCTTGCTGAATCTGCTGTAATCAATAGAGAACATTTTTTTGTAGAAATTATATGCTACAGAATATCCATAAACATCAAGATTCATACAGGTCTTGAATCCCTTATAAATATCCTGTTCTGGATATAGCCTGGTGCTACAGAAGCCAGAAAGGAATTATAATTGAGTAAAGCAGGTTCTTTGTCATGAGCTGGAGAGCACATGGCAGTCTTAAAAGGGCAGCTGTGCAAAATGGAGGTCTAGCTGATTATTGGGTAAGGGGGTTGGGGAGGGAGCTGGAGAAGGATATGGGCCATTATTGCCATATTTTATTTTTGTGAATCTCTTTATTATAAAATAAAGCATAGGTACTGAAAACTGTATAAAACAAAGGATGGCTTAATACATTTTTATAAGGCAAATATCCTTGTAACCACCACCCAAGTCAGGAAATTTAACATTGCCAGCCACCTCAAAAGCCCCTCCATGTTCTTCATCCCAATCTCAATACCCGTCGTCTCTTAAAAGTAGGTAACTACTCTCCTAAGTTTTACAGTAATCATCTTGGATTTCCTGGCTCCATTTTTAGATACTATAGTTTAGTTTTGTTTTTTTCTTTAAAACATTTGGTATTTCCTTTTTTGTTTTAGTTTATTTGAGACAGAGTCTCACTCTGTCACTCAGGCTGGAGTGCAGTGGCACCATCTTGGCTCACTGCAACCTCCATCTCCCAGGCTTAAGTGATCCTCCTGCCTCAGTCCCCCAAGTAGCTGGGACTACAGGCACCACCACACCCCGCTAATTTTTAGATTTTTTACAAAATGGGGTTTTGCCATGTTGTCCAGGCTGGTCTCAAACTCCTGGGCTCAAGCAGTCTGCCTGCCTCAGCCTCCCAAAGTGCTGGGATTACAGACATAAGCCACTATGCCCGGCCTGATATTTCTTTAAGTCTTTTTAAATCTATACATTTCTCCTCCATTACATTCTTTTTTTTTTTTTTTTTTTTTTTTTTTTTTTTTTTTTTTTTTTTTTTGCAGTCTATCTATTGAAGCCCCATAGCCATTTGACTTATAGTCTCCCACAGTCTGGGTGTTGCTGATTGTACACTCATGGTGCAATTCAACATGTTCCTCCCCCCTCTCTATTTCCTGCAAATTGACCGCTAGATCCAGAGGTTTAATCAGATTCCTGCTCCATCCACTGCATTTAAGAGCGGTGGCTCATGCCTGTAATCCCAGCACTTTGGGAGGCCGAGGCGGGCGGATCACCTGAGGTCAGGAGTTCAAGACCAGCCTGACCAACATGGTGAAACTCTGTCCTACTAAAAGTACAAAATTAGCTGGGCATGGTGGTGCATGCCTGTAATCCCAGCTACTTGGGAGGCTGAGGCAGGAGAATCGCTTGAACCCAGAAGCAGAGGTTGCAGTGAGCCGAGATTGCACCATTGCACGCCAGCCTGGGCAACAAGAGCAGAACTCTGTCTTAAAAAAAAAGAAAAAACAAAAAAAAAATTCTTGTTAATCTGGAATTACAGATATTTGGGGGAATTTTTTTTTTCTGTTTTAAAAAAAGGGTCTCTGTTCCACAGGCTGAAGTGCAGTGGTGCAGTCTCGGCTTACTGCAACCTCCACCTCCTGGGTTCAAGCAATTCTTGTGCCTCAGCCTCATGAGTAGCTGGGATTACAGGCATGCGCCACCACGCCCTGCTGATTTTTCTATTTTTAGTAGATACAGGGTCTCACCATGTTGGCCAGGCTAGTTTCAAACTCCTGAGCTCAAGTGAGCTGCCTGCCTTGGCCTCCCAAAGTGCTGGGATTACAGGCATGAGCCACTGCGCCCGGCCTGAAATTACAGATTTTTATGGGAAGTCTTCCTATTGTCAAATGATCACAACTAATTCATATTCCTTCAAGGTAACATATCCACCAAATAAAACAGTTTGCAACCACTGGCTAAAATAAAACCCTTATGGAAAAGAGCTGTTTCCTCCATACATTTTTGTCATTGTGTTTTGCTTGAGAAATACTTCAAAATATGCAACTTTCCCATTCATGTATTTTGTTTCATATCTGAAAAAGTTAGTGGAGAGAGATAACTCTAAAAAGTATCAGTGTAAATTAAATTTCAATTTAGTGAAATAAATGTGGGCTTTGCTATGGAAAAAAATCTGTGATTCTTCAATGTGTACTTTTTAAATATGTACATATTTTTACTTATTACAAAAATATAACGTTATTGTTAATAATTTAAATGTAATGGAAATTTATGGTGTAAATCCCCATACCCATCCAGTTCCCACATCCTAATCCATGTACACACTTGAAATAGCTACTTTTAACCATTTGGTATGTATGTTAAATTTATATCATACGTTTTCTGTATATTTATGAATGTACTTTTTTAAAAAACAAAAATGAGATTCTACTGTTCTATAAGTTGTTTTATTATTTTGGTAATATAACTTGGACATCTTTCTATGTCAATTGTATATGTGTGTTTGTGTTTTTTTTTTTTTAAGTTTCCTCCTTATGCAACTAATGAAATTGGCAAAGTCACTGGTTTAAATAGAAGAGAACTTGGGCATGGTAAGTACAGGTCTGTAAACTTAATACGGTATTCTTACAGAGACTTAATACATTTTTTACTTATTGTTTTCTATTCTAATTTAGGTGCTCTTGCTGAGAAAGCTTTGTATCCTGTTATTCCCCGAGATTTTCCTTTCACCATAAGAGTTACATCTGAAGTCCTAGAGTCAAATGGTATGGTATTGAAATACTTCTTTCATAGTAGAAAAGACCATATTCCCTATTCTATTATTAAGTTTTCAAATGTAATGTTACATTTTGTTTATTACTACAGAACCCAAGTTTGTTGCAAGAGAAAAATGTATTGAGTTAATCAAATACTTGTCTTAATCTCTGTTCTTAGCTAATGAGTTGTTTTGAAAGCAATATAAAACAAATGTTTTTCTTTATCTGTTATAGTAGATCCAGTTTGGCTTGTTTCTTTATTTTTACAAACAAACCACAGAACAAGGTTAACAGAGAGAGGAAGGGCCAAAATAGAGTGATCATTAGGCAGGAGATACCTGTCACATATCCACATGAATAATAAGTGTACATCACAGAGGGAGTCTAGGCCAAGAGGTCACATTTAAATAAAAAATTTGTCCATGGGTCAAGGTACGGTGCAGTCATTAAAGGCAGAAAGGTCATGGAGTTCTTAAAGGTGTAACAGACGTAAATCAGATAGTCACAGATTTTGAGGAAAAAATACCAAGGTAAACTCAGAATTTTAACTAAAGACTTTGTGGTTCTCTACTGGGTGTGACTAAATTAATGGGCTTATGAGAATGAGAGAGCCAAAGCCCTATATCTTTAACTACTTCTGATAAGCAAGACAAAAGATATGCACTAGGAAGTCTATTAGAATATCTGTAGCAATACTATGCAATAGAACTTTTTGTGATAGGCTGGGCTTGGTGGCTCACACCTGTAATCCCAGCACTTTGGGAGGCCAAGGCGGGTGGATCATAAGGTCCAAAGGGTCTAACTTGGTGAAACTCTGTCTGTACTAAAAATACAAAAAATTAGCTGGGCGTGGTGGCAGGCTGAGACTCCATCTCAAAAAATAATAGTAAAATAAAACTTTTTGTGATGATAGAAATCCTCTTTATCTGTCCTATCTAGTTGAAGAATTAAATTTATTTTAATTGATTTAACTTTAAGTCACCACTTATGGCTAATGTCTACCATATTGGACCTTGCAGCCCCATAGTTTATAGCTTAAAAGACCTTGCCTTAGTTGCTTTTAAAAAGAAGAGACTATTGAATATTTGTATTGTAACTGAATATTTATAAGGAAATAACCAATAGTAACACTTTTCTACATTAAAAAAATCAGTTTAATATAAAGCAGTTATTTTTCTTTCTATAGGGTCATCTTCTATGGCATCTGCATGTGGCGGAAGTTTAGCATTAATGGATTCAGGTAAAAGAATTATGTCTCAAAACTGCTGATATTGCTCATGCCTGTAATCCCAGGCATGAGCCTTGGGAGGCCAAGGCAGGAGGCTCACTTGAGGCTGGGAGTTCAAGACCAGCCTGGGCAACATAGCAAGACCTCATCTCTACAAAAAAGATTAAAAAAAAATGCTAACCTTTTATACACACCTGTTAGTATAAAATATAAGATTTCTTTAAATTTGGGTTTTAGTAAAACTCAAAGTCAGATTACAGATGGCCAAATCAAGCCAGAGGCAAGATGGCTGAAAAGTAGAGCTTCAGATATCCAGATATCTGCTGGAATTCTTATTTTTAGCTAAAAGCAGTACACTGAAAAATTTTTATTTGCATTGGTGACCCAGTAAACTTTATTTCCTTCCAAAAGGTAGAGAGCTCCAGAATTGATTCCAATCACCAAGGAAGTTTTGATTAGTAAGTACTATTAGGAATCATAAGAGAAAGCAACTGTAATCTTTCAGTCGATTTATACAAGCCAAGAGAACAATGCCACTCAGGCGTGTACACACAATTTTAGGAAGGCGGACTACAAATGTTTCATTATAATCCCCAGGTCTGAAACGCCAAAAACGAAAGCATTATGCTAGGAGATTTTTTTTTTTTTTTTTTTTGAGACAGAGTCTCGCTCTGTTGTCCAGGCTGAAGTGCAGTGGTGCAGTCTCGGCTCACTGCAACCTCCGCCTCCCAGGTTCAAGTGATTCTTCTGCCTCAGCCTCCTGAGTAGCTGGAATTACAGGTGCGTGCTACCACGCCTGGCTAATTTTTGTATTTTTAGTCGAGACGGGGTTTCACCATATTGGCCAGGCTGACCTCGAACTCCTGACCTCGTGATCCACCCACCTTGCCCTCCCAAAGTGCTGGGATTACAGGCATGAGCCACCACACCTGGCCGCTAGGAGATTCTTAAAACCAATTCGTGCCAAACTGTCATGAATGCTGCTATTCGAGAAGAAAGAGAGAAGGAACCTAAAGACACTAAAGAGGCCACAAAAGGATTTCTCTGATAACTTAACACATTTACAGTACTGGCATGAAAGATAGAAAAGAGGGCCGTGAATAACAAAGGATTAAATGAAAACATGGTTTGAATATATAATAATATTATCTAGAAAAATTGAAACTAAAAACAGGCCAAAGCAAAAAATGCAAAAGGTACTTTTGTAATTTATTCAATAAAGGAAAACATAATCTGATATTTAAGGTAGCTGGTAAAATACTGCTGCTACTATTTTCATCTTCATTCTTTCACTCTACAAATCTTTACTTTGTGGCACCTATGTGCCAAGCACTGATCTAAGTTGTTAGGACATGGTGATGAACAAAACAGTCTTAGACTTCATGGCACTTGTGTTTCTCAGTCTTCCAAATCTCATACTGGAAAACACTGAACAAATCTTGAAAAAAGTAAACTGAAAAATAAAAGATGACATCATAGGGGAGTCTTTACCTGCCATTTTTAAATGAATTCAGATCTTTTGGTCTAGACAAAAACTCATCCTTGACTATAATGAGAACTTCAGGATTAGATTACTGAAGTATGATGGCAGTCATTGAGAAATCGTGGAGACTAGTATCCCAAGGACAGAAAACGTTCTTATTATTGGAAGAGAAGAAAAGTATTTTCTATAAAGTATAACCCAATGAACTTGATCGTGACCCTCAACAAGACTCTTAAGAACTTAAAAAAAGAATGGTTTATAAGTAGTTTAGAAAGGAAAGGGGCCAGGCACAGTGGCTCATTCCTGTAATTGCAGCACTTTGGGAGCCTGAGGTGGGTGGATCACTTGAGGTCAGGAGTTTGAGGCCTGCCTGGCCAACATAGTGAAACCCCGTCTCTACTAAAAATACAAAAATTAGCCGGGTGTGGTGGCCCACGCCTGTAATCCCAGCTACTTGGGAGGCTGAGTCAAGAGAATCACTTTAACCCAGGAGGCGGAGGCTGCAGTGAGCCAAGATCGTGCCACTGCACTCCAGCCTGGGTAACAGAGTGACTCTGTCTCAAGAAAACAAAAAAGGAAAGGGACTACAGAAAGAAGCCAGAAGGGACTTCTCTAAAATAAGTCATGCCATAGTTAATTCACTTTCTGTTTTGAAGAAATTACTGCATTTGCAGTAGAGGGTATTGCTGTTGGTGTGATATATCTATAATTCAGCTTTACGGTTTATGATATCTTTATGATATCTTGTGTAAATGATGCAGAAATTTAGACTAAATAATAGGTGCACCATTCATACTGGTTAAGGGATGAGCAAAGGGACTGCTTAATCTGATCAACAGGTCAGAGAATGATCTCAAGTTGAAGACGTGAGGATGCTTATTTCAGCCCTGTCTCTTTCAATGTTGACTTGACTGAGAACACTGGCCTGCCAGTAAAAATACTGCCAATAAAAATACTGATTAAAAGGAATGGGTGACTGACAAAATTGAGCAGGATAAAAAAATATGGAGCTTAATAGTTTAAAAATTAAATTTGAAGCGTTAAAGCCAAAAACCTCAAAAAAATTAAATTTGATAAGAATGAATGTCAAGTCCTGTGGGATGGGCCGATACAAGGTATGCAGTTCAATTCAAATATGAATTTGAATTGCTAGAGTAGGGCTTGCCCTGCCCTAAGTCAGGCACTGTCCTATGCCCCAGGGATGCAAATTGTACCCAGTTTTTGAAAAAGCTTAAAGGTTTGAAAACAAAAAGATACTAATAGATTGAAGAGGTAATAATACAAATATGTGTAAGGGTGATTGTTGAACTAGGCTGAGCATAATTGGCTGAGAGAGACTGCTACATTTCATCTGATTTTAAAGGCTGAGTAATTGTTGACTGGGCATATTAGGAGCAGGGCCTGTATTTCACATGAAAGGACCAGCATGTGCAAAGTTAAGAAGTTACAGTGTAGTGTGTTTCAGGAATCTACTCGAAAGAGGTGTTAAGGTAATAAAGTAGAACCATATGTTGAAGGTTATTGTTTTTTTTTTTTTTTTTTTGACTTTCCTTTTTATCTTTGTCTTCTCTTTATTTCCTAGTTGTTTCTAGTCAGAGGAAGGATAGCTTTATACAGAAATAGGATTTTTTTTTTTTAATTTTTTTTTTTTTTTTAAATTGATCATTCTTGGGTGTTTCTCACAGAGGGGGATTTGGCAGGGTCACAGGACAATAGTGGAGGGAAGGTCAGCAGATAAACAAGTGAACAAAGGTCTCTGGTTTTCCTAGGCAGAGGACCCTGCGGCCTTCCGCAGTGTTTGTGTCCCTGGGTACTTGAGATTAGGGAGTGGTGATGACTCTTAAGGAGCATGCTGCCTTCAAGCGTCTGTTTAACAAAGCACATCTTGCACCGCCCTTAATCTATTCAACCCTGAGTGGACACAGCACATGTTTCAGAGAGCACAGGGTTGGGGGTAAGGTCACAGATCAACAGGATCCCAAGGCAGAAGAATTTTTCTTAGTACAGAACAAAATGAAAAGTCTCCCACGTCTACCTCTTTCTACACAGACACGGCAACCATCCGATTTCTCAATCTTTTCCCCACCTTTCCCCCCTTTCTATTCCACAAAACCGCCATTGTCATCATGGCCCGTTCTCAATGAGCTGTTGGGCACACCTCCCAGACGGGGTGGTGGCCGGGCAGAGGGGCTCCTCACTTCCCAGTAGGGGCGGCCGGGCAGAGGCGCCCCTCACCTCCCAGACGGGGCGGCTGGCCGGGCAGAGGGGCTCCTCACTTCCCAGTAGGGGCGGCCGGGCAGAGGCGCCCCTCACCTCCCGGACGGGGCGGCTGGCTGGGCGGGGGGGCTGACCCCCCCACCTCCCTCCTGGACGGGGCGGCCGGCCAGGCAGAGGGGCTCCTCACTTCCCAGTAGGGGCGGCCGGGCAGAGGCGCCCCTCACCTCCCGGACGGGGCGGCTGGCCGGGCGGGGGGCTGATCCCCCCACCTCCCTCCCGGACGGGGCGGCTGGCCGGGCGGGGGGCTGACCCCCCCACCTCCCTGCCGGACGAGGTGGCTGCCGGGCAGAGACGCTCCTCACTTCCCAGACGGGGTGGCTGCTGGGCGGAGGGGCTTCTCACTTCTCAGACGGCGCGGCTGCCGGGCGGAGGGGCTCCTCACTTCTCAGACTGGGCGGTTGCCGGGCGGAGGGTCTCCTCACTTCTCAGACGGGGCGGCCGGGCAGAGACGCTCCTCACATCCCGGACGGGGCGGCAGGGCAGAGGTGCTCCCCACATCTCAGACGATGGGCGGCCGGGCAGAGACGCTCCTCACTTCCCAGATGGGATGGCGGCCGGGAAGAGGCGCTCCTCACTTCCTAGACGGGGTGGCGGCCGGGCAGAGGCTGCAATCTCGGCACTTTGGGAGGCCAAGGCAGGCTGCTGGGAGGTGAAGGTTGTAGCGAGCTGAGATCACGCCACTGCACTCCAGCCTGGGCACCATTGAGCATGGAGTGAACGAGACTCCGTCTGCAATCCCGGCACCTCAGGATGCCGAGGCTAGCGGATCACTCGCAGTTAGGAGCTGGAGACCAGCCCAGCCAACACAGCGAAACCCCGTCTCCACCAAAAAAATACGAAAACCAGTCAGGCGTGGCGGCGCGCGCCTGCAATCGCAGGCAGTCGGCAGGCTGAGGCAGGAGAATCAGGCAGCAGTACCGTCCAGCTTCAGCTCGGCATCAGAGGGAAACCATGGAGAGAGGGAGAGGGAGACCGTGGGTAGAGGTAGAGGTAGAGGTAGAGGTAGAGGTGGAGAGAGGGAGAGAGGGCAGGATTTTTTTTAAGTAAGAATTCTTTACCAATCCTTCTTTCCCCAACATAAAATCTCCTATTTGAAGTGGAGTTTGAGGTAGGGACTCGAGAGGCAGTGCCTCAAGAAAGCCACACATTGTACAATCTGAAGGTTATTGTTACGCTAAGGAGTTTGGACTTAAAGCCAGCATTTTTCCAATTCAGTATTCCATGGAATAGTGTTCCACAGGACATTGATTATTGTATACCATGAAAAAGTTTATTCTGTTCTAAAGTTAAGTTTCAGCAGGGTTAAGCAGGTTTATTTAATATGGATTAAATAGACTTTAATAAGCTAATCCGAATACTGACTCTCTAGGAATAGGACATGTAATATTTTTCCAAATTTATTTGACCACAGAATATGTACAAAAATTTCCTGAAAGTAGGCAATGGGGAACTTGAAGGATTTTATGGAAAACAGTGGCATGATTTGAATCTGCTTTTGTTTTTTCCAAACAGTTTTTCCCAGCTTAAGTGATGAATAGCCCTGCGGAATGAGATGGGAGAGACTAAGAAGCAAAGAGAGAAAGTAAAATCTGGGAAGCCAGACAGGGAGATTGTTGCCAGGGCAAGAAATGATATGGACTCAGACTAAAAAGTTACAATAGGTATTTTAATATTTAGGGTAAAGGACAGCTTTCTAAAAAAATAAACAGATCTTTGTGACTTGATGGGATATAGGAAATGAGGAAAGAAATGTTGATTCTGGCATGAGTGTCTTAGTTGCTTTCAACCAAAGAATGCAGGAGGAAAAGGATTTTTTGACAGTGATTCAATTTTGAACATATATGTATTTCTTTCATCATCATCATTATTATTATTTATAGAGATGAGGTCTCAATATATTGCCCAGGCTGGTCTCAAATTCCTGAGTTCAAGTGATCCTCCCATCTTGGCCTGCCAAAGCGTTGGGATTACAAGCATGAGCCACTGGGCCTGGCTCAATTTTGAATATATATTTAAGGTGCTTTGGGGACATTTAGCTGGAGATGTCTGACAGGGAGTTTACTAATACAGGTCCAGGGTTTGGCACAGATAGCTGGACAGGAGGGATAGATTTTTAAGTCATCAACATTATAGATGGTGGTTAAAATCGTAAGTATAGATGAGGTTGCTTAGAGAAAATGAAATGAGATCCACACTCCTTTATACCAAAGTAAATTCCAAGTGATCAAAACTTAAACATTTTTAAACAAATGAAAGATGGTAGGTTTTATCAAAATCTTGGAGAAGAAAAGCTCTGCTAAGCAAAACCCAGAAACCATGATTACGTAAACTAAAAATCCTACACAGAAAACTAATGACCATAAGCAAAGTCAACGAACTAGGAAATAAAATATTTTATTTATATGTTATTAAACATAATATTTTATCTTTACATTTTAATAAAGCTCTGTCCATATTGAAAGAAAATCAGTAATAAAAAGACTGCCAACCAAGTAGAAAAGTGTTGAAGGCCATGAACAGGGAGTTCTCAAAATAAGACATATAAATAGGTTTATGAACATGAAATAGTTTTCAACCTCAGTCATAAAAAACAAGTCAGATTTAAAATAACCATTTTTTACACTTTAAATTGAGAAAAATCAAAAGATTTGACAAGAATTAATAAGAATATAGAGTAGCATATACCTTCTTACACCACTGGTAAAAGTTTAAAATGCTATGTCTTTAGAAGGCAGTTTGACAGTCTAACAAACGTAAATGCACATACCTTTTGACTCAGCAATCGCACTTCTGTGTGTGACTTGTAAAACATACAGGGAGTACTAAAACTATTCAAAGGAATAAAGTAGAGCTTTGTGTGGTGGTATGTGTCAATATCCAAGACATGTTATTAAGTGAAAAAGGCAAGGTGCAGAACAGTAAATGCATACAGTCTGCCGCCACGAGTAAAGAAAACAAAAGATTATATTTACATTTATACTTGTGCACAGAAATTTTCTAGGAGGATACACTAATGTTAGCTGCCATGGGGAGGTAAACTGAGGAGTTCAGGCTGGAAGAATTTACCAAATAGATGCTTACTTTCCAACAAAAAGAAAATAAGACACCTGAAGCAAAAAAGCAAACCAACGGATAATTTAAAAGTTATAAAGTTTGCTATTGTTAGAGAAGTTTTTGCTGGATATAGTACTTGTTTACATTGTTTTAGGGAACTTTATTATATGTTCAAAAACAAACGAAGTAGTCAGATGACCTCTTAAGACTTCCAACTCAGCTTCGGTGATTGTCAATTTAGGCAACAATATCCACTTACATTAAAAGTAAATGTCTGCTGGGCGCGGTGGCTCACGCTTGTAATCCCAGCGCTTTGGGAGGCTGAGGCTGGCAGATCACCTGAGGTCAGGAGTTCAAGACCAACAGGGCCAACATGGTTGAAACCCCATCTCCACTAAAAATACAAGCAAATTAGCTAGGCGTGTTGGCGGGTGCCTATAATCCCAGCTATAGGGGAGGCTGAGGTGGGAGGATTGCTTGAACCCAGGAAGCAGAGGCTACAGTGAGCCAAGATCATGCCACTGCACTCCAGTCTGGGCAACAGACCGAGACTCCCTCTCAAAAAAAAAAAAAAATTGATAGATAAATATTTGTTTTAGGCTCATGTACACATTACCCACAGTTGTTCTTTTTCCCAATTATAGGGGTTCCAATTTCATCTGCTGTTGCAGGCGTAGCAATAGGATTGGTCACCAAAACCGATCCTGAGAAGGGTGAAATAGAAGATTATCGTTTGCTGACAGATATTTTGGCAAGTATATTCTCGGTTTCAAATATTTAATAATGAAGACTAAAAATAAATAAATAAAAATTAAAAGATAAAAACAAATAATGGTGAAGACTATATGTACTTTGCACCTAGCGTATGCTTAGAAGAATGCTAGTATTTGAAGAACAGGTACTTGTTCTTCCCTTCCTCCTCTGCATGTTCACCTTGTATCTTATAGGATATGAATTTAAAATAGATATTATATTAATAGTAATAGGCCAGGCACAGTGACTCATGCCTGTAATCCCAGCACTTTGGGAAGTCAGGAGTTCCAGACCAGTCTGGCTAATGTGGCAAAACTCCATCTCTACTAAAAATACAAAAATTAGCCTGGGCATGGTGGCACACACCTGTAATCCCATCTACTTGGCAGGCTGAGGCAGAATTGCTTGAACCCGGGAGGCAGAGGTTGCAGTGAGCCAAGATCGTGCCACTGCACTCCATCCTGGGCAACAGAGCAAGACTGTGTCTCAAAATAAGTAAAATAAAATAAAATAAAATGATTACTTTAAAAAAATAGTAATACTTACCCTTAAGTATTGCAGTAATACTTACACAGTGTAAGTATTCATAATGACTCACTTTAGGATGAGCATAAATTCATTCTCAGGCATTTATGAGGGAAAGGAATGATCTAAAAATAAAATGATGTTTCTGGTGAAAATAATTGTAGCTTAAAAAGTCACAAATTGGAAGTGGTAGTTAATGTAGAAAACATTGCTTTGTGTTTGGACTTAGGATATGGTTTACTTCTAAAGCTGTTTTTTGAAATGTTTCTACAGTGAATATGTTGACTTTTGTTTTTGTTTAAAACTATGTCATAACTTTTTAAATTCCTGAAGGGAATTGAAGATTACAATGGTGACATGGACTTCAAAATAGCTGGCACTAATAAAGGAATAACTGCATTACAGGTATTTTTAAAACCCATTTTGTTTCATTTTTGTAACATTTAAATAATGCCATGAGTCAATATTTATATAATTGTTTGACTTTTCCATATTAGGCTGATATTAAATTACCTGGAATACCAATAAAAATTGTGATGGAGGCTATTCAACAAGCTTCAGGTGAGCTAGTGTGCTTGATTCTCCCTTCATTCTTTTCCACTTTGCTAATGGGAACTATAGTTCTCATTAGGCTTATTATAAAATATTGCTTTAAAAAGTGGAATTTCATATAACTTAGATCAAGAAGTACTGGCCAGGTGTGGTGGCTCATGTCTGTAATCCCAGCACTTTGAGAGGCCGAGGCAGGCAGATCACTTCAGGTCAGGAGTTCGAGACCAGCCTGGCCAACATGGTGAAACCCTGTCTCTACTAAAAGTACAAAAATTAGCCGGGCATGGTGGTGCATACCTGTAATCCCAGCTACTCAGGAGGCTGAGACAAGAGAATCGCTTGAGCCCAGGAGGCAGAGGTTACAGTGAGCCGAGATCATGCCATTGCGCGCCAGCCTGGGTGACAGAGGGAAAATGTCTCAAAAAAAAAGAAGTACTAAGTAGCCAGGCATGGCATGGTGGCTCATCCTAGCACTTTGGGAGGCCAAGGCAGGAAGATTGCTTGAGCCCCAGGAGTTCAAGACCAGCCTGGGCAACGTAGTGAGATCCCATATCTATTTTAAAAAAAGAAGAAGCACAACTAAGTTTTTGGGACACATGAATACACGCCAAAGTGGGTTACCAGTGAAATTTCAATTTTTACAAATTAAACAACTCTATTTAAGATGGGATTTTTGGAGAAGAGAATATGAGTGAATTTTCAAGGTAATAGGGATGTGGAAAGCTTCAATTATTAAGCTACAGGGTTTAGATTGTATACCGTGAAAACTAAGAGTACAGTATTTCAGATCATATTTGTTTTATGTAGTTATAATTTTTGTGTTTTTCTCTTCTAGTGGCAAAAAAGGAGATATTACAGATCATGAACAAAACTATTTCAAAACCTCGAGCATCTAGAAAAGAAAATGGACCTGTTGTAGGTAATACATTAAAATTTTAGTGATCGGCTGGGCGCGGTGGCTCACGCCTGTAATCCCAGCACTTTGGGAGGCCGAGGCGAGCGGATCACAAGGTCAGGAGATCGAGACCATCCTGGCTAACACGGTGAAACCCTGTCTCTACTAAAAAATACAAAAAATTAGCCGGGCGTGGTGGCGGGCGCCTGTAGTCCCAGCTACTCGGGAGGCTGAGGCAGGAGAATGGCATGAACCCGGGAGGCGGAGCTTGCAGTGAGCCGAGATCGCGCCACTGCACTCCAGCCTGGGCGACAAAGTGAGACTCCGTCTCAAAAAAAAAAAAAAAAAAATTTTAGTGATCATGGTAAGATAAACATTAATATATGAATGAATATTACTGCTTTTAAATTGTTTTTACCCAGTGCACAAAACGAAAATATTTTAAATACTTTTGTAGTTAAAATGCTTTAAATTT